>NC_000017.11:23817464-24128687 GCF_000001405.40 Homo sapiens
GGGATAATTTCAGCTGACTAAACAGAAGCATTCTCAGAACCTTCTTCGTGATGTCTGCATTCAACTCACAGTGTGGAACCTTTCTTTGATAGTTCAGGTTTGAAACACTCTTTTTGTAGAAACTGCAAGGGGATAATTGCACTTCTTTGAGGCCTACCGTAGTAAAGGAAATAACTTCCTATAGAAAGAAGACAGAAGCATTCTCAGAACCCTCTTCGTGATGTCTGCATTCAACTCACAGTGCTGAACCTTTCTTTGATAGTTCAGCTTTGAAACACTCTTCTTGTAGAAACTGCAAGTGGATATTTGGTCCTCTCTGAGGATTTCGTTGGAAACGGGATAAACCGCACAGAACTAAACAGAAGCATTCTCAGGAACCTTCTTCGTGATGTTTGCATTCAACTCACAGTGTTGAACCTTTCTTTGATAGTTCAGGTTTGAAACGGTCTTTCTGTAGAAACTGCAAGTAGATATTTGGACCTCTCTGAGGATTTCGTTGGAAACGGGATAACCCGCACAGAACTAAAACAGAAGCATTCACAGAAAACTCTTGGTGACGACTGAGTTTAACTCACAGAGCTGAACATTCCTTTGGATGGAGCAGTTTCGAAACACACTATTTGTAGAATGTGCAAGTGGATATGTGGGCCTCTCTGAGGATTTCGTTGGAAACGGGATAAACCGCACAGAACTAAACAGAAGCATTCTCAGAAACTACTTTGTGATGATTGCATTCAAGTCACAGAGTTGAACATTCCCTTTGACAGAGCAGTTTGGAAACTCTCTTTGTGTAGAATCTGCAAGTGGAGATATGGACCGCTTTGAGGCCTATGGTAGTAAAGGAAATAGCTTCATATAAAAGCTAGACAGTAGCATTCTCAGAAACTTCTTTGTGATGCTTGCATTCAACTCACAGAGTTGAACTTTCCTTTCGAGAGAGAAGCTTTGAAACAGTCTTTTTCCAGAATCTGCAAGTGGACATTTGGAGGGCTTTGAGGCCTGTGGTGGAAAAGGAATTATCTTCCCGTAAAAGCTAGATAGAAGCATTGTCAGAAACTTCTTTGTGATGATTGCATTCAAGTCACAGAGTTGAAGGTTCCTTTTCAAAGAGCAGTTTCCAATCACTCTTTCTGTGGAATCTGCAAGTGGATATTTGGACCTCTTTGAAGATTTCGTTGGAAACGGGAGAATCTTCACAGAAAAGCTAAACAGAAGCATTCTCAGAAACTTCTCTGTGATGTTTGTGTTCAACTCCCAGAGTTTCACATTGCTTCTCATAGAGTAGTTCTGAAACATGCTTTTCGTAGTGTCTGCAAGTGGACATTTGGAGCGCTTTCAGGCCTGTGGTGGAAAACGAATTATGGTCACATAAAAACTGGAGAGAAGCCTTCTCAGAAACTTCTCTGTGATGATTGCATTCAACTCACAGAGTTGAACCCTCCTATGGATAGAGCAGTGTTGAAACTCTCTTTTTGTGGAATCTGCAAGCGGATATGTGGACCTCTCCGAAGATGTCTTTGGAAACGGGAATATCTTCACATAAAAACTAAACAGAAGCATTCTCAGAAACTTCTTGGTGATGTTTGCATTCAAATCCCAGAGTTGAACCTTCCTTTGAGAGTTCAGGTTTGAAACACTCTTTTTGTAGGATCTGCAAGTGGATAATTGGACCACTCTGTGGCCTTCGTTCGAAACGGGTACATCTTCGCATAAAATCTAGACAGAAGCATTCTCAGAAAATACTTTGTGATGATTGAGTTGAACTCACAGAGCTGAACATTCCTTTGGATGGAGCAGGTTTGAGACACACTTTTTGTAGAATCTACAAGTGGATATTTGGACCTCTCTGAGGATTTCGTTGGAAACGGGATAACTGCACCTAACTAAACGGAAGCATTCTCAGAAACTGCTTTGTGATGATTGCATTCACCTCACAGAGTTGAACATTCCTATTGATAGAGCAGTTTGGAAACACTCTTCTTGTGGAATGTGCAAGTGGAGATTTGGAGCGCTTTGAGGCCTATGGTAGTAAAGGGAATAGCTTCATAGAAAAACTAGACAGATGCATTCTCAGGAACTTTTTGGTGATGTTTGTATTCAACTCCCAGAGTTGAACTTTCCTTTGGAAAGAGCAGCTATGAAACACTCTTTTTCTAGAATCTGCAAGTGGACGTTTGGAGGGCTTTGTGGTTTGTGGTGGAAAAGGAAATATCTTCACCTAAATACTAGAAAGAAGCATTCTCAGAAGCTTCTCTGTGATGACTGCATTCAACTCACGGAGTTGAACACTCCTTTTGAGAGCGCAGTTTTGGAACTCTCTTTCTGTGGCATCTGCAAGGGGACATGTAGACCTCTTTGAAGATTTCGTTGGAAACGGAATCATCTTCACATCAAAACTATACAGAAGCAGTCTCAGAATCTTCTTTGTGATGTTTGCATTCAAATCCCAGAGTTGAACTTGCCTTTCAAAGTTCACGTTTGAAACACTCTTTTTGCAGGATCTACAAGTGGATATTTGGACCACTCTGTGTCCTTCGTTCGAAACGGGTATATCTTCACATGACATCTAGACAGAAGCTTTCTCAGAAAATTCTTTGGGATGATTGAGTTGAGCAAACAGAGCTGAACACTCCTTGCGATGTAGCAGTTTAGAAACACCCTTTCTGCAGAATCTGCAAGTGCATATGTGGACCTCTCTGAGGAATTCGTTGGAAACGGGATAATTTCAGCTGACTAAACAGAAGCATTCTCAGAACCTTCTTCGTGATGTCTGCATTCAACTCACAGTGTGGAACTTTTCTTTGATAGTTCAGGTTTGAAACACTCTTTTTGTAGAAACTGCAAGGGGATCATTGCACTTCTTTGAGGCCTACCGTAGTAAAGGAAATAACTTCCTATAAAAAGAAGACAGAAGCATTCTCAGAACCCTCTTCGTGATGTTTGCATTCAACTCACGGTGCTGAACCTTTCTTTGATAGTTCAGCTTTGAAACACTCTTTTTGTAGAAACTGCAAGTGGATATTTGGTCCTCTCTGAGGATTTCGTTGGAAACGGGATAAACCGCACAGAACTAAACAGAAGCATTCTCAGAACCTTCTTCGTGATGTTTGCATTCAACTCACAGTGTTGAACCTTTCTTTGATAGTTCAGGTTTGAAACGGTCTTTCTGTAGAAACTGCAAGTAGATATTTGGACCTCTCTGAGGATTTCGTTGGAAACGGGATAAACCGCACAGAACTAAAACAGAAGCATTCACAGAAAACTCTTGGTGACGACTGAGTTTAACTCACAGAGCTGAACATTCCTTTGGATGGAGCAGTTTCGAAACACACTATTTCTAGAAGGTGCAAGTGGATATGTGGGCCTCTCTGAGGATTTCGTTGGAAACGGGATAAACCGCACAGAACTAAACAGAAGCATTCTCAGAAACTACTTTGTGATGATTGCATTCAAGTCACAGAGTTGAACATTCCCTTTGACAGAGCAGTTTGGAAACTCTCTTTGTGTAGAATCTGCAAGTGGAGATATGGACCGCTTTGAGGCCTATGGTAGTAAAGGAAATAGCTTCATATAAAAGCTAGACAGTAGCATTCTCAGAAACTTCTTTGTGATGCTTGCATTCAACTCACAGAGTTGAACTTTCCTTTCGAGAGAGAAGCTTTGAAACACTCTTTTTCCAGAATCTGCAAGTGGACATTTGGAGGGCTTTGAGGTCTGTGGTGGAAAAGGAATTATCTTCCCGTAAAAGCTAGATAGAAGCATTGTCAGAAACTTCTTTGTGATGATTGCATTCAAGTCACAGAGTTGAAGGTTCCTTTTCAAAGAGCAGTTTCCAATCACTCTTTCTGTGGAATCTGCAAGTGGATATTTGGACCTCTTTGAAGATTTCGTTGGAAACGGGAGAATCTTCACAGAAAAGCTAAACAGAAGCATTCTCAGAAACTTCTCTGTGATGTTTGTGTTCAACTCCCAGAATTTCACATTGCTTCTCATAGAGTAGTTCTGAAACATGCTTTTCGTAGTGTCTGCAAGTGGACATTTGGAGCGCTTTCAGGCCTGTGGTGGAAAGCGAATTATGGTCACATAAAAACTGGAGAGAAGCCTTCTCAGAAACTTCTCTGTGATGATTGCATTCAACTCACAGAGTTGAACCCTCCTATGGATAGAGCAGTGTTGAAACTCTCTTTTTGTGGAATCTGCAAGCGGATATGTGGACCTCTCCGAAGATGTCTTTGGCAACGGGAATATCTTCACATAAAAACTAAACAGAAGCATTCTCAGAAACTTCTTGGTGATGTTTGCATTCAAATCCCAGAGTTGAACCTTCCTTTGAGAGTTCAGGTTTGAAACACTCTTTTTGTAGGATCTGCAAGTGGATATTTGGACCACTCTGTGGCCTTCGTTCGAAACGGGTACATCTTCGCATAAAATCTAGACAGAAGCATTCTCAGAAAATACTTTGTGATGATTGAGTTGAACTCACAGAGCTGAACATTCCTTTGGATGGAGCAGGTTTGAGACACACTTTTTGTAGAATCTACAAGTGGATATTTGGACCTCTCTGAGGATTTCGTTGGAAACGGGATAACTGCACCTAACTAAACGGAAGCATTCTCAGAAACTGCTTTGTGATGATTGCATTCACCTCACAGAGTTGAACATTCCTATTGATAGAGCAGTTTGGAAACACTCTTCTTGTGGAATGTGCAAGTGGAGATTTGGAGCGCTTTGAGGCCTATGGTAGTAAAGGGAATAGCTTCATAGAAAAACTAGACAGATGCATTCTCAGGAACTTTTTGGTGATGTTTGTATTCAACTCCCAGAGTTGAACTTTCCTTTGGAAAGAGCAGCTATGAAACACTCTTTTTCTAGAATCTGCAAGTGGACGTTTGGAGGGCTTTGTGGTTTTTGGTGGAAAAGGAAATATCTTCACCTAAATACTAGATAGAAGCATTCTCAGAAGCTTCTCTGTGATGACTGCATTCAACTCACGGAGTTGAACACTCCTTTTGAGAGCGCAGTTTTGGAACTCTCTTTCTGTGGCATCTGCAAGGGGACATGTAGACCTCTTTGAAGATTTCGTTGGAAACGGAATCATCTTCACATAAAAACTATACAGAAGCAGTCTCAGAATCTTCTTTGTGATGTTTGCATTCAAATCCCTGAGTTGAACTTTCCTTTCCAAGTTCACGTTTGAAACACTCTTTTTGCAGGATCTACAAGTGGATATTTGGACCACTCTGTGTCCTTCGTTCGAAACGGGTATATCTTCACATGACATCTAGACAGAAGCTTTCTCAGAAAATTCTTTGGGATGATTGAGTTGAGCAAACAGAGCTGAACACTCCTTGTGATGTAGCAGTTTAGAAACACACTTTCTGCAGAATCTGCAAGTGCATATGTGGACCTCTCTGAGGAATTCGTTGGAAACGGGATAATTTCAGCTGACTAAACAGAAGCATTCTCAGAACCTTCTTCGTGATGTCTGCGTTCAACTCACAGTGTGGAACCTTTCTTTGATAGTTCAGGTTTGAAACACTCTTTTTGTAGAAACTGCAAGGGAATCATTGCACTTCTTTGAGGCCTACCGTAGTAAAGGAGATAACTTCCTACAAAAAGAAGACAGAAGCATTCTCAGAACCCTCTTCGTGATGTTTGCATTCAACCCACGGTGCTGAACCTTTCTTTGATAGTTCAGCTTTGAAACACTCTTTTTGTAGAAACTGCAAGTGGATATTTGGTCCTCTCTGAGGATTTCGTTGGAAACGGGATAAACCGCACAGAACTAAACAGAAGCATTCTCAGAACCTTCTTCGTGATGTTTGCATTCAACTCACAGTGTTGAACCTTTCTTTGATAGTTCAGGTTTGAAACGGTCTTTCTGTAGAAACTGCAAGTAGATATTTGGACCTCTCTGAGGATTTCGTTGGAAACGGGATAAACCGCACAGAACTAAAACAGAAGCATTCACAGAAAACTCTTGGTGACGACTGAGTTTAACTCACAGAGCTGAACATTCCTTTGGATGGAGCAGTTTCGAAACACACTATTTGTAGAATGTGCAAGTGGATATTTGGGCCTCTCTGAGGATTTCGTTGGAAACGGGATAAACCGCACAGAACTCAACAGAAGCATTCTCAGAAACTACTTTGTGATGATTGCATTCAAGTCACAGAGTTGAACATTCCCTTTGACAGAGCAGTTTGGAAACTCTCTTTGTGTAGAATCTGCAAGTGGAGATATGGACCGCTTTGAGGCCTATGGTAGTAAAGGAAATAGCTTCATATAAAAGCTAGACAGTAGCATTCTCAGAAACTTCTTTGTGATGCTTGCATTCAACTCACAGAGTTGAACTTTCCTTTCGAGAGAGAAGCTTTGAAACACTCTTTTTCCAGAATCTGCAAGTGGACATTTGGAGGGCTTTGAGGCCTGTGGTGGAAAAGGAATTAACTTCCCGTAAAAGCTAGATAGAAGCATTGTCAGAAACTTCTTTGTGATGATTGCATTCAACTCACAGAGATGAAGGTTCCTTTACAAACAGCAGTTTCCAAACACTCTTTCTGTGGAATCTGCAAGTGGATATTTGGACCTCTTTGAAGATTTCGTTGTAAACGGGAGAATCTTCACAGAAAAGCTAAACAGAAGCATTCTCAGAAACTTCTCTGTGATGTTTGTGTTCAACTCCCAGAGTTTCACATTGCTTTTCATAGAGTAGTTCTGAAACATGCTTTTCGTAGTGTCTGCAAGTGGACATTTGGAGCGCTTTCAGGCCTGTGGTGGAAAACGAATTATGGTCCCATAAAAACTGGAGAGAAGCCTTCTCAGAAACTTCTCTGTGATGATTGCATTCAACTCACAGATTTGAACCCTCCTATGGATAGAGCATTGTTGAAACTCTCTTTTTGTGGAATCTGCAAGTGGATATGTGGACCTCTCCGAAGATGTCTTTGGAAACGGGAATATCTTCACATAAAAACTAAACAGAAGCATTCTCAGAAACTTCTTGGTGATGTTTGCATTCAAATCCCAGAGTTGAACCTTCCTGTGATAGTTCAGGTTTGAAACACTCTTTTTGTAGGATCTGCAAGTGGATATTTGGACCACTCTGTGGCCTTCGTTCGAAACGGGTACATCTTCACATAAAATCTAGACAGAAGCATTCTCAGAAAATACTTTGTGATGATTGAGTTTAACTCACAGAGCTGAACATTCCTTTGGATGGAGCAGGTTTGAGACACACTTTTTGTAGAATCTACAAGTGGATATTTGGACCTCTCTGAGGATTTCGTTGGAAACGCGATAACTGCACCTAACTAAACGGAAGCATTCTCAGAAACTGCTTTGTGATGATTGCATTCACCTCACAGAGTTGAACATTCCTATTGATAGAGCAGTTTGGAAACACTCTTGTTGTGGAATGTGCAAGTGGAGATTTGGAGCGCTTTGAGGCCTATGGTAGTAAAGGGAATAGCTTCATAGAAAAACTAGACAGATGCATTCTCAGGAACTTTTTGGTGATGTTTGTATTCAACTCCCAGAGTTGAACTTTCCTTTGGAAAGAGCAGCTATGAAACACTCTTTTTCTAGAATCTGCAAGTGGACGTTTGGAGGGCTTTGTGGTTTGTGGTGGAAAAGGAAATATCTTCACCTAAATACTAGATAGAAGCATTCTCAGAAGCTTCTCTGTGATGACTGCATTCAACTCACGGAGTTGAACACTCCTTTTGAGAGCGCAGTTTTGAAACTCTCTTTCTGTGGCATCTGCAAGGGGACATGTAGACCTCTTTGAAGATTTCGTTGGAAACGGAATCATCTTCACATAAAAACTATACAGAAGCAGTCTCAGAATCTTCTTTGTGATGTTTGCATTCAAATCCCAGAGTTGAACTTTCCTTTCAAAGTTCACGTTTGAAACACTCTTTTTGCAGGATCTACAAGTGGATATTTGGACCACTCTGTGTCCTTCGTTCGAAACGGGTATATCTTCACACGACATCTAGACAGAAGCTTTCTCAGAAAATTCTTTGGGATGATTGAGTGGAACTCACAGAGCTGAACATTCCTTGCGATGTAGCAGTTTAGAAACACACTTTCTGCAGAATCTGCAAGTGCATATTTGGACCTCTCTGAGGAATTCGTTGGAAACGGGATAATTTCAGCTGACTAAACAGAAGCATTCTCAGAACCTTCTTCGTGATGTCTGCATTCAACTCACAGTGTGGAACCTTTCTTTGATAGTTCAGGTTTGAAACACTCTTTTTGTAGAAACTGCAAGGGGATAATTGCACTTCTTTGAGGCCTACCGTAGTAAAGGAAATAACTTCCTATAGAAAGAAGACAGAAGCATTCTCAGAACCCTCTTCGTGATGTTTGCATTCAACTCACAGTGCTGAACCTTTCTTTGATAGTTCAGCTTTGAAACACTCTTCTTGTAGAAACTGCAAGTGGATATTTGGTCCTCTCTGAGGATTTCGTTGGAAACGGGATAAACCGCACAGAACTAAACAGAAGAATTCTCAGAGCCCTCTTCGTGATGTTTGCATTCAACTCACAGTGCTGAACCTTTCTTTGATAGTGCAGCTTTGAAACACTCTTTTTGTAGAAACTGCAAGTGGATGTTTGGTCCTCTCTGAGGATTTCGTTGGAAACGGGATAAACCGCACAGAACTAAAACAGAAGCATTGTCAGAAACTTCTTTGTGATGATTGCATTCAACTCACAGAGTTGAAGGTTCCTTTTCAAACAGCAGTTTCCAATCACTCTTTCTGTGGAATCTGCAAGTGGATATTTGGGCCTCTCTGAGGATTTCGTTGGAAACGGGATAAAACGCACAGAACTAAAACAGAAGCATTCTCAGAAACTTCTCTGTGATGTTTGTGTTCAACTCCCAGAGTTTCACGTTGCTTTTCATAGAGTAGTTCTGAAACATGCTTTTCGTAGTGTCTGCAAGTGGACGTTTGGAGCGCTTTCAGGCCTGTGGTGGAAAACGAATTATGGTCACATAAAAACTGGAGAGAAGCCTTCTCAGAAACTTCTCTGTGGTGATTGCATTCAACTCACAGAGTTGAACCCTCCTATGGATAGAGCAGTGTTGAAACTCTCTTTTTGTGGAATCTGCAAGTGGATATGTGGACCTCTCCGAAGATGTCTTTGGAAACGGGAATATCTTCACATAAAAACTAAACAGAAGCATTCTCAGAAACTTCTTGGTGATGTTTGCATTCAAATCCCAGAGTTGAACCTTCCTTTGATAGTTCAGGTTTGAAACACTCTTTTTGTAGGATCTGCAAGTGGCTATTTGGACCACTCTGTGGCCTTCGTTCGAAACGGGTATATCTTCGCATAAAATCTAGACAGAAGCATTCTCAGAAAATACTTTGTGATGATTGAGTTTAAATCACAGAGCTGACCATTCCTTTGGATGGAGCAGGTTTGAGACACACTTTTTGTAGAATCTACAAGTGGATATTTGGACCTCTCTGAGGATTTCGTTGGAAACGGGATAACTGCACCTAACTAAACGGAAGCATTCTCAGAAACTGCTTTGTGATGATTGCATTCACCTCACAGAGTTGAACATTCCTATTGATAGAGCAGTTTGGAAACACTCTTGTTGTGGAATGTGCAAGTGGAGATTTGGAGCGCTTTGAGGCCTGTGGTAGTAAAGGGAATAGCTTCATAGAAAAACTAGACAGATGCATTCTCAGGAACTTCTTTTTGGTGATGTTTGTATTCAACTCCCAGAGTTGAACTTTCCTTTGGAAAGAGCAGCTATGAAACACTCTTTTTCTAGAATCTGCAAGTGGACGTTTGGAGGGCTTTGTGGTTTGTGGTGGAAAAGGAAATATCTTCACCTAAATACTAGATAGAAGCATTCTCAGAAGCTTCTCTGTGATGACTGCATTCAACTCACGGAGTTGAACACTCCTTTTGAGAGCGCAGTTTTGAAACTCTCTTTCTGTGGCATCTGCAAGGGGACATGTAGACCTCTTTGAAGATTTCGTTGGAAACGGAATCATCTTCACATAAAAACTATACAGAAGCAGTCTCAGAATCTTCTTTGTGATGTTTGCATTCAAATCCCAGAGTTGAACTTTCCTTTCAAAGTTCACGTTTGAAACACTCTTTTTGCAGGATCTACAAGTGGATATTTGGACCACTCTGTGTCCTTCGTTCGAAACGGGTATAACTTCACACGACATCTAGACAGAAGCTTTCTCAGGAAAATTCTTTGGGATGATTGAGTGGAACTCACAGTGCTGAACATTCCTTGCGATGTAGCAGTTTAGAAACACACTTTCTGCAGAATCTGCAAGTGCATATTTGGACCTCTCTGAGGAATTCGTTGGAAACGGGATAATTTCAGCTGACTAAACAGAAGCATTCTCAGAACCTTCTTCGAGATGTCTGCATTCAACTCACAGTGTGGAACCTTTCTTTGATAGTTCAGGTTTGAAACACTCTTTTTGTGGAAACTGCAAGGGGATAATTGCACTTCTTTGAGGCCTACCGTAGTAATGGAAATAACTTCCTATAAAAAGAAGACAGAAGCATTCTCAGAACCCTCTTCGTGATGTTTGCATTCAACTCACAGTGCTGAACCTTTATTTGATAGTTCAGCTTTGAAACACTCTTTTTGTAGAAACTGCAAGTGGATATTTGGTCCTCCTCCTGAGGATTTCGTTGGAAACGGGATAAACTGCACAGAACTAAACAGAAGCATTCACAGAAAACACTTGGTGACGACTGAGTTTAACTCACAGAGCTGAACATTCCTTTGGATGGAGCAGTTTCGAAACACACTATTTCTAGAATCTGCAAGTGGATATTTGGGCCTCTCTGAGGATTTCGTTGGAAACGGGATAAACCGCACAGAACTAAAACAGAAGCATTCTCAGAAACTACTTTGTGATGATTGCATTCAAGTCACAGAGTTGAACATTCCCTTTGACAGAGCAGTTTGGAAACTCTCTTTGTGTAGAATCTGCAAGTGGAGATATGGACCGCTTTGAGGCCTATGGTAGTAAAGGAAACAGCTTCATATAAAAGCTAGGCAGTAGCATTCTCAGAAACTTCTTTGTGATGCTTGCATTCAACTCACAGAGTTAAACTTTCCTTTCGAGAGAGAAGCTTTGAAACACTCTTTTTCCTGAATGTGCAAGTGGACATTTGGAGGGCTTTGAGGCCTGTGGTGGAAAAGGAATTATCTTCCCGTAAAAGCTAGATAGAAGCATTGTCAGAAACTTCTTTGTGATGATTGCATTCAACTCACAGAGATGAAGGTTCCTTTACAAACAGCAGTTTCCAAACACTCTTTCTGTGGAATCTGCAAGTGGATATTTGGACCTCTTTGAAGATTTCGTTGGAAACGGGAGAATCTTCACAGAAAAGCTAAACAGAAGCATTCTCAGAAACTTCTCTGTGATGTTTGTGTTCAACTCCCAGAGTTTCACATTGCTTTTCATAGAGTAGTTCTGAAACATGCTTTTCGTAGTGTCTGCAAGTGGACATTTGGAGCGCTTTCAGGCCTGTGGTGGAAAACGAATTATGGTCCCATAAAAACTGGAGAGAAGACTTCTCAGAAACTTCTCTGTGATGATTGCATTCAACTCACAGATTTGAACCCTCCTATGGATAGAGCATTGTTGAAACTCTCTTTTTGTGGAATCTGCAAGTGGATATGTGGACCTCTCCGAAGATGTCTTTGGAAACGGGAATATCTTCACATAAAAACTAAACAGAAGCATTCTCAGAAACTTCTTGGTGATGTTTGCATTCAAATCCCAGAGTTGAACCTTCCTGTGATAGTTCAGGTTTGAAACACTCTTTTTGTAGGATCTGCAAGTGGATATTTGGACCACTCTGTGGCCTTCGTTCGAAACGGGTACATCTTCACATAAAATCTAGACAGAAGCATTCTCAGAAAATACTTTGTGATGATTGAGTTTAACTCACAGAGCTGAACATTCCTTTGGATGGAGCAGGTTTGAGACACACTTTTTGTAGAATCTACAAGTGGATATTTGGACCTCTCTGAGGATTTCGTTGGAAACGCGATAACTGCACCTAACTAAACGGAAGCATTCTCAGAAACTGCTTTGTGATGATTGCATTCACCTCACAGAGTTGAACATTCCTATTGATAGAGCAGTTTGGAAACACTCTTGTTGTGGAATGTGCAAGTGGAGATTTGGAGCGCTTTGAGGCCTATGGTAGTAAAGGGAATAGCTTCATAGAAAAACTAGACAGATGCATTCTCAGGAACTTTTTGGTGATGTTTGTATTCAACTCCCAGAGTTGAACTTTCCTTTGGAAAGAGCAGCTATGAAACACTCTTTTTCTAGAATCTGCAAGTGGACGTTTGGAGGGCTTTGTGGTTTGTGGTGGAAAAGGAAATATCTTCACCTAAATACTAGATAGAAGCATTCTCAGAAGCTTCTCTGTGATGACTGCATTCAACTCACGGAGTTGAACACTCCTTTTGAGAGCGCAGTTTTGAAACTCTCTTTCTGTGGCATCTGCAAGGGGACATGTAGACCTCTTTGAAGATTTCGTTGGAAACGGAATCATCTTCACATAAAAACTATACAGAAGCAGTCTCAGAATCTTCTTTGTGATGTTTGCATTCAAATCCCAGAGTTGAACTTTCCTTTCAAAGTTCACGTTTGAAACACTCTTTTTGCAGGATCTACAAGTGGATATTTGGACCACTCTGTGTCCTTCGTTCGAAACGGGTATATCTTCACACGACATCTAGACAGAAGCTTTCTCAGAAAATTCTTTGGGATGATTGAGTGGAACTCACAGAGCTGAACATTCCTTGCGATGTAGCAGTTTAGAAACACACTTTCTGCAGAATCTGCAAGTGCATATTTGGACCTCTCTGAGGAATTCGTTGGAAACGGGATAATTTCAGCTGACTAAACAGAAGCATTCTCAGAACCTTCTTCGTGATGTCTGCATTCAACTCACAGTGTGGAACCTTTCTTTGATAGTTCAGGTTTGAAACACTCTTTTTGTAGAAACTGCAAGGGGATAATTGCACTTCTTTGAGGCCTACCGTAGTAAAGGAAATAACTTCCTATAGAAAGAAGACAGAAGCATTCTCAGAACCCTCTTCGTGATGTTTGCATTCAACTCACAGTGCTGAACCTTTCTTTGATAGTTCAGCTTTGAAACACTCTTCTTGTAGAAACTGCAAGTGGATATTTGGTCCTCTCTGAGGATTTCGTTGGAAACGGGATAAACCGCACAGAACTAAACAGAAGAATTCTCAGAGCCCTCTTCGTGATGTTTGCATTCAACTCACAGTGCTGAACCTTTCTTTGATAGTGCAGCTTTGAAACACTCTTTTTGTAGAAACTGCAAGTGGATATTTGGTCCTCTCTGAGGATTTCGTTGGAAACGGGATAAACCGCACAGAACTAAAACAGAAGCATTGTCAGAAACTTCTTTGTGATGATTGCATTCAACTCACAGAGTTGAAGGTTCCTTTTCAAACAGCAGTTTCCAATCACTCTTTCTGTGGAATCTGCAAGTGGATATTTGGGCCTCTCTGAGGATTTCGTTGGAAACGGGATAAAACGCACAGAACTAAAACAGAAGCATTCTCAGAAACTTCTCTGTGATGTTTGTGTTCAACTCCCAGAGTTTCACATTGCTTTTCATAGAGTAGTTCTGAAACATGCTTTTCGTAGTGTCTGCAAGTGGACATTTGGAGCGCTTTCAGGCCTGTGGTGGAAAACGAATTATGGTCACATAAAAACTGGAGAGAAGCCTTCTCAGAAACTTCTCTGTGATGATTGCATTCAACTCACAGAGTTGAACCCTCCTATGGATAGAGAAGTGTTGAAACTCTCTTTTTGTGGAATCTGCAAGCGGATATGTGGACCTCTCCGAAGATGTCTTTGGAAACGGGAATATCTTCACATAAAAACTAAACAGAAGCATTCTCAGAAACTTCTTGATGATGTTTGCATTCAAATCCCAGAGTTGAACCTTCCTTTGAGAGTTCAGGTTTGAAACACTCTTTTTGTAGGATCTGCAAGTGGATATTTGGACCACTCTGTGGTCTTCGTTCGAAACGGGTACATCTTCGCATAAAATCTAGACAGAAGCATTCTCAGAAAATACTTTGTGATGATTGAGTTGAACTCACAGAGCTGAACATTCCTTTGGATGGAGCAGGTTTGAGACACACTTTTTGTAGAATCTACAAGTGGATATTTGGACCTCTCTGAGGATTTCGTTGGAAACGGGATAACTGCACCTAACTAAACGGAAGCATTCTCAGAAACTGCTTTGTGATGATTGCATTCACCTCACAGAGTTGAACATTCCTATTGATAGAGCAGTTTGGAAACACTCTTGTTGTGGAATGTGCAAGTGGAGATTTGGAGCGCTTTGAGGCCTATGGTAGTAAAGGGAATAGCTTCATAGAAAAACTAGACAGATGCATTCTCAGGAACTTTTTGGTGATGTTTGTATTCAACTCCCAGAGTTGAACTTTCCTTTGGAAAGAGCAGCTATGAAACACTCTTTTTCTAGAATCTGCAAGTGGACGTTTGGAGGGCTTTGTGGTTTGTGGTGGAAAAGGAAATGTCTTCACCTAAATACTAGATAGAAGCATTCTCAGAAGCTTCTCTGTGATGACTGCATTCAACTCACGGAGTTGAACACTCCTTTTGAGAGCGCAGTTTTGAAACTCTCTTTCTGTGGCATCTGCAAGGGGACATGTAGACCTCTTTGAAGATTTCGTTGGAAACGGAATCATCTTCACATAAAAACTATACAGAAGCAGTCTCAGAATCTTCTTTGTGATGTTTGCATTCAAATCCCAGAGTTGAACTTTCCTTTCAAAGTTCACGTTTGAAACACTCTTTTTGCAGGATCTACAAGTGGATATTTGGACCACTCTGTGTCCTTCGTTCGAAACGGGTATATCTTCACATGACATCTAGACAGAAGCTTTCTCAGAAAATTGTTTGGGATGATTGACTTGAACTCACAGAGCTGAGCATTCCTTGCGATGTAGCAGTTTAGAAACACACTTTCTGCAGAATCTGCAAGTGCATATTTGGACCTCTCTGAGGAATTCGTTGGAAACGGGATAATTTCAGCTGACTAAACAGAAGCATTCTCAGAACCTTCTTCGTGATGTCTGCATTCAACTCACAGTGTGGAACCTTTCCTTGATAGTTCAGGTTTGAAACACTCTTTTTGTAGAAACTGCAAGGGGATAATTGCACTCTTTGAGGAGTACCGTAGTAAAGGAAATAACTTCCTCTAAAAAGAAGACAGAAGCATTCTCAGAACCCTCTTCGTGATGTTTGCATTCAACTCACAGTGCTGAACCTTTCTTTGATAGTTCAGCTTTGAAACACTCTTTTTGTAGAAACTGCAAATGGATATTTGGTCCTCTCTGAGGATTTCGTTGGAAAAGGGATAAAACGCACAGAACTAAACAGAAGCATTCACAGAAAACTCTTGGTGACGACTGAGTTTAACTCACAGAGCTGAACATTCCTTTGGATGGAGCAGTTTCGAAACACACTATTTGTAGAATCTGCAAGTGGATATTTGGGCCTCTCTGAGGATTTCGTTGGAAACGGGATAAACCGCACAGAACTAAAACAGAAGCATTCTCAGAAACTACTTTGTGATGATTGCATTCAAGTCACAGAGTTGAACATTCCCTTTGACAGAGCAGTTTGGAAACTCTCTTTGTGTAGAATCTGCAAGTGGAGATATGGACCGCTTTGAGGCCTATGGTAGTAAAGGAAATAGCTTCATATAAAAGCTAGACAGTAGCATTCTCAGAAACTTCTTTGTGATGCTTGCATTCAACTCACAGAGTTGAACTTTCCTTTCGAGAGAGAAGCTTTGAAACACTCTTTTTCCAGAATGTGCAAGTGGACATTTGGGGAGCTTTGAGGCCTGGGGTGGAAAAGGAATTATCTTCCCGTAAAAGCTAGATAGAAGCATTGTCAGAAACTTCTTTGTGATGACTGCATTCAACTCACAGAGTTGAAGGTTCCTTTTCAAACAGCAGTTTCCAATCACTCTTTCTGTGGAATCTGCAAGTGGATATTTCGACCTCTTTGAAGATTTCGTTGGAAACGGGAGAATCTTCCCAGAAAAGCTAAACAGAAGCATTCTCAGAAACTTCTCTGTGATGTTTGTGTTCAACTCCCAGAGTTTCACGTTGCTTTTCATAGAGTAGTTCTGAAACATGCTTTTCGTAGTGTCTGCAAGTGGACATTTGGAGCGCTTTCAGGCCTGTGGTGGAAAACGAATTATGGTCACATAAAAACTGGAGAGAAGCCTTCTCAGAAACTTCTCTGTGATGATTGCATTCAACTCACAGAGTTGAACCCTCCTATGGATAGAGCAGTGTTGAAACTCTCTTTTTGTGGAATCTGCAAGTGGATATGTGGACCTCTCCGAAGATGTCTTTGGAAACGGGAATATCTTCACATAAAAACTAAACAGAAGCATTCTCAGAAACTTCTTGGTGATGTTTGCATTCAAATCCCAGAGTTGAGCCTTCCTTTGATAGTTCAGGTTTGAAACACTCTTTCTGTAGGATCTGCAAGTGGCTATTTGGACCACTCTGTGGCCTTCGTTCGAAACGGGTATATCTTCGCATAAAATCTAGACAGAAGCATTCTCAGAAAATACTTTGTGATGATTGAGTTTAAATCACAGAGCTGACCATTCCTTTGGATGGAGCAGGTTTGAGACACACTTTTTGTAGAATCTACAAGTGGATATTTGGACCTCTCTGAGGATTTCGTTGGAAACGGGATAACTGCACCTAACTAAACGGAAGCATTCTCAGAAACTGCTTTGTGATGATTGCATTCACCTCACAGAGTTGAACATTCCTATTGATAGAGCAGTTTGGAAACACTCTTGTTGTGGAATGTGCAAGTGGAGATTTGGAGCGCTTTGAGGCCTATGGTAGTAAAGGGAATAGCTTCATAGAAAAACTAGACAGATGCATTCTCAGGAACTTTTTGGTGATGTTTGTATTCAACTCCCAGAGTTGAACTTTCCTTTGGAAAGAGCAGCTATGAAACACTCTTTTTCTAGAATCTGCAAGTGGACGTTTGGAGGGCTTTGTGGTTTGTGGTGGAAAAGGAAATATCTTCACCTAAATACTAGATAGAAGCATCCTCAGAAGCTTCTCTGTGATGACTGCATTCAACTCACGGAGTTGAACACTCCTTTTGAGAGCGCAGTTTTGAAACTCTCTTTCTGTGGCATCTGCAAGGGGACATGTAGACCTCTTTGAAGATTTCGTTGGAAACGGAATCATCTTCACATAAAAACTATACAGAAGCAGTCTCAGAATCTTCTTTGTGATGTTTGCATTCAAATCCCAGAGTTGAACTTGCCTTTCAAAGTTCACGTTTGAAACACTCTTTTTGCAGGATCTACAAGTGGATATTTGGACCACTCTGTGTCCTTCGTTCGAAACGGGTATATCTTCACATGACATCTAGACAGAAGCTTTCTCAGAAAATTCTTTGGGATGATTGAGTGGAACTCACAGAGGTGAACATTCCTTGCGATGTAGCAGTTTAGAAACACACTTTCTGCAGAATCTGCAAGTGCATATTTGGACCTCTCTGAGGAATTCGTTGGAAACGGGATAATTTCAGCTGACTAAACAGAAGCATTCTCAGAACCTTCTTCGTGATGTCTGCATTCAACTCACAGTGTGGAACCTTTCTTTGATAGTTCAGGTTTGAAACACTCTTTTTGTAGAAACTGCAAGGGGATAATTGCACTTCTTTGAGGCCTACCGTAGTAAAGGAAATAACTTCCTATAGAAAGAAGACAGAAGCATTCTCAGAACCCTCTTCGTGATGTTTGCATTCAACTCACAGTGCTGAACCTTTCTTTGATAGTTCAGCTTTGAAACACTCTTCTTGTAGAAACTGCAAGTGGATATTTGGTCCTCTCTGAGGATTTCGTTGGAAACGGGATAAACCGCACAGAACTAAACAGAAGAATTCTCAGAGCCCTCTTCGTGATGTTTGCATTCAACTCACAGTGCTGAACCTTTCTTTGATAGTGCAGCTTTGAAACACTCTTTTTGTAGAAACTGCAAGTGGATGTTTGGTCCTCTCTGAGGATTTCGTTGGAAACGGGATAAACCGCACAGAACTAAAACAGAAGCATTGTCAGAAACTTCTTTGTGATGATTGCATTCAACTCACAGAGTTGAAGGTTCCTTTTCAAACAGCAGTTTCCAATCACTCTTTCTGTGGAATCTGCAAGTGGATATTTGGGCCTCTCTGAGGATTTCGTTGGAAACGGGATAAAACGCACAGAACTAAAACAGAAGCATTCTCAGAAACTTCTCTGTGATGTTTGTGTTCAACTCCCAGAGTTTCACGTTGCTTTTCATAGAGTAGTTCTGAAACATGCTTTTCGTAGTGTCTGCAAGTGGACATTTGGAGCGCTTTCAGGCCTGTGGTGGAAAACGAATTATGGTCACATAAAAACTGGAGAGAAGCCTTCTCAGAAACTTCTCTGTGATGATTGCATTCAACTCACAGAGTTGAACCCTCCTATGGATAGAGCAGTGTTGAAACTCTCTTTTTGTGGAATCTGCAAGTGGATATGTGGACCTCTCCGAAGATGTCTTTGGAAACGGGAATATCTTCACATAAAAACTAAACAGAAGCATTCTCAGAAACTTCTTGGTGATGTTTGCATTCAAATCCCAGAGTTGAACCTTCCTTTGATAGTTCAGGTTTGAAACACTCTTTCTGTAGGATCTGCAAGTGGCTATTTGGACCACTCTGTGGCCTTCGTTCGAAACGGGTATATCTTCGCATAAAATCTAGACAGAAGCATTCTCAGAAAATACTTTGTGATGATTGAGTTTAAATCACAGAGCTGACCATTCCTTTGGATGGAGCAGGTTTGAGACACACTTTTTGTAGAATCTACAAGTGGATATTTGGACCTCTCTGAGGATTTCGTTGGAAACGGGATAACTGCACCTAACTAAACGGAAGCATTCTCAGAAACTGCTTTGTGATGATTGCATTCACCTCACAGAGTTGAACATTCCTATTGATAGAGCAGTTTGGAAACACTCTTGTTGTGGAATGTGCAAGTGGAGATTTGGAGCGCTTTGAGGCCTGTGGTAGTAAAGGGAATAGCTTCATAGAAAAACTAGACAGATGCATTCTCAGGAACTTTTTGGTGATGTTTGTATTCAACTCCCAGAGTTGAACTTTCCTTTGGAAAGAGCAGCTATGAAACACTCTTTTTCTAGAATCTGCAAGTGGACGTTTGGAGGGCTTTGTGGTTTGTGGTGGAAAAGGAAATATCTTCACCTAAATACTAGACAGAAGCATTCTCAGAAGCTTCTCTGTGATGACTGCATTCAACTCACGGAGTTGAACACTCCTTTTGAGAGCGCAGTTTTGAAACTCTCTTTCTGTGGCATCTGCAAGGGGACATGTAGACCTCTTTGAAGATTTCGTTGGAAACGGAATCATCTTCACATAAAAACTATACAGAAGCAGTCTCAGAATCTTCTTTGTGATGTTTGCATTCAAATCCCAGAGTTGAACTTTCCTTTCAAAGTTCACGTTTGAAACACTCTTTTTGCAGGATCTACAAGTGGATATTTGGACCACTCTGTGTCCTTCGTTCGAAACGGGTATATCTTCACACGACATCTAGACAGAAGCTTTCTCAGAAAATTCTTTGGGATGATTGAGTGGAACTCACAGAGCTGAACATTCCTTGCGATGTAGCAGTTTAGAAACACACTTTCTGCAGAATCTGCAAGTGCATATTTGGACCTCTCTGAGGAATTCGTTGGAAACGGGATAATTTCAGCTGACTAAACAGAAGCATTCTCAGAACCTTCTTCGTGATGTCTGCATTCAACTCACAGTGTGGAACCTTTCTTTGATAGTTCAGGTTTGAAACACTCTTTTTGTAGAAACTGCAAGGGGATAATTGCACTTCTTTGAGGCCTACCGTAGTAAAGGAAATAACTTCCTATAGAAAGAAGACAGAAGCATTCTCAGAACCCTCTTCGTGATGTTTGCATTCAACTCACAGTGCTGAACCTTTCTTTGATAGTTCAGCTTTGAAACACTCTTCTTGTAGAAACTGCAAGTGGATATTTGGTCCTCTCTGAGGATTTCGTTGGAAACGGGATAAACCGCACAGAACTAAACAGAAGAATTCTCAGAGCCCTCTTCGTGATGTTTGCATTCAACTCACAGTGCTGAACCTTTCTTTGATAGTGCAGCTTTGAAACACTCTTTTTGTAGAAACTGCAAGTGGATGTTTGGTCCTCTCTGAGGATTTCGTTGGAAACGGGATAAACCGCACAGAACTAAAACAGAAGCATTGTCAGAAACTTCTTTGTGATGATTGCATTCAACTCACAGAGTTGAAGGTTCCTTTTCAAACAGCAGTTTCCAATCACTCTTTCTGTGGAATCTGCAAGTGGATATTTGGGCCTCTCTGAGGATTTCGTTGGAAACGGGATAAAACGCACAGAACTAAAACAGAAGCATTCTCAGAAACTTCTCTGTGATGTTTGTGTTCAACTCCCAGAGTTTCACGTTGCTTTTCATAGAGTAGTTCTGAAACATGCTTTTCGTAGTGTCTGCAAGTGGACATTTGGAGCGCTTTCAGGCCTGTGGTGGAAAACGAATTATGGTCACATAAAAACTGGAGAGAAAGCCTTCTCAGAAACTTCTCTGTGATGATTGCATTCAACTCACAGAGTTGAACCCTCCTATGGATAGAGCAGTGTTGAAACTCTCTTTTTGTGGAATCTGCAAGTGGATATGTGGACCTCTCCGAAGATGTCTTTGGAAACGGGAATATCTTCACATAAAAACTAAACAGAGCATTCTCAGAAACTTCTTGGTGATGTTTGCATTCAAATCCCAGAGTTGAACCTTCCTTTGATAGTTCAGGTTTGAAACACTCTTTTTGTAGGATCTGCAAGTGGATATTTGGACCACTCTGTGGCCTTTGTTCGAAACGGGTACATCTTCGCATAAAATCTAGACAGAAGCATTCTCAGAAAATACTTTGTGATGATTGAGTTTAAATCACAGAGCTGACCATTCCTTTGGATGGAGCAGGTTTGAGACACACTTTTTGTAGAATCTACAAGTGGATATTTGGACCTCTCTGAGGATTTCGTTGGAAACGGGATAACTGCACCTAACTAAACGGAAGCATTCTCAGAAACTGCTTTGTGATGATTGCATTCACCTCACAGAGTTGAACATTCCTATTGATAGAGCAGTTTGGAAACACTCTTGTTGTGGAATGTGCAAGTGGAGATTTGGAGCGCTTTGAGGCCTGTGGTAGTAAAGGGAATAGCTTCATAGAAAAACTAGACAGATGCATTCTCAGGAACCTTTTGGTGATGTTTGTATTCAACTCCCAGAGTTGAACTTTCCTTTGGAAAGAGCAGCTATGAAACACTCTTTTTCTAGAATCTGCAAGTGGACGTTTGGAGGGCTTTGTGGTTTGTGGTGGAAAAGGAAATATCTTCACCTAAATACTAGATAGAAGCATTCTCAGAAGCTTCTCTGTGATGACTGCATTCAACTCACGGAGTTGAACACTCCTTTTGAGAGCGCAGTTTTGAAACTCTCTTTCTGTGGCATCTGCAAGGGGACATGTAGACCTCTTTGAAGATTTCGTTGGAAACGGAATCATCTTCACATAAAAACTATACAGAAGCAGTCTCAGAATCTTCTTTGTGATGTTTGCATTCAAATCCCAGAGTTGAACTTTCCTTTCAAAGTTCACGTTTGAAACACTCTTTTTGCAGGATCTACAAGTGGATATTTGGACCACTCTGTGTCCTTCGTTCGAAACGGGTATATCTTCACACGACATCTAGACAGAAGCTTTCTCAGAAAATTCTTTGGGATGATTGAGTGGAACTCACAGAGCTGAACATTCCTTGCGATGTAGCAGTTTAGAAACACACTTTCTGCAGAATCTGCAAGTGCATATTTGGACCTCTCTGAGGAATTCGTTGGAAACGGGATAATTTCAGCTGACTAAACAGAAGCATTCTCAGAACCTTCTTCGTGATGTCTGCATTCAACTCACAGTGTGGAACCTTTCTTTGATAGTTCAGGTTTGAAACACTCTTTTTGTAGAAACTGCAAGGGGATAATTGCACTTCTTTGAGGCCTACCGTAGTAAAGGAAATAACTTCCTATAGAAAGAAGACAGAAGCATTCTCAGAACCCTCTTCGTGATGTTTGCATTCAACTCACAGTGCTGAACCTTTCTTTGATAGTTCAGCTTTGAAACACTCTTCTTGTAGAAACTGCAAGTGGATATTTGGTCCTCTCTGAGGATTTCGTTGGAAACGGGATAAACCGCACAGAACTAAACAGAAGAATTCTCAGAGCCCTCTTCGTGATGTTTGCATTCAACTCACAGTGCTGAACCTTTCTTTGATAGTGCAGCTTTGAAACACTCTTTTTGTAGAAACTGCAAGTGGATGTTTGGTCCTCTCTGAGGATTTCGTTGGAAACGGGATAAACCGCACAGAACTAAAACAGAAGCATTGTCAGAAACTTCTTTGTGATGATTGCATTCAACTCACAGAGTTGAAGGTTCCTTTTCAAACAGCAGTTTCCAATCACTCTTTCTGTGGAATCTGCAAGTGGATATTTGGGCCTCTCTGAGGATTTCGTTGGAAACGGGATAAAACGCACAGAACTAAAACAGAAGCATTCTCAGAAACTTCTCTGTGATGTTTGTGTTCAACTCCCAGAGTTTCACGTTGCTTTTCATAGAGTAGTTCTGAAACATGCTTTTCGTAGTGTCTGCAAGTGGACATTTGGAGCGCTTTCAGGCCTGTGGTGGAAAACGAATTATGGTCACATAAAAACTGGAGAGAAGCCTTCTCAGAAACTTCTCTGTGATGATTGCATTCAACTCACAGAGTTGAACCCTCCTATGGATAGAGCAGTGTTGAAACTCTCTTTTTGTGGAATCTGCAAGTGGATATGTGGACCTCTCCGAAGATGTCTTTGGAAACGGGAATATCTTCACATAAAAACTAAACAGAAGCATTCTCAGAAACTTCTTGGTGATGTTTGCATTCAAATCCCAGAGTTGAACCTTCCTTTGATAGTTCAGGTTTGAAACACTCTTTCTGTAGGATCTGCAAGTGGCTATTTGGACCACTCTGTGGCCTTCGTTCGAAACGGGTATATCTTCGCATAAAATCTAGACAGAAGCATTCTCAGAAAATACTTTGTGATGATTGAGTTTAAATCACAGAGCTGACCATTCCTTTGGATGGAGCAGGTTTGAGACACACTTTTTGTAGAATCTACAAGTGGATATTTGGACCTCTCTGAGGATTTCGTTGGAAACGGGATAACTGCACCTAACTAAACGGAAGCATTCTCAGAAACTGCTTTGTGATGATTGCATTCACCTCACAGAGTTGAACATTCCTATTGATAGAGCAGTTTGGAAACACTCTTGTTGTGGAATGTGCAAGTGGAGATTTGGAGCGCTTTGAGGCCTGTGGTAGTAAAGGGAATAGCTTCATAGAAAAACTAGACAGATGCATTCTCAGGAACTTTTTGGTGATGTTTGTATTCAACTCCCAGAGTTGAACTTTCCTTTGGAAAGAGCAGCTATGAAACACTCTTTTTCTAGAATCTGCAAGTGGACGTTTGGAGGGCTTTGTGGTTTGTGGTGGAAAAGGAAATATCTTCACCTAAATACTAGATAGAAGCATTCTCAGAAGCTTCTCTGTGATGACTGCATTCAACTCACGGAGTTGAACACTCCTTTTGAGAGCGCAGTTTTGAAACTCTCTTTCTGTGGCATCTGCAAGGGGACATGTAGACCTCTTTGAAGATTTCGTTGGAAACGGAATCATCTTCACATAAAAACTATACAGAAGCAGTCTCAGAATCTTCTTTGTGATGTTTGCATTCAAATCCCAGGAGTTGAACTTTCCTTTCAAAGTTCACGTTTGAAACACTCTTTTTGCAGGATCTACAAGTGGATATTTGGACCACTCTGTGTCCTTCGTTCGAAACGGGTATAACTTCACACGACATCTAGACAGAAGCTTTCTCAGAAAATTCTTTGGGATGATTGAGTGGAACTCACAGAGCTGAACATTCCTTGCGATGGAGCAGTTTAGAAACACACTTTCTGCAGAATCTGCAAGTGCATATTTGGACCTCTCTGAGGAATTCGTTGGAAACGGGATAATTTCAGCTGACTAAACAGAAGCATTCTCAGAACCTTCTTCGTGATGTCTGCATTCAACTCACAGTGTGGAACCTTTCTTTGATAGTTCAGGTTTGAAACACTCTTTTTGTAGAAACTGCAAGGGGATAATTGCACTTCTTTGAGGCCTACCGTAGTAAAGGAAATAACTTCCTATAGAAAGAAGACAGAAGCATTCTCAGAACCCTCTTCGTGATGTTTGCATTCAACTCACAGTGCTGAACCTTTCTTTGATAGTTCAGCTTTGAAACACTCTTCTTGTAGAAACTGCAAGTGGATATTTGGTCCTCTCTGAGGATTTCGTTGGAAACGGGATAAACCGCACAGAACTAAACAGAAGAATTCTCAGAGCCCTCTTCGTGATGTTTGCATTCAACTCACAGTGCTGAACCTTTCTTTGATAGTGCAGCTTTGAAACACTCTTTTTGTAGAAACTGCAAGTGGATGTTTGGTCCTCTCTGAGGATTTCGTTGGAAACGGGATAAACCGCACAGAACTAAAACAGAAGCATTGTCAGAAACTTCTTTGTGATGATTGCATTCAACTCACAGAGTTGAAGGTTCCTTTTCAAACAGCAGTTTCCAATCACTCTTTCTGTGGAATCTGCAAGTGGATATTTGGGCCTCTCTGAGGATTTCGTTGGAAACGGGATAAAACGCACAGAACTAAAACAGAAGCATTCTCAGAAACCTCTCTGTGATGTTTGTGTTCAACTCCCAGAGTTTCACGTTGCTTTTCATAGAGTAGTTCTGAAACATGCTTTTCGTAGTGTCTGCAAGTGGACATTTGGAGCGCTTTCAGGCCTGTGGTGTAAAACGAATTATGGTCACATAAAAACTGGAGAGAGCCTTCTCAGAAACTTCTCTGTGATGATTGCATTCAACTCACAGAGTTGAACCCTCCTATGGATAGAGCAGTGTTGAAACTCTCTTTTTGTGGAATCTGCAAGTGGATATGTGGACCTCTCCGAAGATGTCTTTGGAAACGGGAATATCTTCACATAAAAACTAAACAGAAGCATTCTCAGAAACTTCTTGGTGATGTTTGCATTCCAATCCCAGAGTTGAACCTTCCTTTGATAGTTCAGGTTTGAAACACTCTTTTTGTAGGATCTGCAAGTGGATATTTGGACCACTCTGTGGCCTTCGTTCGAAACGGGTACATCTTCGCATAAAATGCTAGACAGAAGCATTCTCAGAAAATACTTTGTGATGATTGAGTTGAACTCACAGAGCTGAACATTCCTTTGGATGGAGCAGGTTTGAGAAACACTTTTTCTAGAATCTACAAGTGGATATTTGGACCTCTCTGAGGATTTCGTTGGAAACGGGATAACTGCACCTAACTAAACGGAAGCATTCTCAGAAACTGCTTTGTGATGATTGCATTCACCTCACAGAGTTGAACATTCCTATTGATAGAGCAGTTTGGAAACACTCTTGTTGTGGAATGTGCAAGTGGAGATTTGGAGCGCATTGAGGCCTATGGTAGTAAAGGGAATAGCTTCATAGAAAAACTAGACAGATGCATTCTCAGGAACTTTTTGGTGATGTTTGTATTCAACTCCCAGAGTTGAACTTTCCTTTGGAAAGAGCAGCTATGAAACACTCTTTTTCTAGAATCTGCAAGTGGACGTTTGGAGGGCTTTGTGGTTTGTGGTGGAAAAGGAAATATCTTCACCTAAATACTAGATAGAAGCATTCTCAGAAGCTTCTCTGTGATGACTGCATTCAACTCACGGAGTTGAACACTCCTTTTGAGAGCGCAGTTTTGAAACTCTCTTTCTGTGGCATCTGCAAGGGGACATGTAGACCTCTTTGAAGATTTCGTTGGAAACGGAATCATCTTCACATAAAAACTATACAGAAGCAGTCTCAGAATCTTCTTTGTGATGTTTGCATTCAAATCCCAGAGTTGAACTTTCCTTTCAAAGTTCACGTTTGAAACACTCTTTTTGCAGGATCTACAAGTGGATATTTGGACCACTCTGTGTCCTTCGTTCGAAACGGGTATATCTTCACACGACATCTAGACAGAAGCTTTCTCAGAAAATTCTTTGGGATGATTGAGTGGAACTCACAGAGCTGAACATTCCTTGCGATGTAGCAGTTTAGAAACACACTTTCTGCAGAATCTGCAAGTGCATATTTGGACCTCTCTGAGGAATTCGTTGGAAACGGGATAATTTCAGCTGACTAAACAGAAGCATTCTCAGAACCTTCTTCGTGATGTCTGCATTCAACTCACAGTGTGGAACCTTTCTTTGATAGTTCAGGTTTGAAACACTCTTTTTGTAGAAACTGCAAGGGGATAATTGCACTTCTTTGAGGCCTACCGTAGTAAAGGAAATAACTTCCTATAGAAAGAAGACAGAAGCATTCTCAGAACCCTCTTCGTGATGTTTGCATTCAACTCACAGTGCTGAACCTTTCTTTGATAGTTCAGCTTTGAAACACTCTTCTTGTAGAAACTGCAAGTGGATATTTGGTCCTCTCTGAGGATTTCATTGGAAACGGGATAAACCGCACAGAACTAAACAGAAGCATTCTCAGAACATTCTTCGTGATGTTTGCATTCAACTCACAGTGTTGAACCTTTCTGTGATAGTTCAGGTTGGAAACGGTCTTTCTGTAGAAACTGCAAGTAGATATTTGGACCTCTCTGAGGATTTCGTTGGAAACGGGATAAACCGCACAGAACTAAAACAGAAGCATTCACAGAAAACTCTTGGTGTTGACTGAGTTTAACTCACAGAGCTGAACATTCCTTTGGATGGAGCAGTTTCGAAACACACTATTTGTAGAATGTGCAACTGGATATTTGGGCCTCCCTGAGGATTTCGTTGGAAACGGGATAAACCACACAGAACTAAACAGAAGCATTCTCAGAAACTACTTTGTGATGATTGCATTCAAGTCACAGAGTTGAACATTCCCTTTGACAGAGCAGTTTGGAAACTCTCTTTGTGTAGAATCTGCAAGTGGAGATATAGACCGCTTTGAGGCCTATGGTAGTAAAGGAAATAGCTTCATATAAAAGCTAGACAGTAGCATTCTCAGAAACTTCTTTGTGATGCTTGCATTCAACTCACAGAGTTGAACTTTCCTTTCGAGAGAGAAGCTTTGAAACACTCTTTTTCCAGAATCTGCAAGTGGACATTTGGAGGGCTTTGAGGCCTGTGGTGGAAAAGGAATTATCTTCCCGTAAAAGCTAGATAGAAGCATTGTCAGAAACTTCTTTGTGATGATTGCATTCAACTCACAGAGTTGAAGGTTCCTTTTCAAAGAGCAGTTTCCAATCACTCTTTCTGTGGAATCTGCAAGTGGATATTTCGACCTATTTTGAAGATTTCGTTGGAAACGGGATAATCTTCACAGAAAAGCTAAACAGAAGCATTCTCAGAAACTTCTCTGTGATGTTTGTGTTCAACTCCCAGACTTTCACATTGCTTTTCATAGAGTAGTTCTGAAACATGCTTTTCGTAGTGTCTACAAGTGGACATTTGGAGCGCTTCCAGTCCTGTGGTGGAAAACGAATTATGGTCACATAAAAACTGGAGAGAAGCTTTCTCAGAAACTTCTCTGTGATGATTGCATTCAACTCACAGAGTTGAACCCTCCTATGGATAGAGCAGTGTTGAAACTCTCTTTTTGTGGAATCTGCAGGTGGATATGTGGACCTCTCCGAAGATGTCTTTGGAAACGGGAATATCTTCACATAATAACTAAACAGAAGCATTCTCAGAAAATTCTTGGTGATGTTTGCATTCAAATCCCAGAGTTGAACCTTCCTTTGATAGTTCAGGTTTGAAACACTCTTTTTGTAGGATCTGCAAGTGGATATTTGGACCACTCTGTGGCCTTCGTTCCAAACGGGTACATCTTCGCATAAAATCTAGACAGAAGCATTCTCAGAAAATACTTTGTGATGATTGAGTTGAACTCACAGAGCTGAACATTCCTTTGGATGGAGCAGGTTTGAGACACACTTTTTGTAGAATCTACAAGTGGATATTTGGACCTCTCTGAGGATTTCGTTGGAAACGGGATAACTGCACATAACTAAACGGAAGCATTCTCAGAAACTGCTTCGTGATGATTGCATTCACCTCACAGAGTTGAACATTCCTATTGATAGAGCAGTTTGGAAACACTCTTGTTGTGGAATGTGCAAGTGGAGATTTGGAGCGCTTTGAGGCCTATGGTAGTAAAGGGAATAGCTTCATAGAAAAACTAGACAGATGCATTCTCAGGAACTTTTTGGTGATGTTTGTATTCAACTCCCAGAGTTGAACTTTCCTTTGGAAAGAGCAGCTATGAAACACTCTTTTTCTAGAATCTGCAAGTGGACGTTTGGAGGGCTTTGTGGTTTGTGGTGGAAAAGGAAATATCTTCACCTAAATACTAGATAGAAGCATTCTCAGAAGCTTCTCTGTGATGAGTGCATTCAACTCACGGAGTTGAACACTCCTTTTGAGAGCGCAGTTTTGAAACTCTCTTTCTGTGGCATCTGCAAGGGGACATGTAGACCTCTTTGAAGATTTCGTTGGAAACGGAATCATCTTCACATAAAAACTATACAGAAGCAGTCTCAGAATCTTCTTTGTGATGTTTGCATTCAAATCCCAGAGTTGAACTTTCCTTTCAAAGTTCACATTTGAAACACTCTTTTTGCAGGATCTACAAGTGGATATTTGGACCACTCTGTGTCCTTCGTTCGAAACGGGTATATCTTCACATGACATCTAGACAGAAGCTTTCTCAGAAAATTCTTTGGGATGATTGAGTTGAACTCACAGAGCTGAACATTCCTTGCGATGTAGCAGTTTAGAAACACACTTTCTGCAGAATCTGCAAGTGCATATTTGGACCTCTCTGAGGAATTCGTTGGAAACGGGATAATTTCAGCTGACTAAACAGAAGCATTCTCAGAACCTTCTTCGTGATGTCTGCATTCAACTCACAGTGTGGAAACTTTCTTTGATAGTTCAGGTTTGAAACACTCTTTTTGTAGAAACTGCAAGGGGATAATTGCACTTCTTTGAGGCCTACCGTAGTAAAGGAAATAACTTCCTATAAAAAGAAGACAGAAGCATTCTCAGAACCCTCTTCGTGATGTTTGCATTCAACTCACAGTGCTGAACCTTTCTTTGATAGTTCAGCTTTGAAACACTCTTCTTGTAGAAACTGCAAGTGGATATTTGGTCCTCTCTGAGGATTTCGTTGGAAACGGGATAAACCGCACAGAACTAAACAGAAGAATTCTCAGAGCCCTCTTCGTGATGTTTGCATTCAACTCACAGTGCTGAACCTTTCTTTGATAGTGCAGCTTTGAAACACTCTTTTTGTAGAAACTGCAAGTGGATGTTTGGTCCTCTCTGAGGATTTCGTTGGAAACGGGATAAACCGCACAGAACTAAAACAGAAGCATTGTCAGAAACTTCTTTGTGATGATTGCATTCAACTCACAGAGTTGAAGGTTCCTTTTCAAACAGCAGTTTGCAATCACTCTTTCTGTGGAATCTGCAAGTGGATATTTGGGCCTCTCTGAGGATTTCGTTGGAAACGGGATAAAACGCACAGAACTAAAACAGAAGCATTCTCAGAAACTTCTCTGTGATGTTTGTGTTCAACTCCCAGAGTTTCACGTTGCTTTTCATAGAGTAGTTCTGAAACATGCTTTTCGTAGTGTCTGCAAGTGGACATTTGGAGCGCTTTCAGGCCTGTGGTGGAAAACGAATTATGGTCACATAAAAACTGGAGAGAAGCCTTCTCAGAAACTTCTCTGTGATGATTGCATTCAACTCACAGAGTTGAACCCTCCTATGGATAGAGCAGTGTTGAAACTCTCTTTTTGTGGAATCTGCAAGTGGATATGTGGACCTCTCCGAAGATGTCTTTGGAAACGGGAATATCTTCACATAAAAACTAAACAGAAGCATTCTCAGAAACTTCTTGGTGATGTTTGCATTCAAATCCCAGAGTTGAACCTTCCTTTGATAGTTCAGGTTTGAAACACTCTTTCTGTAGGATCTGCAAGTGGCTATTTGGACCACTCTGTGGCCTTCGTTCGAAACGGGTATATCTTCGCATAAAATCTAGACAGAAGCATTCTCAGAAAATACTTTGTGATGATTGAGTTTAAATCACAGAGCTGACCATTCCTTTGGATGGAGCAGGTTTGAGACACACTTTTTGTAGAATCTACAAGTGGATATTTGGACCTCTCTGAGGATTTCGTTGGAAACGGGGTAACTGCACCTAACTAAACGGAAGCATTCTCAGAAACTGCTTTGTGATGATTGCATTCACCTCACAGAGTTGAACATTCCTATTGATAGAGCAGTTTGGAAACACTCTTGTTGTGGAATGTGCAAGTGGAGATTTGGAGCGCTTTGAGGCCTATGGTAGTAAAGGGAATAGCTTCATAGAAAAACTAGACAGATGCATTCTCAGGAACCTTTTGGTGATGTTTGTATTCAACTCCCAGAGTTGAACTTTCCTTTGGAAAGAGCAGCTATGAAACACTCTTTTTCTAGAATCTGCAAGTGGACGTTTGGAGGGCTTTGTGGTTTGTGGTGGAAAAGGAAATATCTTCACCTAAATACTAGATAGAAGCATTCTCAGAAGCTTCTCTGTGATGACTGCATTCAACTCACGGAGTTGAACACTCCTTTTGAGAGCGCAGTTTTGAAACTCTCTTTCTGTGGCATCTGCAAGGGGACATGTAGACCTCTTTGAAGATTTCGTTGGAAACGGAATCATCTTCACATAAAAACTATACAGAAGCAGTCTCAGAAATCTTCTTTGTGATGTTTGCATTCAAATCCCAGAGTTGAACTTTCCTTTCAAAGTTCACGTTTGAAACACTCTTTTTGCAGGATCTACAAGTGGATATTTGGACCACTCTGTGTCCTTCGTTCGAAACGGGTATATCTTCACACGACATCTAGACAGAAGCTTTCTCAGAAAATTCTTTGGGATGATTGAGTGGAACTCACAGAGCTGAACATTCCTTGCGATGTAGCAGTTTAGAAACACACTTTCTGCAGAATCTGCAAGTGCATATTTGGACCTCTCTGAGGAATTCGTTGGAAACGGGATAATTTCAGCTGACTAAACAGAAGCATTCTCAGAACCTCCTTCGTGATGTCTGCATTCAACTCACAGTGTGGAACCTTTCTTTGATAGTTCAGGTTTGAAACACTCTTTTTGTAGAAACTGCAAGGGGATAATTGCACTTCTTTGAGGCCTACCGTAATAAAGGAAATAACTTCCTATAGAAAGAAGACAGAAGCATTCTCAGAACCCTCTTCGTGATGTTTGCATTCAACTCACAGTGCTGAACCTTTCTTTGATAGTTCAGCTTTGAAACACTCTTCTTGTAGAAACTGCAAGTGGATATTTGGTCCTCTCTGAGGATTTCGTTGGAAACGGGATAAACCGCACAGAACTAAACAGAAGAATTCTCAGAGCCCTTTTCGTGATGTTTGCATTCAACTCACAGTGCTGAACCTTTCTTTGATAGTGCAGCTTTGAAACACTCTTTTTGTAGAAACTGCAAGTGGATATTTGGTCCTCTCTGAGGATTTCGTTGGAAACGGGATAAACCGCACAGAACTAAAACAGAAGCATTCACAGAAAACTCTTGGTGACGACTGAGTTTAACTCACAGAGCTGAATATTCCTTTGGATGGAGCAGTTTCGAAACACACTATTTGTAGAATGTGCAAGTGGATACGTGGGCCTCTCTGAGGATTTCGTTGGAAACGGGATAAACCGCACAGAACTAAACAGAAGCATTCTCAGAAACTACTTTGTGATGATTGCATTCAAGTCACAGAGTTGAACATTCCCTTTGACAGAGCAGTTTGGAAACTCTCTTTGTGTAGAATCTGCAAGTGGAGATATGGACCGCTTTGAGGCCTATGGTAGTAAAGGAAATAGCTTCATATAAAAGCTAGTCAGTAGCATTCTCAGAAACTTCTTTGTGATGCTTGCATTCAACTCACAGAGTTGAACTTTCCTTTCGAGAGAGAAGCTTTGAAACACTCTTTTTCCAGAATCTGCAAGTGGACATTTGGAGGGCTTTGAGGCCTGTGGTGGAAAAGGAATTATCTTCCCGTAAAAGCTAGATAGAAGCATTGTCAGAAACTTCTTTGTGATGATTGCATTCAACTCACAGAGATGAAGGTTCCTTTACAAACAGCAGTTTCCAAACACTCTTTCTGTGGAATCTGCAAGTGGATATTTGGACCTCTTTGAAGATTTCGTTGGAAACGGGAGAATCTTCACAGAAAAGCTAAACAGAAGCATTCTCAGAAACTTCTCTGTGATGTTTGTGTTCAACTCCCAGAGTTTCACATTGCTTTTCATAGAGTAGTTCTGAAACATGCTTTTCGTAGTGTCTGCAAGTGGACATTTGGAGCGCTTTCAGGCCTGTGGTGGAAAACGAATTATGGTCCCATAAAAACTGGAGAGAAGACTTCTCAGAAACTTCTCTGTGATGATTGCATTCAACTCACAGATTTGAACCCTCCTATGGATAGAGCATTGTTGAAACTCTCTTTTTGTGGAATCTGCAAGTGGATATGTGGAGCTCTCCGAAGATGTCTTTGGAAACGGGAATATCTTCACATAAAAACTAAACAGAAGCATTCTCAGAAACTTCTTGGTGATGTTTGCATTCAAATCCCAGAGTTGAACCTTCCTGTGATAGTTCAGGTTTGAAACACTCTTTTTGTAGGATCTGCAAGTGGATATTTGGACCACTACTGTGGCCTTCGTTCGAAACGGGTACATCTTCACATAAAATCTAGACAGAAGCATTCTCAGAAAATACTTTGTGATGATTGAGTTTAACTCACAGAGCTGAACATTCCTTTGGATGGAGCAGGTTTGAGACACACTTTTTGTAGAATCTACAAGTGGATATTTGGACCTCTCTGAGGATTTCGTTGGAAACGCGATAACTGCACCTAACTAAACGGAAGCATTCTCAGAAACTGCTTTGTGATGATTGCATTCACCTCACAGAGTTGAACATTCCTATTGATAGAGCAGTTTGGAAACACTCTTGTTGTGGAATGTGCAAGTGGAGATTTGGAGCGCTTTGAGGCCTATGGTAGTAAAGGGAATAGCTTCATAGAAAAACTAGACAGATGCATTCTCAGGAACTTTTTGGTGATGTTTGTATTCAACTCCCAGAGTTGAACTTTCCTTTGGAAAGAGCAGCTATGAAACACTCTTTTTCTAGAATCTGCAAGTGGACGTTTGGAGGGCTTTGTGGTTTGTGGTGGAAAAGGAAATATCTTCACCTAAATACTAGATAGAAGCATCCTCAGAAGCTTCTCTGTGATGACTGCATTCAACTCACGGAGTTGAACACTCCTTTTGAGAGCGCAGTTTTGAAACTCTCTTTCTGTGGCATCTGCAAGGGGACATGTAGACCTCTTTGAAGATTTCGTTGGAAACAGAATCATCTTCACATAAAAACTATACAGAAGCAGTCTCAGAATCTTCTTTGTGATGTTTGCATTCAAATCCCCGAGTTGAACTTTCCTTTCAAAGTTCACGTTTGAAACACTCTTTTTGCAGGATCTACAAGTGGATATTTGGACCACTCTGTGTCCTTCGTTCGAAACGGGTATATCTTCACATGACATCTAGACAGAAGCTTTCTCAGAAAATTCTTTGGGATGATTGAGTTGAACTCACAGAGCTGAGCATTCCTTGCGATGTAGCAGTTTAGAAACACACTTTCTGCAGAATCTGCAAGTGCATATTTGGACCTCTGTGAGGAATTCGTTGGAAACGGGATAATTTCAGCTGACTAAACAGAAGCATTCTCAGAACCTTCTTCGTGATGTCTGCATTCAACTCACAGTGTGGAACCTTTCTTTGATAGTTCAGGTTTGAAACACTCTTTCTGTAGAAACTGCAAGGGGATAATTGCACTCTTTGAGGAGTACCGTAGTAAAGGAAATAACTTCCTATAAAAAGAAGACAGAAGCATTCTCAGAACCCTCTTCGTGATGTTTGCATTCAACTCACAGTGCTGAACCTTTCTTTGATAGTTCAGCTTTGAAACACTCTTTTTGTAGAAACTGCAAGTGGATATTTGGTCCTCTCTGAGCATTTCGTTGGAAACGGGATAAACTGCACAGAACTAAACAGAAGCATTCTCAGAACCTTCTTCGTGATGTTTGCATTCAACTCACAGTGTTGAACCTTTCTTTGATAGTTCAGGTTTCAAACGGTCTTTCTGTAGAAACTGCAAGTAGATATTTGGACCTCTCTGAGGATTTCGTTGGAAACGGGATAACCCGCACAGAACTAAAACAGAAGCATTCACAGAAAACTCTTGGTGACGACTGAGTTTAACTCACAGAGCTGAACATTCCTTTGGATGGAGCAGTTTCGAAACACACTATTTGTAGAATGTGCAAGTGGATATTTAGGCCTCTCTGAGGATTTCGTCGGAAACGGGATAAACCGCACAGAACTAAACAGAAGCATTCTCAGAAACTACTTTGTGATGATTGCATTCAAGTCACAGAGCTGAACATTCCCTTTGACAGAGCAGTTTGGAAACTCTCTTTGTGTAGAATCTGCAAGTGGAGATATGGAATGCTTTGAGGACTATGGTAGTAAAGGAAATACCTTCATATAAAAGCTAGACAGTAGCATTCTCAGAAACTTCTTTGTGATGCTTGCATTCAACTCACAGAGTTGAACTTTCCTTTCGAGAGAGAAGCTTTGAAACACTCTTTTTCCAGAATCTGCAAGTGGACATTTGGAGGGCTTTGAGGCCTGTGGTGGAAAAGGAATTATCTTCCCGTAAAAGCTAGATAGAAGCATTGTCAGAAACTTCTTTGTGATGATTGCATTCAACTCACAGAGTTGAAGGTTCCTTTTCAAAGAGCAGTTTCCAATCACTCTTTCTGTGGAATCTGCAAGTGGATATTTCGACCTCTTTGAAGATTTCGTTGGAAACGGGAGAATCTTCACAGAAAAGCTAAAGAGAAGCATTCTCAGAAACTTCTCTGTGATGTTTGTGTTCAACTCCCAGAGTTTCACATTGCTTTTCATAGAGTAGTTCTGAAACATGCTTTTCGTAGTGTCTGCAAGTGGACATTTGGAGCGCTTTCAGGCCTGTGGTGGAAAACGAATTATGGTCACATAAAAACTGGAGAGAAGCCTTCTCAGAAACTTCTCTGTGATGATTGCATTCAACTCACAGAGTTGAACCCTCCCTATGGATAGAGCAGTGTTGAAACTCTCTTTTTGTGGAATCTGCAAGTGGATATGTGGACCTCTCCGAAGATGTCTTTGGAAACGGGAATATCTTCACATAAAAACTAAACAGAAGCATTCTCAGAAATTTCTTGGTGATGTTTGCATACAAATCCCAGAGTTGAACCTTCCTTTGATAGTTCAGGTTTGAAACACTCTTTTTGTAGGATCTGCAAGTGGCTATTTGGACTACTCTGAGGCCTTCGTTCGAAACGGGTATATCTTCGCATAAAATCTAGACAGAAGCATTCTCAGAAAATACTTTGTGATGATTGAGTTGAACTCACAGAGCTGAACATTCCTTTGGATGGAGCAGGTTTGAGACACACTTTTTGTAGAATCTACAAGTGGATATTTGGACCTCTCTGAGGATTTCGTTGGAAACGGGATAACTGCACCTAACTAAACGGAAGCATTCTCAGAAACTGCTTTGTGATGATTGCATTCACCTCACAGAGTTGAACATTTCTATTGATAGAGCAGTTTGGAAACACTCTTGTTGTGGAATGTGCAAGTGGAGATTTGGAGCGCTTTGAGGCCTATGGTAGTAAAGGGAATAGCTTCATAGAAAAACTAGACAGATGCATTCTCAGGAACTTTTTGGTGATGTTTGTATTCAACTCCCAGAGTTGAACTTTCCTTTGGAAAGAGCAGCTATGAAACACTCTTTTTCTAGAATCTGCAAGTGGACGTTTGGAGGGCTTTGTGGTTTGTGGTGGAAAAGGAAATATCTTCACCTAAATACTAGATAGAAGCATTCTCAGAAGCTTCTCTGTGATGACTGCATTCAACTCACGGAGTTGAACACTCCTTTTGAGAGCGCAGTTTTGAAACTCTCTTTCTGTGGCATCTGCAAGGGGACATGTAGACCTCTTTGAAGATTTCGTTGGAAACGGAATCATCTTCACATAAAAACTATACAGAAGCAGTCTCAGAATCTTCTTTGTGATGTTTGCATTCAAATCCCAGAGTTGAACTTTCCTTTCAAAGTTCACGTTTGAAACACTCTTTTTGCAGGATCTACAAGTGGATATTTGGACCACTCTGTGTCCTTCGTTCGAAACGGGTATATCTTCACACGACATCTAGACAGAAGCTTTCTCAGAAAATTCTTTGGGATGATTGAGTGGAACTCACAGAGCTGAACATTCCTTGCGATGTAGCAGTTTAGAAACACACTTTCTGCAGAATCTGCAAGTGCATATTTGGACCTCTCTGAGGAATTCGTTGGATACGGGATAATTTCAGCTGACTAAACAGAAGCATTCTCAGAACTTCTTCGTGATGTCTGCATTCAACTCACAGTGTGGAACCTTTCTTTGATAGTTCAGGTTTGAAACACTCTTTTTGTAGAAACTGCAAGGGGATAATTGCACTTCTTTGAGGCCTACCGTAGTAAAGGAAATAACTTCCTATAGAAAGAAGACAGAAGAATTCTCAGAGCCCTCTTCGTGATGTTTGCATTCAACTCACAGTGCTGAACCTTTCTTTGATAGTGCAGCTTTGAAACACTCTTTTTGTAGAAACTGCAAGTGGATGTTTGGTCCTCTGCTGAGGATTTCGTTGGAAACGGGATAAACCGCACAGAACTAAAACAGAAGCATTCTCAGAACCTTCTTCGTGATGTTTGCATTCAACTCACAGTGTTGAACCTTTCTTTGATAGTTCAGGTTTGAAACGGTCTTTCTGTAGAAACTGCTAGTAGATATTTGGACCTCTCTGAGGATTTCGTTGGAAACGGGATAAAGCGCACACAACTAAAACAGATAGCATTCACAGTAAAACTCTTGGTGACGACTGAGTTTAACTCACAGAGCTGAACATTCCTTTGGATGGAGCAGTTTCGAAACACACTATTTGTAGAATGTGCAAGTGGATATTTGGGCCTCTCTGAGGATTTCGTTGGAAACGGGATAAACCGCACAGAACTAAACAGAAGCATTCTCAGAAACTACTTTGTGATGATTGCATTCAAGTCACAGAGTTGAACATTCCCTTTGACGGAGCAGTTTCGAAACTCTCTTTGTGTAGAATCTGCAAGTGGAGATATGGAATGCTTTGAGGACTATGGTAGTAAAGGAAATAGCTTCATATAAAAGCTAGACAGTAGCATTCTCAGAAACTTCTTTGTGATGCTTGCATTCAACTCACAGAGTTGAACTTTCCTTTCGAGAGAGAAGCTTTGAAACACTCTTTTTCCAGAATGTGCAAGTGGACATTTGGGGAGCTTTGAGGCCTGTGGTGGAAAAGGAATTATCTTCCCGTAAAAGCTAGATAGAAGCATTGTCAGAAACTTCTTTGAGATGATTGCATTCAACTCACAGAGTTGAAGGTTCCTTTTCAAACAGCAGTTTCCAATCACTCTTTCTGTGGAATCTGCAAGTGGATATTTCGACCTCTTTGAAGATTTCGTTGGAAACGGGAGAATCTTCACAGAAAAGCTAAACAGAAGCATTCTCAGAAACTTCTCTGTGATGTTTGTGTTCAACTCCCAGAGTTTCACGTTGCTTTTCATAGAGTAGTTCTGAAACATGCTTTTCGTAGTGTCTGCAAGTGGACATTTGGAGCGCTTTCAGGCCTGTGGTGGAAAACGAATTATGGTCACATAAAAACTGGAGAGAAGCCTTCTCAGAAACTTCTCTGTGATGATTGCATTCAACTCACAGAGTTGAACCCTCCTATGGATAGAGCAGTGTTGAAACTCTCTTTTTGTGGAATCTGCAAGTGGATATGTGGACCTCTCCGAAGATGTCTTTGGAAACGGGAATATCTTCACATAAAAACTAAACAGAAGCATTCTCAGAAACTTCTTGGTGATGTTTGCATTCAAATCCCAGAGTTGAACCTTCCTTTGATAGTTCAGGTTTGAAACACTCTTTCTGTAGGATCTGCAAGTGGCTATTTGGACCACTCTGTGGCCTTCGTTCGAAACGGGTATATCTTCGCATAAAATCTAGACAGAAGCATTCTCAGAAAATACTTTGTGATGATTGAGTTTAAATCACAGAGCTGACCATTCCTTTGGATGGAGCAGGTTTGAGACACACTTTTTGTAGAATCTACAAGTGGATATTTGGACCTCTCTGAGGATTTCGTTGGAAACGGGATAACTGCACCTAACTAAACGGAAGCATTCTCAGAAACTGCTTTGTGATGATTGTATTCACCTCACAGAGTTGAACATTCCTATTGATAGAGCAGTTTGGAAACACTCTTGTTGTGGAATGTGCAAGTGGAGATTTGGAGCGCTTTGAGGCCTATGGTAGTAAAGGGAATAGCTTCATAGAAAAACTAGACAGATGCATTCTCAGGAACTTTTTGGTGATGTTTGTATTCAACTCCCAGAGTTGAACTTTCCTTTGGAAAGAGCAGCTATGAAACACTCTTTTTCTAGAATCTGCAAGTGGACGTTTGGAGGGCTTTGTGGTTTGTGGTGGAAAAGGAAATATCTTCACCTAAATACTAGACAGAAGCATTCTCAGAAGCTTCTCTGTGATGACTGCATTCAACTCACGGAGTTGAACACTCCTTTTGAGAGCGCAGTTTTGAAACTCTCTTTCTGTGGCATCTGCAAGGGGACATGTAGACCTCTTTGAAGATTTCGTTGGAAACGGAATCATCTTCACATAAAAACTATACAGAAGCAGTCTCAGAATCTTCTTTGTGATGTTTGCATTCAAATCCCAGAGTTGAACTTTCCTTTCAAAGTTCACGTTTGAAACACTCTTTTTGCAGGATCTACAAGTGGATATTTGGACCACTCTGTGTCCTTCGTTCGAAACGGGTATATCTTCACACGACATCTAGACAGAAGCTTTCTCAGAAAATTCTTTGGGATGATTGAGTGGAACTCACAGAGCTGAACATTCCTTGCGATGTAGCAGTTTAGAAACACACTTTCTGCAGAATCTGCAAGTGCATATTTGGACCTCTCTGAGGAATTCGTTGGAAACGGGATAATTTCAGCTGACTAAACAGAAGCATTCTCAGAACCTTCTTCGTGATGTCTGCATTCAACTCACAGTGTGGAACCTTTCTTTGATAGTTCAGGTTTGAAACACTCTTTTTGTAGAAACTGCAAGGGGATAATTGCACTTCTTTGAGGCCTACCGTAGTAAAGGAAATAACTTCCTATAGAAAGAAGACAGAAGCATTCTCAGAACCCTCTTCGTGATGTTTGCATTCAACTCACAGTGCTGAACCTTTCTTTGATAGTTCAGCTTTGAAACACTCTTCTTGTAGAAACTGCAAGTGGATATTTGGTCCTCTCTGAGGATTTCGTTGGAAACGGGATAAACCGCACAGAACTAAACAGAAGCATTCTCAGAACCTTCTTCGTGATGTTTGCATTCAACTCACAGTGTTGAACCTTTCTTTGATAGTTCAGGTTTGAAACGGTCTTTCTGTAGAAACTGCAAGTAGATATTTGGACCTCTCTGAGGATTTCGTTGGAAACGGGATAAACCGCACAGAACTAAAACAGAAGCATTCACAGAAAACTCTTGGTGACGACTGAGTTTAACTCACAGAGCTGAACATTCCTTTGGATGGAGCAGTTTCGAAACACACTATTTGTAGAATGTGCAAGTGGATATTTGGGCCTCTCTGAGGATTTCGTTGGAAACGGGATAAACCGCACAGAACTAAACAGAAGCATTCTCAGAAACTACTTTGTGATGATTGCATTCAAGTCACAGAGTTGAACATTCCCTTTGACAGAGCAGTTTGGAAACTCTCTTTGTGTAGAATCTGCAAGTGGAGATATGGACCGCTTTGAGGCCTATGGTAGTAAAGGAAATAGCTTCATATAAAAGCTAGACAGTAGCATTCTCAGAAACTTCTTTGTGATGCTTGCATTCAACTCACAGAGTTGAACTTTCCTTTCGAGAGAGAAGCTTTGAAACACTCTTTTTCCAGAATCTGCAAGTGGACATTTGGAGGGCTTTGAGGCCTGTGGTGGAAAAGGAATTATCTTCCCATAAAAGCTAGATAGAAGCATTGTCAGAAACTTCTTTGTGATGATTGCATTCAAGTCACAGAGTTGAAGGTTCCTTTTCAAAGAGCAGTTTCCAATCACTCTTTCTGTGGAATCTGCAAGTGGATATTTGGACCTCTTTGAAGATTTCGTTGGAAACGGGAGAATCTTCACAGAAAAGCTAAACAGAAGCATTCTCAGAAACTTCTCTGTGATGTTTGTGTTCAACTCCCAGAGTTTCACATTGCTTCTCATAGAGTAGTTCTGAAACATGCTTTTCGTAGTGTCTGCAAGTGGACATTTGGAGCGCTTTCAGGCCTGTGGTGGAAAACGAATTATGGTCACATAAAAACTGGAGAGAAGCCTTCTCAGAAACTTCTCTGTGACGATTGCATTCAACTCACAGAGTTGAACCCTCCTATGGATAGAGCAGTGTTGAAACTCTCTTTTTGTGGAATCTGCAAGCGGATATGTGGACCTCTCCGAAGATGTCTTTGGCAACGGGAATATCTTCACATAAAAACTAAACAGAAGCATTCCCAGAAACTTCTTGGTGATGTTTGCATTCAAATCCCAGAGTTGAACCTTCCTTTGATAGTTCAGGTTTGAAACACTCTTTTTGTAGGATCTGCAAGTGGATATTTGGACCACTCTGTGGCCTTCGTTCGAAACGGGTATATCTTCGCATAAAATCTAGACAGAAGCATTCTCAGAAAATACTTTGTGATGATTGAGTTGAACTCACAGAGCTGAACATTCCTTTGGATGGAGCAGGTTTGAGACACACTTTTTGTAGAATCTACAAGTGGATATTTGGACCTCTCTGAGGATTTCGTTGGAAACGGGATAACTGCACCTAACTAAACGGAAGCCTTCTCAGAAACTGCTTTGTGATGATTGCATTCACCTCACAGAGTTGAACATTCCTATTGATAGAGCAGTTTGGAAACACTCTTGTTGTGGAATGTGCAAGTGGAGATTTGGAGCGCTTTGAGGCCTATGGTAGTAAAGGGAAGAGCTTCATAGAAAAACAAGACAGATGCATTCTCAGGAACTTTTTGGTGATGTTTGTATTCAACTCCCAGAGTTGAACTTTCCTTTGGAAAGAGCAGCTATGAAACACTCTTTTTCTAGAATCTGCAAGTGGACGTTTGGAGGGCTTTGTGGTTTGTGGTGGAAAAGGAAATATCTTCACCTAAATACTAGATAGAAGCATTCTCAGAAGCTTCTCTGTGATGACTGCATTCAACTCACGGAGTTGAACACTCCTTTTGAGAGCGTAGTTTTGAAACTCTCTTTCTGTGGCATCTGCAAGGGGACATGTAGACCTCTTTGAAGATTTCGTTGGAAACGGAATCATCTTCACATAAAAACTATACAGAAGCAGTCTCAGAATCTTCTTTGTGATGTTTGCATTCAAATCCCCGAGTTGAACTTTCCTTTCAAAGTTCACGTTTGAAACACTCTTTTTGCAGGATCTACAAGTGGATATTTGGACCACTCTGTGTCCTTCGTTCGAAACGGGTATATCTTCACATGACATCTAGACAGAAGCTTTCTCAGAAAATTCTTTGGGATGATTGAGTTGAACTCACAGAGCTGAGCATTCCTTGCGATGTAGCAGTTTAGAAACACACTTTCTGCAGAATCTGCAAGTGCATATTTGGACCTCTGTGAGGAATTCGTTGGAAACGGGATAATTTCAGCTGACTAAACAGAAGCATTCTCAGAACCTTCTTCGTGATGTCTGCATTCAACTCACAGTGTGGAACCTTTCTTTGATAGTTCAGGTTTGAAACACTCTTTCTGTAGAAACTGCAAGGGGATAATTGCACTCTTTGAGGAGTACCGTAGTAAAGGAAATAACTTCCTATAAAAAGAAGACAGAAGCATTCTCAGAACCCTCTTCGTGATGTTTGCATTCAACTCACAGTGCTGAACCTTTCTTTGATAGTTCAGCTTTGAAACACTCTTTTTGTAGAAACTGCAAGTGGATATTTGGTCCTCTCTGAGGATTTCGTTGGAAACGGGATAAACTGCACAGAACTAAACAGAAGCATTCTCAGAACCTTCTTCGTGATGTTTGCATTCAACTCACAGTGTGGAACCTTTCTTTGATAGTTCAGGTTTGAAACGGTCTTTCTGTAGAAACTGCAAGTAGATATTTGGACCTCTCTGAGGATTTCGTTGGAAACGGGATAACCCGCACAGAACTAAAACAGAAGCATTCACAGAAAACTCTTGGTGACGACTGAGTTTAACTCACAGAGCTGAACATTCCTTTGGATGGAGCAGTTTCGAAACACACTATTTGTAGAATGTGCAAGTGGATATTTGGGCCTCTCTGAGGATTTCGTTGGAAACGGGATAAACCGCACAGAACTAAACAGAAGCATTCTCAGAAACTACTTTGTGATGATTGCATTCAAGTCACAGAGTTGAACATTCCCTTTGACAGAGCAGTTTGGAAACTCTCTTTGTGTAGAATCTGCAAGTGGAGATATGGACCGCTTTGAGGCCTATGGTAGTAAAGGAAATAGCTTCATATAAAAGCTAGACAGTAGCATTCTCAGGACCTTCTTTGTGATGCTTGCATTCAACTCACAGAGTTGAACTTTCCTTTCGAGAGAGAAGCTTTGAAACACTCTTTTTCCAGAATGTGCAAGTGGACATTTGGAGGGCTTTGAGGCCTGTGGTGGAAAAGGAATTATCTTCCCGTAAAAGCTAGATAGAAGCATTGTCAGAAACTTCTTTGTGATGATTGCATTCAAGTCACAGAGTTGAAGGTTCCTTTTCAAAGAGCAGTTTCCAATCACTCTTTCTGTGGAATCTGCAAGTGGATATTTGGACCTCTTTGAAGATTTCGTTGGAAACGGGAGAATCTTCACAGAAAAGCTAAACAGAAGCATTCTCAGAAACTTCTCTGTGATGTTTGTGTTCAACTCCCAGAGTTTCACGTTGCTTTTCATAGAGTAGTTCTGAAACATGCTTTTCGTAGTGTCTGCAAGTGGACATTTGGAGCGCTTTCAGGCCTGTGGTGGAAAACGAATTATGGTCACATAAAAACTGGAGAGAAGCCTTCTCAGAAACTTCTCTGTGATGATTGCATTCAACTCACAGAGTTGAACCCTCCTATGGATAGAGCAGTGTTGAAACTCTCTTTTTGTGGAACCTGCAAGTGGATATGTGGACCTCTCCGAAGATGTCTTTGGAAACGGGAATATCTTCACATAAAAACTAAACAGAAGCATTCTCAGAAACTTCTTGGTGATGTTTGCATTCAAATCCCAGAGTTGAACCTTCCTTTGATAGTTCAGGTTTGAAACACTCTTTTTGTAGGATCTGCAAGTGGATATTTGGACCACTCCGTGGCCTTCATTCGAAACGGGTACATCTTCGCATAAAATCTAGACAGAAGCATTCTCAGAAAATACTTTGTGATGATTGAGTTTAAATCACAGAGCTGACCATTCCTTTGGATGGAGCAGGTTTGAGACACACTTTTTGTAGAATCTACAAGTGGATATTTGGACCTCTCTGAGGATTTCGTTGGAAACGGGATAACTGCACCTAACTAAACGGAAGCATTCTCAGAAACTGCTTTGTGATGATTGCATTCACCTCACAGAGTTGAACATTCCTATTGATAGAGCAGTTTGGAAACACTCTTGTTGTGGAATGTGCAAGTGGAGATTTGGAGCGCTTTGAGGCCTATGGTAGTAAAGGGAATAGCTTCATAGAAAAACTAGACAGATGCATTCTCAGGAACTTTTTGGTGATGTTTGTATTCAACTCCCAGAGTTGAACTTTCCTTTGGAAAGAGCAGCTATGAAACACTCTTTTTCTAGAATCTGCAAGTGGACGTTTGGAGGGCTTTGTGGTTTGTGGTGGAAAAGGAAATATCTTCACCTAAATACTAGATAGAAGCATTCTCAGAAGCTTCTCTGTGATGACTGCATTCAACTCACGGAGTTGAACACTCCTTTTGAGAGCGCAGTTTTGAAACTCTCTTTCTGTGGCATCTGCAAGGGGACATGTAGACCTCTTTGAAGATTTCGTTGGAAACGGAATCATCTTCACATAAAAACTATACAGAAGCAGTCTCAGAATCTTCTTTGTGATGTTTGCATTCAAATCCCAGAGTTGAACTTTCCTTTCAAAGTTCACGTTTGAAACACTCTTTTTGCAGGATCTACAAGTGGATATTTGGACCACTCTGTGTCCTTCGTTCGAAACGGGTATATCTTCACACGACATCTAGACAGAAGCTTTCTCAGAAAATTCTTTGGGATGATTGAGTGGAACTCACAGAGCTGAACATTCCTTGCGATGTAGCAGTTTAGAAACACACTTTCTGCAGAATCTGCAAGTGCATATTTGGACCTCTCTGAGGAATTCGTTGGAAACGGGATAATTTCAGCTGACTAAACAGAAGCATTCTCAGAACCTTCTTCGTGATGTCTGCATTCAACTCACAGTGTGGAACCTTTCTTTGATAGTTCAGGTTTGAAACACTCTTTTTGTAGAAACTGCAAGGGGATAATTGCACTTCTTTGAGGCCTACCGTAGTAAAGGAAATAACTTCCTATAGAAAGAAGACAGAAGCATTCTTCAGAACCCTCTTCGTGATGTTTGCATTCAACTCACAGTGCTGAACCTTTCTTTGATAGTTCAGCTTTGAAACACTCTTCTTGTAGAAACTGCAAGTGGATATTTGGTCCTCTCTGAGGATTTCGTTGGAAACGGGATAAACCGCACAGAACTAAACAGAAGAATTCTCAGAGCCCTCTTCGTGATGTTTGCATTCAACTCACAGTGCTGAACCTTTCTTTGATAGTGCAGCTTTGAAACACTCTTTTTGTAGAAACTGCAAGTGGATGTTTGGTCCTCTCTGAGGATTTCGTTGGAAACGGGATAAACCGCACAGAACTAAAACAGAAGCATTGTCAGAAACTTCTTTGTGATGATTGCATTCAACTCACAGAGTTGAAGGTTCCTTTTCAAACAGCAGTTTCCAATCACTCTTTCTGTGGAATCTGCAAGTGGATATTTGGGCCTCTCTGAGGATTTCGTTGGAAACGGGATAAAACGCACAGAACTAAAACAGAAGCATTCTCAGAAACTTCTCTGTGATGTTTGTGTTCAACTCCCAGAGTTTCACGTTGCTTTTCATAGAGTAGTTCTGAAACATGCTTTTCGTAGTGTCTGCAAGTGGACATTTGGAGCGCTTTCAGGCCTGTGGTGGAAAACGAATTATGGTCACATAAAAACTGGAGAGAAGCCTTCTCAGAAACTTCTCTGTGATGATTGCATTCAACTCACAGAGTTGAACCCTCCTATGGATAGAGCAGTGTTGAAACTCTCTTTTTGTGGAATCTGCAAGTGGATATGTGGACCTCTCCGAAGATGTCTTTGGAAACGGGAATATCTTCACATAAAAACTAAACAGAAGCATTCTCAGAAACTTCTTGGTGATGTTTGCATTCAAATCCCAGAGTTGAACCTTCCTTTGATAGTTCAGGTTTGAAACACTCTTTTTGTAGGATCTGCAAGTGGCTATTTGGACCACTCTGTGGCCTTCGTTCGAAACGGGTATATCTTCGCATAAAATCTAGACAGAAGCATTCTCAGAAAATACTTTGTGATGATTGAGTTGAACTCACAGAGCTGAACATTCCTTTGGATGGAGCAGGTTTGAGACACACTTTTTGTAGAATCTACAAGTGGATATTTGGACCTCTCTGAGGATTTCGTTGGAAACGGGATAACTGCACCTAACTAAACGGAAGCATTCTCAGAAACTGCTTTGTGATGATTGCATTCACCTCACAGAGTTGAACATTCCTATTGATAGAGCAGTTTGAAAACACTCTTGTTGTGGAATGTGCAAGTGGAGATTTGGAGCGCTTTGAGGCCTATGGTAGTAAAGGGAATAGCTTCATAGAAAAACTAGACAGATGCATTCACAGGAACTTTTTGGTGATGTTTGTATTCAACTCCCAGAGTTGAACTTTCCTTTGGAAAGAGCAGCTATGAAACACTCTTTTTCTAGAATCTGCAAGTGGACGTTTGGAGGGCTTTGTGGTTTGTGGTGGAAAAGGAAATATCTTCACCTAAATACTAGATAGAAGCATTCTCAGAAGCTTCTCTGTGATGACTGCATTCAACTCACGGAGTTGAACACTCCTTTTGAGAGCGCAGTTTTGAAACTCTCTTTCTGTGGCATCTGCAAGGGGACATGTAGACCTCTTTGAAGATTTCGTTGCAAACGGAATCATCTTCACATAAAAACTATACAGAAGCAGTCTCAGAATCTTCTTTGTGATGTTTGCATTCAAATCCCAGAGTTGAACTTTCCTTTCAAAGTTCACGTTTGAAACACTCTTTTTGCAGGATCTACAAGTGGATATTTGGACCACTCTGTGTCCTTCGTTCGAAACGGGTATATCTTCACATGACATCTAGACAGAAGCTTTCTCAGAAAATTCTTTGAGATGATTGAGTGGAACTCACAGAGCTGAACATTCCTTGCGATGTAGCAGTTTAGAAACACACTTTCTGCAGAATCTGCAAGTGCATATTTGGACCTCTCTGAGGAATTCGTTGGAAACGGGATAATTTCAGCTGACTAAACAGAAGCATTCTCAGAACCTTCTTCGTGATGTCTGCATTCAACTCACAGTGTGGAAGCTTTCTTTGATAGTTCAGGTTTGAAACACTCTTTTTGTAGAAACTGCAAGGGGATAATTGCACTTCTTTGAGGCCTACCGTAGTAAAGGAAATAACTTCCTATAGAAAGAAGACAGAAGCATTCTCAGAACCCTCTTCGTGATGTTTGCATTCAACTCACAGTGCTGAACCTTTCTTTGATAGTTCAGCTTTGAAACACTCTTCTTGTAGAAACTGCAAGTGGATATTTGGTCCTCTCTGAGGATTTCGTTGGAAACGGGATAAACCGCACAGAACTAAACAGAAGCATTCTCAGAACCTTCTTCGTGATGTTTGCATTCAACTCACAGTGTTGAACCTTTCTTTGATAGTTCAGGTTTGAAACGGTCTTTCTGTAGAAACTGCAAGAAGATATTTGGACCTCTCTGAGGATTTCGTTGGAAACGGGATAAACCGCACAGAACTAAAACAGAAGCATTCACAGAAAACTCTTGGTGACGACTGAGTTTAACTCACAGAGCTGAACATTCCTTTGGATGGAGCAGTTTCGAAACACACTATTTGTAGAATGTGCAAGTGGATATTTGGGCCTCTCTGAGGATTTCGTTGGAAACGGGATAAACCGCACAGAACTAAACAGAAGCATTCTCAGAAACTACTTTGTGATGATTGCATTCAAGTCACAGAGTTGAACATTCCCTTTGACAGAGCAGTTTGGAAACTCTCTTTCTGTAGAATCTGCAAGTGGAGATATGGACCGCTTTCAGGCCTATGGTAGTAAAGGAAATAGCTTCATATAAAAGCTAGACAGTAACATTCTCAGAAACTTCTTTGTGATGCTTGCATTCAACTCACAGAGTTGAACTTTCCTTTCGAGAGAGAAGCTTTGAAACACTCTTTTTCCAGAATCTGCAAGTGGACATTTGGAGGGCTTTGAGGCCTGTGGTGGAAAAGGAATTAACTTCCCGTAAAAGCTAGATAGAAGCATTGTCAGAAACTTCTTTGTGATGATTGCATTCAACTCACAGAGATGAAGGTTCCTTTTCAAACAGCAGTTTCCAAACAGTCTTTCTGTGGAATCTGCAAGTGGATATTTGGACCTCTTTGAAGATTTCGTTGGAAACGGGAGAATCTTCACAGAAAAGCTAAACAGAAGCATTCTCACAAACTTCTCTGTGATGTTTGTGTTCAACTCCCAGAGTTTCACATTGCTTTTCATAGAGTAGTTCTGAAACATGCTTTTCGTAGTGTCTGCAAGTGGACATTTGGAGCGCTTTCAGGCCTGTGGTGGAAAACGAATTATGGTCCCATAAAAACTGGAGAGAAGCCTTCTCAGAAACTTCTCTGTGATGATTGCATTCAACTCACAGATTTGAACCCTCCTATGGATAGAGCATTGTTGAAACTCTCTTTTTGTGGAATCTGCAAGTGGATATGTGGACCTCTCCGAAGATGTCTTTGGAAACGGGAATATCTTCACATAAAAACTAAACAGAAGCATTCTCAGAAACTTCTTGGTGATGTTTGCATTCAAATCCCAGAGTTGAACCTTCCTGTGATAGTTCAGGTTTGAAACACTCTTTTTGTAGGATATGCAAGTGGATATTTGGACCACTCTGTGGCCTTCCTTCGAAACGGGTACATCTTCACATAAAATCTAGACAGAAGCATTCTCAGAAAATACTTTGTGATGATTGAGTTTAACTCACAGAGCTGAACATTCCTTTGGATGGAGCAGGTTTGAGACACACTTTTTGTAGAATCTACAAGTGGATATTTGGACCTCTCTGAGGATTTCGTTGGAAACGCGATAACTGCACCTAACTAAACGGAAGCATTCTCAGAAACTGCTTTGTGATGATTGCATTCACCTCACAGAGTTGAACATTCCTATTGATAGAGCAGTTTGGAAACACTCTTGTTGTGGAATGTGCAAGTGGAGATTTGGAGCGCTTTGAGGCCTATGGTAGTAAAGGGAATAGCTTCATAGAAAAACTAGACAGATGCATTCTCAGGAACTTTTTGGTGATGTTTGTATTCAACTCCCAGAGTTGAACTTTCCTTTGGAAAGAGCAGCTATGAAACACTCTTTTTCTAGAATCTGCAAGTGGACGTTTGGAGGGCTTTGTGGTTTGTGGTGGAAAAGGAAATATCTTCACCTAAATACTAGATAGAAGCATCCTCAGAAGCTTCTCTGTGATGACTGCATTCAACTCACGGAGTTGAACACTCCTTTTGAGAGCGCAGTTTTGAAACTCTCTTTCTGTGGCATCTGCAAGGGGACATGTAGACCTCTTTGAAGATTTCGTTGGAAACGGAATCATCTTCACATAAAAACTATACAGAAGCAGTCTCAGAATCTTCTTTGTGATGTTTGCATTCAAATCCCCGAGTTGAACTTTCCTTTCAAAGTTCACGTTTGAAACACTCTTTTTGCAGGATCTACAAGTGGATATTTGGACCACTCTGTGTCCTTCGTTCGAAACGGGTATATCTTCACATGACATCTAGACAGAAGCTTTCTCAGAAAATTCTTTGGGATGATTGAGTTGAACTCACAGAGCTGAGCATTCCTTGCGATGTAGCAGTTTAGAAACACACTTTCTGCAGAATCTGCAAGTGCATATTTGGACCTCTGTGAGGAATTCGTTGGAAACGGGATAATTTCAGCTGACTAAACAGAAGCATTCTCAGAACCTTCTTCGTGATGTCTGCATTCAACTCACAGTGTGGAACCTTTCTTTGATAGTTCAGGTTTGAAACACTCTTTTTGTAGAAACTGCAAGGGGATCATTGCACTCTTTGAGGAGTACCGTAGTAAAGGAAATAACTTCCTATAAAAAGAAGACAGAAGCATTCTCAGAACCCTCTTCGTGATGTTTGCATTCAACTCACAGTGCTGAACCTTTCTTTGATAGTTCAGCTTTGAAACACTCTTTTTGTAGAAACTGCAAGTGGATATTTGGTCCTCTCTGAGCATTTCGTTGGAAACGGGATAAACTGCACAGAACTAAACAGAAGCATTCTCAGAACCTTCTTCGTGATGTTTGCATTCAACTCACAGTGTTGAACCTTTCTTTGATAGTTCAGGTTTCAAACGGTCTTTCTGTAGAAACTGCAAGTAGATATTTGGACCTCTCTGAGGATTTCGTTGGAAACGGGATAACCCGCACAGAACTAAAACAGAAGCATTCACAGAAAACTCTTGGTGACGACTGAGTTTAACTCACAGAGCTGAACATTCCTTTGGATGGAGCAGTTTCGAAACACACTATTTGTAGAATGTGCAAGTGGATATTTAGGCCTCTCTGAGGATTTCGTTGGAAACGGGATAAACCGCACAGAACTAAACAGAAGCATTCTCAGAAACTACTTTGTGATGATTGCATTCAAGTCACAGAGTTGAACATTCCCTTTGACAGAGCAGTTTGGAAACTCTCTTTGTGTAGAATCTGCAAGTGGAGATATGGACCGCTTTGAGGCCTATGGTAGTAAAGGAAATAGCTTCATATAAAAGCTAGACAGTAGCATTCTCAGAAACTTCTTTGTGATGCTTGCATTCAACTCACAGAGTTGAACTTTCCTTTCGAGAGAGAAGCTTTGAAACACTCTTTTTCCAGAATCTGCAAGTGGACATTTGGAGGGCTTTGAGGCCTGTGGTGGAAAAGGAATTATCTTCCCGTAAAAGCTAGATAGAAGCATTGTCAGAAACTTCTTTGTGATGATTGCATTCAACTCACAGAGTTGAAGGTTCCTTTTCAAAGAGCAGTTTCCAATCACTCTTTGTGTGGAATCTGCAAGTGGATATTTGGACCTATTTTGAAGATTTCGTTGGAAACGGGAGAATCTTCACAGGAAAGCTAAACAGAAGCATTCTCAGAAACTTCTCTGTGATGTTTGTGTTCAACTCCCAGAGTTTCACATTGCTTTTCATAGAGTAGTTCTGAAACATGCTTTTCGTAGTGTCTACAAGTGGACATTTGGAGCGCTTTCAGGCCTGTGGTGGAAAACGAATTATGGTCACATAAAAACTGGAGAGAAGCCTTCTCAGAAACTTCTCTGTGATGATTGCATTCAACTCACAGAGTTGAACCCTCCTATGGATAGAGCAGTGTTGAAACTCTCTTTTTGTGGAATCTGCAAGTGGATATGTGGACCTCTCCGAAGATGTCTTTGGAAACGGGAATATCTTCACATAAAAACTAAACAGAAGCATTCTCAGAAACTTCTTGGTGATGTTTGCATTCAAATCCCAGAGTTGAACCTTCCTTTGCTAGTTCAGGTTTGAAACACTCTTTTTGTAGGATCTGCAAGTGGATATTTGGACCACTCTGTGGCCTTCGTTCGAAACGGGTATATCTTCGCATAAAATCTAGACAGAAGCATTCTCAGAAAATACTTTGTGATGATTGAGTTTAACTCACAGAGCTGAACATTCCTTTGGATGGAGCAGGTTTGAGACACACCTTTTGTAGAATCTACAAGTGGATATTTGGACCTCTCTGAGGATTTCGTTGGAAACGGGATAACTGCACCTAACTAAACGGAAGCATTCTCAGAAACTGCTTTGTGATGATTGCATTCACCTCACAGAGTTGAACATTCCTATTGATAGAGCAGTTTGGAAACACTCTTGTTGTGGAATGTGCAAGTGGAGATTTGGAGCGCTTTGAGGCCTATGGTAGTAAAGGGAATAGCTTCATAGAAAAACTAGACAGATGCATTCTCAGGAACTTTTTGGTGATGTTTGTATTCAACTCCCAGAGTTGAACTTTCCTTTGGAAAGAGCAGCTATGAAACACTGTTTTTCTAGAATCTGCAAGTGGACGTTTGGAGGGCTTTGTGGTTTGTGGTGGAAAAGGAAATATCTTCACCTAAATACTAGATAGAAGCATCCTCAGAAGCTTCTCTGTGATGACTGCATTCAACTCACGGAGTTGAACACTCCTTTTGAGAGCGCAGTTTTGAAACTCTCTTTCTGTGGCATCTGCAAGGGGACATGTAGACCTCTTTGAAGATTTCGTTGGAAACGGAATCATCTTCACATAAAAACTACACAGAAGCAGTCTCAGAATCTTCTTTGTGATGTTTGCATTCAAATCCCCGAGTTGAACTTTCCTTTCAAAGTTCACGTTTGAAACACTCTTTTTGCAGGATCTACAAGTGGATATTTGGACCACTCTGTGTCCTTCGTTCGAAACGGGTATATCTTCACATGACATCTAGACAGAAGCTTTCTCAGAAAATTCTTTGGGATGATTGAGTTGAACTCACAGAGCTGAGCATTCCTTGCGATGTAGCAGTTTAGAAACACACTTTCTGCAGAATCTGCAAGTGCATATTTGGACCTCTGTGAGGAATTCGTTGGAAACGGGATAATTTCAGCTGACTAAACAGAAGCATTCTCAGAACCTTCTTCGTGATGTCTGCATTCAACTCACAGTGTGGAACCTTTCTTTGATAGTTCAGGTTTGAAACACTCTTTTTGTAGAAACTGCAAGGGGATAATTGCACTCTTTGAGGAGTACCGTAGTAAAGGAAATAACTTCCTATAAAAAGAAGACAGAAGCATTCTCAGAACCCTCTTCGTGATGTTTGCATTCAACTCACAGTGCTGAACCTTTCTTTGATAGTTCAGCTTTGAAACACTCTTTTTGTAGAAACTGCAAGTGGATATTTGGTCCTCTCTGAGGATTTCGTTGGAAACGGGATAAACTGCACAGAACTAAACAGAAGCATTCTCAGAACCTTCTTCGTGATGTTTGCATTCAACTCACAGTGTTGAACCTTTCTTTGATAGTTCAGGTTTGAAACGGTCTTTCTGTAGAAACTGCAAGTAGATATTTGGACCTCTCTGAGGATTTCGTTGGAAACGGGATAACCCGCACAGAACTAAAACAGAAGCATTCACAGAAAACTCTTGGTGACGACTGAGTTTAACTCACAGAGCTGAACATTCCTTTGGATGGAGCAGTTTCGAAACACACTATTTGTAGAATGTGCAAGTGGATATTTAGGCCTCTCTGAGGATTTCGTTGGAAACGGGATAAACCGCACAGAACTAAACAGAAGCATTCTCAGAAACTACTTTGTGATGATTGCATTCAAGTCACAGAGTTGAACATTCCCTTTGACAGAGCAGTTTGGAAACTCTCTTTGTGTAGAATCTGCAAGTGGAGATATGGACCGCTTTGAGGCCTATGGTAGTAAAGGAAATAGCTTCATATAAAAGCTAGACAGTAGCATTCTCAGAAACTTCTTTGTGATGCTTGCATTGAACTCACAGAGTTGAACTTTCCTTTCGAGAGAGAAGCTTTGAAACACTCTTTTTCCAGAATCTGCAAGTGGACATTTGGAGGGCTTTGAGGCCTGTGGTGGAAAAGGAATTATCTTCCCGTAAAAGCTAGATAGAAGCATTGTCAGAAACTTCTTTGTGATGATTGCATTCAACTCACAGAGTTGAAGGTTCCTTTTCAAAGAGCAGTTTCCAATCACTCTTTGTGTGGAATCTGCAAGTGGATATTTGGACCTATTTTGAAGATTTCGTTGGAAACGGGAGAATCTTCACAGGAAAGCTAAACAGAAGCATTCTCAGAAACTTCTCTGTGATGTTTGTGTTCAACTCCCAGAGTTTCACATTGCTTTTCATAGAGTAGTTCTGAAACATGCTTTTCGTAGTGTCTACAAGTGGACATTTGGAGCGCTTTCAGGCCTGTGGTGGAAAACGAATTATGGTCACATAAAAACTGGAGAGAAGCCTTCTCAGAAACTTCTCTGTGATGATTGCATTCAACTCACAGAGTTGAACCCTCCTATGGATAGAGCAGTGTTGAAACTCTCTTTTTGTGGAATCTGCAAGTGGATATGTGGACCTCTCCGAAGATGTCTTTGGAAACGGGAATATCTTCACATAAAAACTAAACAGAAGCATTCTCAGAAACTTCTTGGTGATGTTTGCATTCAAATCCCAGAGTTGAACCTTCCTTTGATAGTTCAGGTTTGAAACACTCTTTTTGTAGGATCTGCAAGTGGATATTTGGACCACTCTGTGGCCTTCGTTCGAAACGGGTATATCTTCGCATAAAATCTAGACAGAAGCATTCTCAGAAAATACTTTGTGAAGATTGAGTTTAACTCACAGAGCTGAACATTCCTTTGGATGGTGCAGGTTTGAGACACACTTTTTGTAGAATCTACAAGTGGATATTTGGACCTCTCTGAGGATTTCATTGGAAACGGGATAACTGCACCTAACTAAACGGAAGCATTCTCAGAAACTGCTTTGTGATGATTGCATTCACCTCACAGAGTTGAACATTCCTATTGATAGAGCAGTTTGGAAACACTCTTGTTGTGGAATGTGCAAGTGGAGATTTGGAGCGCTTTGAGGCCTGTGGTAGTAAAGGGAATAGCTTCATAGAAAAACTAGACAGATGCATTCTCAGGAACCTTTTGGTGATGTTTGTATTCAACTCCCAGAGTTGAACTTTCCTTTGGAAAGAGCAGCTATGAAACACTCTTTTTCTAGAATCTGCAAGTGGACGTTTGGAGGGCTTTGTGGTTTGTGGTGGAAAAGGAAATATCTTCACCTAAATACTAGATAGAAGCATTCTCAGAAGCTTCTCTGTGATGACTGCATTCAACTCACGGAGTTGAACACTCCTTTTGAGAGCGCAGTTTTGAAACTCTCTTTCTGTGGCATCTGCAAGGGGACATGTAGACCTCTTTGAAGATTTCGTTGGAAACGGAATCATCTTCACATAAAAACTATACAGAAGCAGTCTCAGAATCTTCTTTGTGATGTTTGCATTCAAATCCCAGAGTTGAACTTTCCTTTCAAAGTTCACGTTTGAAACACTCTTTTTGCAGGATCTACAAGTGGATATTTGGACCACTCTGTGTCCTTCGTTCGAAACGGGTATATCTTCACACGACATCTAGACAGAAGCTTTCTCAGAAAATTCTTTGGGATGATTGAGTGGAACTCACAGAGCTGAACATTCCTTGCGATGTAGCAGTTTAGAAACACACTTTCTGCAGAATCTGCAAGTGCATATTTGGACCTCTCTGAGGAATTCGTTGGAAACGGGATAATTTCAGCTGACTAAACAGAAGCATTCTCAGAACCTTCTTCGTGATGTCTGCATTCAACTCACAGTGTGGAACCTTTCTTTGATAGTTCAGGTTTGAAACACTCTTTTTGTAGAAACTGCAAGGGGATAATTGCACTTCTTTGAGGCCTACCGTAGTAAAGGAAATAACTTCCTATAGAAAGAAGACAGAAGCATTCTCAGAACCTTCTTCGTGATGTTTGCATTCAACTCACAGTGCTGAACCTTTCTTTGATAGTTCAGCTTTGAAACACTCTTTTTGTAGAAACTGCAAGTGGATACTTGGTCCTCTCTGAGGATTTCGTTGGAAAAGGGATAAACCGCACAGAACTAAACAGAAGCATTCTCAGAACCTTCTTCGTGATGTTTGCATTCAACTCACAGTGTTGAACCTTTCTTTGATAGTTGAGGTTGGAAACGGTCTTTCTGTAGAAACTGCAAGTAGATATTTGGACCTCTCTGAGGATTTCGTTGGAAACGGGATAAACCACACAGAACTAAAACAGAAGCATTCACAGAAAACTCTTGGTGACGACTGAGTTTAACTCACAGAGCTGAACATTCCTTTGGATGGAGCAGTTTCGAAACACACTATTTGTAGAATGTGCAAGTGGATATTTGGGCCTCTCTGAGGATTTCGTTGGAAACGGGATAAACCGTACAGAACTAAACAGAAGCATTCTCAGAAACTACTTTGTGATGATTGCATTCAAGTCACAGAGTTGAACATTCCCTTTGACAGAGCAGTTTGGAAACTCTCTTTGCGTAGAATCTGCAAGTGGAGATATGGACCGCTTTGAGGCCTATGGTAGTAAAGGAAATAGCTTCATATGAAAGCTAGACAGTAGCATTCTCAGAAACTTCTTTGTGATGCTTGCATTCAACTCACAGAGTTGAACTTTCCTTTCGAGAGAGAAGCTTTGAAACACTCTTTTTCCAGAATGTGCAAGTGGAGATTTGGAGGGCTTTGAGGCCTGTGGTGGAAAAGGAATTATCTTCCCGTAAAAGCTAGATGGAAGCATTGTCAGAAACTTCTTTGTGATGATTGCATTCAACTCACAGAGTTGAAGGTTCCTTTTCAAACAGCAGTTTCCAATCACTCTTTCTGTGGAATCTGCAAGTGGATATTTGGACCTAGTTTGAAGATTTCGTTGGAAACGGGAGAATCTTCACAGAAAAGCTAAACAGAAGCATTCTCAGAAACTTCTCTGTGATGTTTGTGTTCAACTCCCAGAGTTTCACATTGCTTTTCATAGAGTAGTTCTGAAACATGCTTTTCGTAGTGTCTGCAAGTGGACATTTGGAGCGCTTTCAGGCCTGTGGTGGAAAACGAATTATGGTCACATAAAAACTGGAGAGAAGCCTTCTCAGAAACTTCTCTGTGATGATTGCATTCAACTCACAGAGTTGAACCCTCCTATGGATAGAGCAGTGTTGAAACTCTCTTTTTGTGGAATCTGCAAGTGGATATGTGGACCTCTCCGAAGATGTCTTTGGAAACGGGAATATCTTCACATAAAAACTAAACAGAAGCATTCTCAGAAACTTCTTGGTGATGTTTGCATTCAAATCCCAGAGTTGAACCTTCCTTTGATAGTTCAGGTTTGAAACACTCTTTCTGTAGGATCTGCAAGTGGCTATTTGGACCACTCTGTGGCCTTCGTTCGAAACGGGTATATCTTCGCATAAAATCTAGACAGAAGCATTCTCAGAAAATACTTTGTGATGATTGAGTTTAAATCACAGAGCTGACCATTCCTTTGGATGGAGCAGGTTTGAGACACACTTTTTGTAGAATCTACAAGTGGATATTTGGACCTCTCTGAGGATTTCGTTGGAAACGGGAAAACTGCACCTAACTAAACGGAGGCATTCTCAGAAACTGCTTTGTGATGATTGCATTCACCTCACAGAGTTGAACATTCCTATTGATAGAGCAGTTTGGAAACACTCTTGTTGTGGAATGTGCAAGTGGAGATTTGGAGCGCTTTGAGGCCTGTGGTAGTAAAGGGAATAGCTTCATAGAAAAACTAGACAGATGCATTCTCAGGAACTTTTTGGTGATGTTTGTATTCAACTCCCAGAGTTGAACTTTCCTTTGGAAAGAGCAGCTATGAAACACTCTTTTTCTAGAATCTGCAAGTGGACGTTTGGAGGGCTTTGTGGTTTGTGGTGGAAAAGGAAATATCTTCACCTAAATACTAGATAGAAGCATTCTCAGAAGCTTCTCTGTGATGACTGCATTCAACTCACGGAGTTGAACACTCCTTTTGAGAGCGCAGTTTTGAAACTCTCTTTCTGTGGCATCTGCAAGGGGACATGTAGACCTCTTTGAAGATTTCGTTGGAAACGGAATCATCTTCACATAAAAACTATACAGAAGCAGTCTCAGAATCTTCTTTGTGATGTTTGCATTCAAATCCCAGAGTTGAACTTTCCTTTCAAAGTTCACGTTTGAAACACTCTTTTTGCAGGATCTACAAGTGGATATTTGGACCACTCTGTGTCCTTCGTTCGAAACGGGTATATCTTCACACGACATCTAGACAGAAGCTTTCTCAGAAAATTCTTTGGGATGATTGAGTGGAACTCACAGAGCTGAACATTCCTTGCGATGTAGCAGTTTAGAAACACACTTTCTGCAGAATCTGCAAGTGCATATTTGGACCTCTCTGAGGAATTCGTTGGAAACGGGATAATTTCAGCTGACTAAACAGAAGCATTCTCAGAACCTTCTTCGTGATGTCTGCATTCAACTCACAGTGTGGAACCTTTCTTTGATAGTTCAGGTTTGAAACACTCTTTTTGTAGAAACTGCAAGGGGATAATTGCACTTCTTTGAGGCCTACCGTAGTAAAGGAAATAACTTCCTATAGAAAGAAGACAGAAGCATTCTCAGAACCCTCTTCGTGATGTTTGCATTCAACTCACAGTGCTGAACCTTTCTTTGATAGTTCAGCTTTGAAACACTCTTCTTGTAGAAACTGCAAGTGGATATTTGGTCCTCTCTGAGGATTTCGTTGGAAACGGGATAAACCGCACAGAACTAAACAGAAGAATTCTCAGAGCCCTCTTCGTGATGTTTGCATTCAACTCACAGTGCTGAACCTTTCTTTGATAGTGCAGCTTTGAAACACTCTTTTTGTAGAAACTGCAAGTGGATGTTTGGTCCTCTCTGAGGATTTCGTTGGAAACGGGATAAACCGCACAGAACTAAAACAGAAGCATTGTCAGAAACTTCTTTGTGATGATTGCATTCAACTCACAGAGTTGAAGGTTCCTTTTCAAACAGCAGTTTCCAATCACTCTTTCTGTGGAATCTGCAAGTGGATATTTGGGCCTCTCTGAGGATTTCGTTGGAAACGGGATAAAACGCACAGAACTAAAACAGAAGCATTCTCAGAAACTTCTCTGTGATGTTTGTGTTCAACTCCCAGAGTTTCACGTTGCTTTTCATAGAGTAGTTCTGAAACATGCTTTTCGTAGTGTCTGCAAGTGGACATTTGGAGCGCTTTCAGGCCTGTGGTGGAAAACGAATTATGGTCACATAAAAACTGGAGAGAAGCCTTCTCAGAAACTTCTCTGTGATGATTGCATTCAACTCACAGAGTTGAACCCTCCTATGGATAGAGCAGTGTTGAAACTCTCTTTTTGTGGAATCTGCAAGTGGATATGTGGACCTCTCCGAAGATGTCTTTGGAAACGGGAATATCTTCACATAAAATCTAAACAGAAGCATTCTCAGAAACTTCTTGGTGATGTTTGCATTCAAATCCCAGAGTTGAACCTTCCTTTGATAGTTCAGGTTTGAAACACTCTTTTTGTAGGATCTGCAAGTGGATATTTGGACCACTCTGTGGCCTTCGTTCGAAACGGGTATATCTTCGCATAAAATCTGGACAGAAGCATTCTCAGAAAATACTTTGTGATGATTGAGTTTAAATCACAGAGCTGACCATTCCTTTGGATGGAGCAGGTTTGAGACACACTTTTTGTAGAATCTACAAGTGGATATTTGGACCTCTCTGAGGATTTCGTTGGAAACGGGATAACTGCACCTAACTAAACGGAAGCATTCTCAGAAACTGCTTTGTGATGATTGCATTCACCTCACAGAGTTGAACATTCGTATTGATAGAGCAGTTTGGAAACACTCTTCTTGTGGAATGTGCAAGTGGAGATTTGGAGCGCTTTGGGGCCTATGGTAGTAAAGGGAATAGCTTCATAGAAAAACTAGACAGATGCATTCTCAGGAACTTTTTGGTGATGTTTGTATTCAACTCCCAGAGTTGAACTTTCCTTTGGAAAGAGCAGCTATGAAACACTCTTTTTCTAGAATCTGCAAGTGGACGTTTGGAGGGCTTTGTGGTTTGTGGTGGAAAAGGAAATATCTTCACCTAAATACTAGATAGAAGCATCCTCAGAAGCTTCTCTGTGATGACTGCATTCAACTCACGGAGTTGAACACTCCTTTTGAGAGCGCAGTTTTGAAACTCTCTTTCTGTGGCATCTGCAAGGGGACATGTAGACCTCTTTGAAGATTTCGTTGGAAACGGAATCATCTTCACATAAAAACTATACAGAAGCAGTCTCAGAATCTTCTTTGTGATGTTTGCATTCAAATCCCCGAGTTGAACTTTCCTTTCAAAGTTCACGTTTGAAACACTCTTTTTGCAGGATCTACAAGTGGATATTTGGACCACTCTGTGTCCTTCGTTCGAAACGGGTATATCTTCACATGACATCTAGACAGAAGCTTTCTCAGAAAATTCTTTGGGATGATTGAGTTGAACTCACAGAGCTGAGCATTCCTTGCGATGTAGCAGTTTAGAAACACACTTTCTGCAGAATCTGCAAGTGCATATTTGGACCTCTGTGAGGAATTCGTTGGAAACGGGATAATTTCAGCTGACTAAACAGAAGCATTCTCAGAACCTTCTTCGTGATGTCTGCATTCAACTCACAGTGTGGAACCTTTCTTTGATAGTTCAGGTTTGAAACACTCTTTTTGTAGAAACTGCAAGGGGATAATTGCACTCTTTGAGGAGTACCGTAGTAAAGGAAATAACTTCCTATAAAAAGAAGACAGAAGCATTCTCAGAACCCTCTTCGTGATGTTTGCATTCAACTCACAGTGCTGAACCTTTCTTTGATAGTTCAGCTTTGAAACACTCTTTTTGTAGAAACTGCAAGTGGATATTTGGTCCTCTCTGAGCATTTCGTTGGAAACGGGATAAACTGCACAGAACTAAACAGAAGCATTCTCAGAACCTTCTTCGTGATGTTTGCATTCAACTCACAGTGTTGAACCTTTCTTTGATAGTTCAGGTTTGAAACGGTCTTTCTGTAGAAACTGCAAGTAGATATTTGGACCTCTCTGAGGATTTCGTTGGAAACGGGATAACCCGCACAGAACTAAAACAGAAGCATTCACAGAAAACTCTTGGTGACGACTGAGTTTAACTCACAGAGCTGAACATTCCTTTGGATGGAGCAGTTTCGAAACACACTATTTGTAGAATGTGCAAGTGGATATTTAGGCCTCTCTGAGGATTTCGTTGGAAACGGGATAAACCGCACAGAACTAAACAGAAGCATTCTCAGAAACTACTTTGTGATGATTGCATTCAAGTCACAGAGTTGAACATTCCCTTTGACAGAGCAGTTTGGAAACTCTCTTTGTGTAGAATCTGCAAGTGGAGATATGGACCGCTTTGAGGCCTATGGTAGTAAAGGAAATAGCTTCATATAAAAGCTAGACAGTAGCATTCTCAGAAACTTCTTTGTGATGCTTGCATTCAACTCACAGAGTTGAACTTTCCTTTCGAGAGAGAAGCTTTGAAACACTCTTTTTCCAGAATCTGCAAGTGGACATTTGGAGGGCTTTGAGGCCTGTGGTGGAAAAGGAATTATCTTCCCGTAAAAGCTAGATAGAAGCCTTCTCAGAAACTTCTCTGTGATGATTGCATTCAACTCACAGAGTTGAAGGTTCCTTTTCAAAGAGCAGTTTCCAATCACTCTTTCTGTGGAATCTGCAAGTGGATATTTGGACCTATTTTGAAGATTTCGTTGGAAACGGGAGAATCTTCACAGGAAAGCTAAACAGAAGCATTCTCAGAAACTTCTTGGTGATGTTTGCATTCAAATCCCAGAGTAGAACCTTCCTTTGATAGTTCAGGTTTGAAACACTCTTTTTGTAGGATCTGCAAGTGGATATTTGGACCACTCTGTGGCCTTCGTTCGAAACGGGTATATCTTCGCATAAAATCTAGACAGAAGCATTCTCAGAAAATACTTTGTGATGATTGAGTTTAACTCACAGAGCTGAACATTCCTTTGGATGGAGCAGGTTTGAGACACACTTTTTGTAGAATCTACAAGTGGATATTTGGACCTCTCTGAGGATTTCGTTGGAAACGGGATAACTGCACCTAACTAAACGGAAGCATTCTCAGAAACTGCTTTGTGATGATTGCATTCACCTCACAGAGTTGAACATTCCTATTGATAGAGCAGTTTGGAAACACTCTTGTTGTGGAATGTGCAAGTGGAGATTTGGAGCGCTTTGAGGCCTATGGTAGTAAAGGGAATAGCTTCATAGAAAAACTAGACAGATGCATTCTCAGGAACTTTTTGGTGATGTTTGTATTCAACTCCCAGAGTTGAACTTTCCTTTGGAAAGAGCAGCTATGAGACACTGTTTCTCTAGAATCTGCAAGTGGACGTTTGGAGGGCTTTGTGGTTTGTGGTGGAAAAGGAAATATCTTCACCTAAATACTAGATAGAAGCATTCTCAGAAGCTTCTCTGTGATGACTGCATTCAACTCAGGGAGTTGAACACTCCTTTTGAGAGCGCAGTTTTGAAACTCTCTTTCTGTGGCATCTGCAAGGGGACATGTAGACCTCTTTGAAGATTTCGTTGGAAACGGAATCATCTTCACATAAAAACTATACAGAAGCAGTCTCAGAATCTTCTTTGTGATGTTTGCATTCAAATCCCCGAGTTGAACTTTCCTTTCAAAGTTCACGTTTGAAACACTCTTTTTGCAGGATCTACAAGTGGATATTTGGACCACTCTGTGTCCTTCGTTCGAAACGGGTATATCTTCACATGACATCTAGACAGAAGCTTTCTCAGAAAATTCTTTGGGATGATTGAGTGGAACTCACAGAAGCTGAACATTCCTTGCGATGTAGCAGTTTAGAAACACACTTTCTGCAGAATCTGCAAGTGCATATGTGGACCTCTCTGAGGAATTCGTTGGAAACGGGATAATTTCAGCTGACTAAACAGAAGCATTCTCAGAACCTTCTTCGTGATGTCTGCATTCAACTCACAGTGTGGAACCTTTCTTTGATAGTTCAGGTTTGAAACACTCTTTTTGTAGAAACTGCAAGGGGATAATTGCACTTCTTTGAGGCCTACCGTAGTAAAGGAAATAACTTCCTATAGAAAGAAGACAGAAGCATTCTCAGAACCCTCTTCGTGATGTTTGCATTCAACTCACAGTGCTGAACCTTTCTATGATAGTTCAGCTTTGAAACACTCTTCTTGTAGAAACTGCAAGTGGATATTTGGTCCTCTCTGAGGATTTCCTTGGAAACGGGATAAACCGCACAGAACTAAACAGAAGCATTCACAGAAAACTCTTGGTGACGACTGAGTTTAACTCACAGAGCTGAACATTCCTTTGGATGGAGCAGTTTCGAAACACACTATTTGTAGAATCTGCAAGTGGATATTTGGGCCTCTCTGAGGATTTCGTTGGAAACGGGATAAACCGCACAGAACTAAAACAGAAGCATTCTGAGAAACTACTTTGTGATGATTGCATTCAAGTCACAGAGCTGAACATTCCCTTTGACAGAGCAGTTTGGAAACTCTCTTTGTGTAGAATCTGCAAGTGGAGATATGGAATGCTTTGAGGACTATGGTAGTAAAGGAAATAGCTTCATATAAAAGCTAGACAGTAGCATTCTCAGAAACTTCTTTGTGATGCTTGCATTCAACTCACAGAGTTGAACTTTCCTTTCGAGAGAGAAGCTTTGAAACACTCTTTTTCCAGAATCTGCAAGTGGACATTTGGAGGGCTTTGAGGCCTGTGGTGGAAAAGGAATTATCTTCCCGTAAAAGCTGGATAGAAGCATTGTCAGAAACTTCTTTGTGATGATTGCATTCAACTCACAGAGTTGAAGGTTCCTTTTCAAACAGCAGTTTCCAAACACTCTTTCTGTGGAATCTGCAAGTGGATATTTGGACCTCTTTGAAGATTTCGTTGGAAACGGGATAACCTTCACAGAAAAGCTAAACAGAAGCATTCTCAGAAACTTCTCTGTGATGTTTGTGTTCAACTCCCAGAGTGTCACATTGCTTCTCATAGAGTAGTTCTGAAACATGCTTTTCGTAGTGTCTGCAAGTGGACATTTGGAGCGCTTTCAGGCCTGTGGTGGAAAACGAATTATGGTCACATAAAAACTGGACAGAAGCCTTCTCAGAAACTTCTCTGTGATGATTGCATTCAACTCACAGAGTTGAACCCTCCTATGGATAGAGCAGTGTTGAAACTCTCTTTTTGTGGAATCTGCAAGTGGATATGTGGACCTCTCCGAAGATGTGTTTGGAAACGGGACTATCTTCACATAAAAACTAAACAGAAGCATTCTCAGAAACTTCTTGGTGATGTTTGCATTCAAATCCCAGAGTTGAACCTTCCTTTGATAGTTCAGGTTTGAAACACTCTTTTTGTAGGATCTGCAAGTGGATATTTGGACCACTCTGTGGCCTTCGTTCGAAACGGGTACATCTTCGCATAAAATCTAGACAGAAGCATTCTCAGAAAATACTTTGTGATGATTGAGTTTAACTCACAGAGCTGAACATTCCTTTGGATGGAGCAGGTTTGAGACACACCTTTTGTAGAATCTACAAGTGGATATTTGGACCTCTCTGAGGATTTCGTTGGAAACGGGATAACTGCACCTAACTAAACGGAAGCATTCTCAGAAACTGCTTTGTGATGATTGCATTCACCTCACCAGAGTTGAACATTCCTATTGATAGAGCAGTTTGGAAACACTCTTGTTGTGGAATGTGCAAGTGGAGATTTGGAGCGCTTTGAGGCCTATGGTAGTAAAGGGAATAGCTTCATAGAAAAACTAGACAGATGCATTCTCAGGAACTTTTTGGTGATGTTTGTATTCAACTCCCAGCAGTTGAACTTTCCTTTGGAAAGAGCAGCTATGAAACACTCTTTTTCTAGAATCTGGAAGTGGACGTTTGGAGGGCTTTGTGGTTTGTGGTGGAAAAGGAAATATCTTCACCTAAATACTAGATAGAAGCATTCTCAGAAGCTTCTCTGTGATGACTGCATTCAACTCACGGAGTTGAACACTCCTTTTGAGAGCGCAGTTTTGAAACTCTCTTTCTGTGGCATCTGCAAGGGGACATGTAGACCTCTTTGAAGATTTCGTTGGAAACGGAATCATCTTCACATAAAAACTATACAGAAGCAGTCTCAGAATCTTCTTTGTGATGTTTGCATTCAAATCCCAGAGTTGAACTTTCCTTTCAAAGTTCACGTTTGAAACACTCTTTTTGCAGGATCTACAAGTGGATATTTGGACCACTCTGTGTCCTTCGTTCGAAACGGGTATATCTTCACATGACATCTAGACAGAAGCTTTCTCAGAAAATTCTTTGGGATGATTGAGTGGAACTCACAGAGCTGAACATTCCTTGCGATGTAGCAGTTTAGAAACACACTTTCTGCAGAATCTGCAAGTGCATATTTGGACCTCTCTGAGGAATTCGTTGGAAACGGGATAATTTCAGCTGACTAAACAGAAGCATTCTCAGAACCTTTTTCGTGATGTCTGCATTCAACTCACAGTGTGGAACCTTTCTTTGATAGTTCAGGTTTGAAACACTCTTTTTGTAGAAAATGCAAGGGGATAATTGCACTTCTTTGAGGCCTACCGTAGTAAAGGAAATAACTTCCTATAGAAAGAAGACAGAAGCATTCTCAGAACCCTCTTCGTGATGTTTGCATTCAACTCACAGTGCTGAACCTTTCTTTGATAGTTCAGCTTTGAAACACTCTTCTTGTAGAAACTGCAAGTGGATATTTGGTCCTCTCTGAGGATTTCGTTGGAAACGGGATAAACCGCACAGAACTAAACAGAAGAATTCTCAGAGCCCTCTTCGTGATGTTTGCATTCAACTCACAGTGCTGAACCTTTCTTTGATAGTGCAGCTTTGAAACACTCTTTTTGTAGAAACTGCAAGTGGATGTTTGGTCCTCTCTGAGGATTTCGTTGGAAACGGGATAAACCGCACAGAACTAAAACAGAAGCATTGTCAGAAACTTCTTTGTGATGATTGCATTCAACTCACAGTAGTTGAAGGTTCCTTTTCAAACAGCAGTTTCCAATCACTCTTTCTGTGGAATCTGCAAGTGGATATTTGGGCCTCTCTGAGGATTTCGTTGGAAACGGGATAAAACGCACAGAACTAAAACAGAAGCATTCTCAGAAACTTCTCTGTGATGTTTGTGTTCAACTCCCAGAGTTTCACGTTGCTTTTCATAGAGTAGTTCTGAAACATGCTTTTCGTAGTGTCTGCAAGTGGACATTTGGAGCGCTTTCAGGCCTGTGGTGGAAAACGAATTATGGTCACATAAAAACTGGAGAGAAGCCTTCTCAGAAACTTCTCTGTGATGATTGCATTCAACTCACAGAGTTGAACCCTCCTATGGATAGAGCAGTGTTGAAACTCTCTTTTTGTGGAATCTGCAAGTGGATATGTGGACCTCTCCGAAGATGTCTTTGGAAACGGGAATATCTTCACATAAAAACTAAACAGAAGCATTCTCAGAAACTTCTTGGTGATGTTTGCATTCAAATCCCAGAGTTGAACCTTCCTTTGATAGTTCAGGTTTGAAACACTCTTTCTGTAGGATCTGCAAGTGGCTATTTGGACCACTCTGTGGCCTTCGTTCGAAACGGGTATATCTTCGCATAAAATCTAGACAGAAGCATTCTCAGAAAATACTTTGTGATGATTGAGTTTAAATCACAGAGCTGACCATTCCTTTGGATGGAGCAGGTTTGAGACACACTTTTTGTAGAATCTACAAGTGGATATTTGGACCTCTCTGAGGATTTCGTTGGAAACGGGATAACTGCACCTAACTAAACCGGAAGCATTCTCAGAAACTGCTTTGTGATGATTGCATTCACCTCACAGAGTTGAACATTCCTATTGATAGAGCAGTTTGGAAACACTCTTGTTGTGGAATGTGCAAGTGGAGATTTGGAGCGCTTTGAGGCCTATGGTAGTAAAGGGAATAGCTTCATAGAAAAACTAGACAGATGCATTCTCAGGAACTTTTTGGTGATGTTTGTATTCAACTCCCAGAGTTGAACTTTCCTTTGGAAAGAGCAGCTATGAAACACTCTTTTTCTAGAATCTGCAAGTGGACGTTTGGAGGGCTTTGTGGTTTGTGGTGGAAAAGGAAATATCTTCACCTAAATACTAGAGAGAAGCATTCTCAGAAGCTTCTCTGTGATGACTGCATTCAACTCACGGGGTTGAACACTCCTTTTGGGAGCGCAGTTTTGAAACTCTCTTTCTGTGGCATCTGCAAGGGGACATGTAGACCTCTTTGAAGATTTCGTTGGAAACGGAATCATCTTCACATAAAAACTATACAGAAGCAGTCTCAGAATCTTCTTTGTGATGTTTGCATTCAAATCCCAGAGTTGAACTTTCCTTTCAAAGTTCACGTTTGAAACACTTTTTGCAGGATCTACAAGTGGATATTTGGACCACTCTGTGTCCTTCGTTCGAAACGGGTATATCTTCACATGACATCTAGACAGAAGCTTTCTCAGAAAATTGTTTGGGATGATTGATTTGAACTCACAGAGCTGAGCATTCCTTGCGATGTAGCAGTTTAGAAACACACTTTCTGCAGAATCTGCAAGTGCATATGTGGACCTCTCTGAGGAATTCGTTGGAAACGGGATAATTTCAGCTGACTAAACAGAAGCATTCTCAGAACCTTCTTCGTGATGTCTGCATTCAACTCACAGTGTGGAACCTTTCTTTGATAGTTCAGGTTTGAAACACTCTTTTTGTAGAAACTGCAAGGGGATAATTGCACTCTTTGAGGAGTACCGTAGTAAAGGAAATAACTTCCTATAAAAAGAAGACAGAAGCATTCTCAGAACCCTCTTCGTGATGTTTGCATTCAACTCACAGTGCTGAACCTTTCTTTGATAGTGCAGCTTTGAAACACTCTTTTTGTAGAAACTGCAAATGGATATTTGGTCCTCTCTGAGGATTTCGTTGGAAAAGGGATAAAACGCACAGAACTAAACAGAAGCATTCACAGAAAACTCTTGGTGACGACTGAGTTTAACTCACAGAGCTGAACATTCCTTTGGATGGAGCAGTTTCAAAACACACTATTTGTAGAATCTGCAAGTGGATATGTGGGCCTCTCTGAGGATTTCGTTGGAAACGGGATAAACCGCACAGAACTAAAACAGAAGCATTCTCAGAAACTACTTTGTGATGATTGCATTCAAGTCACAGAGTTGAACATTCCCTTTGACAGAGCAGTTTGGAAACTCTCTTTGTGTAGAATCTGCAAGTGGAGATATGGACCGCGTTGAGGCCCATGGTAGTAAAGGAAATAGCTTCATATAAAAGCTAGACAGTAGCATTCTCAGAAACTTCTTTGTGATGCTTGCATTCAACTCACAGAGTTGAACTTTCCTTTCGAGAGAGAAGCTTTGAAACACTCTTTTTCCAGAATCTGCAAGTGGACATTTGGAGGGCTTTGAGGCCTGTGGTGGAAAAGGAATTATCTTCCCGTAAAAGCTAGATAGAAGCATTGTCAGAAACTTCTTTGTGATGATTGCATTCAACTCACAGAGTTGAAGGTTCCTTTTCAAAGAGCAGTTTCCAATCACTCTTTCTGTGGAATCTGCAAGTGGATATTTGGACCTCTTTGAAGATTTCGTTGGAAACGGGAGAATCTTCACAGAAAAGCTAAACAGAAGCATTCTCAGAAACTTCTCTGTGATGTTTGTGTTCAACTCCCAGAGTTTCACATTGCTTTTCATAGAGTAGTTCTGAAACATGCTTTTCGTAGTGTCTACAAGTGGACATTTGGAGCGTTTTCAGGCCTGTGGTGGAAAACGAATTATGGTCACATAAAAACTGGAGAGAAGCCTTCTCAGAAACTTCTCTGTGATGATTGCATTCAACTCACAGAGTTGAACCCTCCTATGGATAGAGCAGTGTTGAAACTCTCTTTTTGTGGAATCTGCAAGTGGATATGTGGACCTCTCCGAAGATGTCTTTGGAAACGGGAATATCTTCACATAAAAACTAAACAGAAGCATTCTCAGAAACTTCTTGGTGATGTTTGCATTCAAATCCCAGAGTTGAACCTTCCTTTGATAGTTCAGGTTTGAAACACTCTTTTTGTAGGATCTGCAAGTGGATATTTGGACCACTCTGTGGCCTTCGTTCGAAACGGGTATATCTTCGCATAAAATCTAGACAGAAGCATTCTCAGAAAATACTTTGTGATGATTGAGTTTAACTCACAGAGCTGAACATTCCTTTGGATGGAGCAGGTTTGAGACACACTTTTTGCAGAATCTACAAGTGGATATTTGGACCTCTCTGAGGATTTCGTTGGAAACGGGATAACTGCACCTAACTAAACGGAAGCATTCTCAGAAACTGCTTTGTGATGATTGCATTCACCTCACAGAGTTGAACATTCCTATTGATAGAGCAGTTTGGAAACAGTCTTGTTGTGGAATGTGCAAGTGGAGATTTGGAGCGCTTTGAGGTCTATGGTAGTAAAGGGAATAGCTTCATAGAAAAACTAGACAGATGCATTCTCAGGAACTTTTTGGTGATGTTTGTATTCAACTCCCAGAGTTCAACTTTCCTTTGGAAAGAGCAGCTATGAAACACTCTTTTTCTAGAATCTGCAAGTGGACGTTTGGAGGGCTTTGCGGTTTGTGGTGGAAAAGGAAATATCTTCACCTAAATACTAGATAGAAGCATTCTCAGAAGCTTCTCTGTGATGACTGCATTCAACTCACGGAGTTGAACACTCCTTTTGAGAGCGCAGTTTTGAAACTCTCTTTCTGTGGCATCTACAAGGGGACATGAAGACCTCTTTGAAGATTTCGTTGGAAACGGAATCATCTTCACATAAAAACTATACAGAAGCAGTCTCAGAATCTTCTTTGTGATGTTTGCATTCAAATCCCAGAGTTGAACTTTCCTTTCAAAGTTCACGTTTGAAACACTCTTTTTGCAGGATCTACAAGTGGATATTTGGACCACTCTGTGTCCTTCGTTCGAAACGGGTATATCTTCACATGACATCTAGACAGAAGCTTTCTCAGAAAATTCTTTGGGATGATTGAGTGGAACTCACAGAGCTGAACATTCCTTGCGATGTAGCAGTTTAGAAACACACTTTCTGCAGAATCTGCAAGTGCATATTTGGACCTCTCTGAGGAATTCGTTGGAAACGGGATAATTTCAGCTGACTAAACAGAAGCATTCTCAGAACTTCTTCGTGATGTCTGCATTCAACTCACAGTGTGGAACCTTTCTTTGATAGTTCAGGTTTGAAACACTCTTTTTGTAGAAACTGCAAGGGGATAATTGCACTTCTTTGAGGCCTACCGTAGTAAAGGAAATAACTTCCTATAGAAAGAAGACAGAAGAATTCTCAGAGCCCTCTTCGTGATGTTTGCATTCAACTCACAGTGCTGAACCTTTCTTTGATAGTGCAGCTTTGAAACACTCTTTTTGTAGAAACTGCAAGTGGATGTTTGGTCCTCTGCTGAGGATTTCGTTGGAAACGGGATAAACCGCACAGAACTAAAACAGAAGCATTCTCAGAACCTTCTTCGTGATGTTTGCATTCAACTCACAGTGTTGAACCTTTCTTTGATAGTTCAGGTTTGAAACGGTCTTTCTGTAGAAACTGCAAGTAGATATTTGGACCTCTCTGAGGATTTCGTTGGAAACGGGATAACCCGCACAGAACTAAAACAGAAGCATTCACAGAAAACTCTTGGTGACGACTGAGTTTAACTCACAGAGCTGAACATTCCTTTGGATGGAGCAGTTTCGAAACACACTATTTGTAGAATGTGCAAGTGGATATTTGGGCCTCTCTGAGGATTTCGTTGGAAACGGGATAAACCGCACAGAACTAAACAGAAGCATTCTCAGAAACTACTTTGTGATGATTGCATTCAAGTCACAGAGTTGAACATTCCCTTTGACAGAGCAGTTTGGAAACTCTCTTTGTGTAGAATCTGCAAGTGGAGATATGGACCGCTTTGAGGCCTATGGTAGTAAAGGAAATAGCTTCATATAAAAGCTAGACAGTAGCATTCTCAGAAACTTCTTTGTGATGCTTGCATTCAACTCACAGAGTTGAACTTTCCTTTCGAGAGAGAAGCTTTGAAACACTCTTTTTCCAGAATCTGCAAGTGGACATTTGGAGGGCTTTGAGGCCTGTGGTGGAAAAGGAATTATCTTCCCGTAAAAGCTAGATAGAAGCATTGTCAGAAACTTCTTTGTGATGATTGCATTCAACTCACAGAGTTGAAGGTTCCTTTTCAAAGAGCAGTTTCCAATCACTCTTTGTGTGGAATCTGCAAGTGGATATTTGGACCTATTTTGAAGATTTCGTTGGAAACGGGAGAATCTTCACAGGAAAGCTAAACAGAAGCATTCTCAGAAACTTCTCTGTGATGTTTGTGTTCAACTCCCAGAGTTTCACATTGCTTTTCATAGAGTAGTTCTGAAACATGCTTTTCGTAGTGTCTGCAAGTGGACATTTGGAGCGCTTTCAGGCCTGTGGTGGAAAACGAATTATGGTCACATAAAAACTGGAGAGAAGCCTTCTCAGAAACTTCTCTGTGATGATTGCATTCAACTCACAGAGTTGAACCCTCCTATGGATAGAGCAGTGTTGAAACTCTCTTTTTGTGGAATCTGCAAGTGGATATGTGGACCTCTCCGAAGATGTCTTTGGAAACGGGAATATCTTCACATAAAAACTAAACAGAAGCATTCTCAGAAACTTCTTGGTGATGTTTGCATTCAAATCCCAGAGTTGAACCTTCCTTTGATAGTTCAGGTTTGAAACACTCTTTCTGTAGGATCTGCAAGTGGCTATTTGGACCACTCTGTGGCCTTCGTTCGAAACGGGTATATCTTCGCATAAAATCTAGACAGAAGCATTCTCAGAAAATACTTTGTGATGATTGAGTTTAAATCACAGAGCTGACCATTCCTTTGGATGGAGCAGGTTTGAGACACACTTTTTGTAGAATCTACAAGTGGATATTTGGACCTCTCTGAGGATTTCGTTGGAAACGGGATAACTGCACCTAACTAAACGGAAGCATTCTCAGAAACTGCTTTGTGATGATTGCATTCACCTCACAGAGTTGAACATTCCTATTGATAGAGCAGTTTGGAAACACTCTTGTTGTGGAATGTGCAAGTGGAGATTTGGAGCGCTTTGAGGCCTATGGTAGTAAAGGGAATAGCTTCATAGAAAAACTAGACAGATGCATTCTCAGGAACTTTTTGGTGATGTTTGTATTCAACTCCCAGAGTTGAACTTTCCTTTGGAAAGAGCAGCTATGAAACACTCTTTTTCTAGAATCTGCAAGTGGACGTTTGGAGGGCTTTGTGGTTTGTGGTGGAAAAGGAAATATCTTCACCTAAATACTAGATAGAAGCATTCTCAGAAGCTTCTCTGTGATGACTGCATTCAACTCACGGAGTTGAACACTCCTTTTGAGAGCGTAGTTTTGAAACTCTCTTTCTGTGGCATCTGCAAGGGGACATGTAGACCTCTTTGAAGATTTCGTTGGAAACGGAATCATCTTCACATAAAAACTATACAGAAGCAGTCTCAGAATCTTCTTTGTGATGTTTGCATTCAAATCCCAGAGTTGAACTTTCCTTTCAAAGTTCACGTTTGAAACACTCTTTTTGCAGGATCTACAAGTGGATATTTGGACCACTCTGTGTCCTTCGTTCGAAACGGGTATATCTTCACACGACATCTAGACAGAAGCTTTCTCAGAAAATTCTTTGGGATGATTGAGTGGAACTCACAGAGCTGAACATTCCTTGCGATGGAGCAGTTTAGAAACACACTTTCTGCAGAATCTGCAAGTGCATATTTGGACCTCTCTGAGGAATTCGTTGGAAACGGGATAATTTCAGCTGACTAAACAGAAGCATTCTCAGAACCTTCTTCGTGATGTCTGCATTCAACTCACAGTGTGGAACCTTTCTTTGATAGTTCAGGTTTGAAACACTCTTTTTGTAGAAACTGCAAGGGGATAATTGCACTTCTTTGAGGCCTACCGTAGTAAAGGAAATAACTTCCTATAGAAAGAAGACAGAAGCATTCTCAGAACCCTCTTCGTGATGTTTGCATTCAACTCACAGTGCTGAACCTTTCTTTGATAGTTCAGCTTTGAAACACTCTTCTTGTAGAAACTGCAAGTGGATATTTGGTCCTCTCTGAGGATTTCGTTGGAAACGGGATAAACCGCACAGAACTAAACAGAAGAATTCTCAGAGCCCTCTTCGTGATGTTTGCATTCAACTCACAGTGCTGAACCTTTCTTTGATAGTGCAGCTTTGAAACACTCTTTTTGTAGAAACTGCAAGTGGATGTTTGGTCCTCTCTGAGGATTTCGTTGGAAACGGGATAAACCGCACAGAACTAAAACAGAAGCATTGTCAGAAACTTCTTTGTGATGATTGCATTCAACTCACAGAGTTGAAGGTTCCTTTTCAAACAGCAGTTTCCAATCACTCTTTCTGTGGAATCTGCAAGTGGATATTTGGGCCTCTCTGAGGATTTCGTTGGAAACGGGATAAAACGCACAGAACTAAAACAGAAGCATTCTCAGAAACTTCTCTGTGATGTTTGTGTTCAACTCCCAGAGTTTCACGTTGCTTTTCATAGAGTAGTTCTGAAACATGCTTTTCGTAGTGTCTGCAAGTGGACATTTGGAGCGCTTTCAGGCCTGTGGTGGAAAACGAATTATGGTCACATAAAAACTGGAGAGAAGCCTTCTCAGAAACTTCTCTGTGATGATTGCATTCAACTCACAGAGTTGAACCCTCCTATGGATAGAGCAGTGTTGAAACTCTCTTTTTGTGGAATCTGCAAGTGGATATGTGGACCTCTCCGAAGATGTCTTTGGAAACGGGAATATCTTCACATAAAAACTAAACAGAAGCATTCTCAGAAACTTCTTGGTGATGTTTGCATTCAAATCCCAGAGTTGAACCTTCCTTTGATAGTTCAGGTTTGAAACACTCTTTCTGTAGGATCTGCAAGTGGCTATTTGGACCACTCTGTGGCCTTCGTTCGAAACGGGTATATCTTCGCATAAAATCTAGACAGAAGCATTCTCAGAAAATACTTTGTGATGATTGAGTTTAAATCACAGAGCTGACCATTCCTTTGGATGGAGCAGGTTTGAGACACACTTTTTGTAGAATCTACAAGTGGATATTTGGACCTCTCTGAGGATTTCGTTGGAAACGGGATAACTGCACCTAACTAAACGGAAGCATTCTCAGAAACTGCTTTGTGATGATTGCATTCACCTCACAGAGTTGAACATTCCTATTGATAGAGCAGTTTGGAAACACTCTTGTTGTGGAATGTGCAAGTGGAGATTTGGAGCGCTTTGAGGCCTATGGTAGTAAAGGGAATAGCTTCATAGAAAAACTAGACAGATGCATTCTCAGGAACTTTTTGGTGATGTTTGTATTCAACTCCCAGAGTTGAACTTTCCTTTGGAAAGAGCAGCTATGAAACACTCTTTTTCTAGAATCTGCAAGTGGACGTTTGGAGGGCTTTGTGGTTTGTGGTGGAAAAGGAAATATCTTCACCTAAATACTAGATAGAAGCATTCTCAGAAGCTTCTCTGTGATGACTGCATTCAACTCACGGAGTTGAACACTCCTTTTGAGAGCGCAGTTTTGAAACTCTCTTTCTGTGGCATCTGCAAGGGGACATGTAGACCTCTTTGAAGATTTCGTTGGAAACGGAATCATCTTCACATAAAAACTATACAGAAGCAGTCTCAGAATCTTCTTTGTGATGTTTGCATTCAAATCCCAGAGTTGAACTTTCCTTTCAAAGTTCACGTTTGAAACACTCTTTTTGCAGGATCTACAAGTGGATATTTGGACCACTCTGTGTCCTTCGTTCGAAACGGGTATATCTTCACACGACATCTAGACAGAAGCTTTCTCAGAAAATTCTTTGGGATGATTGAGTGGAACTCACAGAGCTGAACATTCCCTTGCGATGTAGCAGTTTAGAAACACACTTTCTGCAGAATCTGCAAGTGCATATTTGGACCTCTCTGAGGAATTCGTTGGAAACGGGATAATTTCAGCTGACTAAACAGAAGCATTCTCAGAACCTTCTTCGTGATGTCTGCATTCAACTCACAGTGTGGAACCTTTCTTTGATAGTTCAGGTTTGAAACACTCTTTTTGTAGAAACTGCAAGGGGATAATTGCACTTCTTTGAGGCCTACCGTAGTAAAGGAAATAACTTCCTATAGAAAGAAGACAGAAGCATTCTCAGAACCCTCTTCGTGATGTTTGCATTCAACTCACAGTGTTGAACCTTTCTTTGAGAGTTCAGCTTTGAAACGGTCTTTCTGTAGAAAATGCAAGTAGATATTTGGACCTCTCTGCGGATTTCTTTGGAAACGGGATAAACCGCACAGAACTAAAACAGAAGCATTCTCAGAACCTTCTTCGTGATGTTTGCATTCAACTCACAGTGTTGAACCTTTCTTTGATAGTTCAGGTTGGAAACGGTCTTTCTGTAGAAACTGCAAGTAGATATTTGGACCTCTCTGAGGATTTCGTTGGAAACGGGATAAACCGCACAGAACTAAAACAGAAGCATTCACAGAAAACTCTTGGTGACGACTGAGTTTAACTCACAGAGCTGAACATTCCTTTGGATGGAGCAGTTTCGAAACACACTATTTGTAGAATGTGCAAGTGGATATGTGGGCCTCTCTGAGGATTTCGTTGGAAACGGGATAAACCGCACAGAACTAAACAGAAGCATTCTCAGAAACTACTTTGTGATGATTGCATTCAAGTCACAGAGTTGAACATTCCCTTTGACAGAGCAGTTTGGAAACTCTCTTTGCGTAGAATCTGCAAGTGGAGATATGGACCGCTTTGAGGCCTATGGTAGTAAAGGAAATAGCTTCATATAAAAGCTAGACAGCAGCATTCTCAGAAACTTCTTTGTGATGCTTGCATTCAACTCACAGAGTTGAACTTTCCTTTCGAGAGAGAAGCTTTGAAACACTCTTTTTCCAGAATCTGCAAGTGGACATTTGGAGGGCTTTGAGGCCTGTGGTGGAAAAGGAATTATCTTCCCGTAAAAGCTAGATAGAAAGCATTGTCAGAAACTTCTTTGTGATGATTGCATTCAAGTCACAGAGTTGAAGGTTCCTTTTCAAAGAGCAGTTTCCAATCACTCTTTCTGTGGAATCTGCAAGTGGATATTTGGACCTCTTTGAAGATTTCGTTGGAAACGGGAGAATCTTCACAGAAAAGCTAAACAGAAGCATTCTCAGAAACTTCTCTGTGATGTTTGTGTTCAACTCCCAGAGTTTCACATTGCTTCTCATAGAGTAGTTCTGAAACATGCTTTTCGTAGTGTCTGCAAGTGGACATTTGGAGCGCTTTCAGGCCTGTGGTGGAAAACGAATTATGGTCACATAAAAACTGGAGAGAAGCCTTCTCAGAAACTTCTCTGTGATGATTGCATTCAACTCACAGAGTTGAACCCTCCTATGGATAGAGCAGTGTTGAAACTCTCTTTTTGTTTAATCTGCAAGCGGATATGTGGACCTCTCCGAAGACGTCTTTGGAAACGGGAATATCTTCACATAAAAACTAAACAGAAGCATTCTCAGAAACTTCTTGGTGATGTTTGCATTCAAATCCCAGAGTTGAACCTTCCTTTGAGAGTTCAGGTTTGAAACACTCTTTTTGTAGGATCTGCAAGTGGATATTTGGACCACTCTGTGGCCTTCGTTCGAAACGGGTACATCTTCGCATAAAATCTAGACAGAAGCATTCTCAGAAAATACTTTGTGATGATTGAGTTGAACTCACAGAGCTGAACATTCCTTTGGATGGAGCAGGTTTGAGACACACTTTTTGTAGAATCTACAAGTGGATATTTGGACCTCTCTGAGGATTTCGTTGGAAACGGGATAACTGCACCTAACTAAACGGAAGCATTCTCAGAAACTGCTTTGTGATGATTGCATTCACCTCACAGAGTTGAACATTCCTATTGATAGAGCAGTTTGGATACACTCTTGTTGTGGAATGTGCAAGTGGAGATTTGGAGCGCTTTGAGGCCTATGGTAGTAAAGGGAATAGCTTCATAGAAAAACTAGACAGATGTATTCTCAGGAACTTTTTGGTGATGTTTGTATTCAACTCCCAGAGTTGAACTTTCCTTTGGAAAGAGCAGCTATGAAACACTCTTTTTCTAGAATCTGCAAGTGGACGTTTGGAGGGCTTTGTGGTTTGTGGTGTAAAAGGAAATATCTTCACCTAAATACTAGATAGAAGCATTCTCAGAAGCTTCTCTGTGATGACTGCATTCAACTCACGGAGTTGAACACTCCTTTTGAGAGCGTAGTTTTGAAACTCTCTTTCTGTGGCATCTGCAAGGGGACATGTAGACCTCTTTGAAGATTTCGTTGGAAACGGAATCATCTTCACATAAAAACTATACAGAAGCAGTCTCAGAATCTTCTTTGTGATGTTTGCATTCAAATCCCAGAGTTGAACTTTCCTTTCAAAGTTCACGTTTGAAACACTCTTTTTGCAGGATCTACAAGTGGATATTTGGACCACTCTGTGTCCTTCGTTCGAAACGGGTATATCTTCACACGACATCTAGACAGAAGCTTTCTCAGAAAATTCTTTGGGATGATTGAGTGGAACTCACAGAGCTGAACATTCCTTGCGATGTAGCAGTTTAGAAACACACTTTCTGCAGAATCTGCAAGTGCATATTTGGACCTCTCTGAGGAATTCGTTGGAAACGGGATAATTTCAGCTGACTAAACAGAAGCATTCTCAGAACCTTCTTCGTGATGTCTGCATTCAACTCACAGTGTGGAACCTTTCTTTGATAGTTCAGGTTTGAAACACTCTTTTTGTAGAAACTGCAAGGGGATAATTGCACTTCTTTGAGGCCTACCGTAGTAAAGGAAATAACTTCCTATAGAAAGAAGACAGAAGCATTCTCAGAACCCTCTTCGTGATGTTTGCATTCAACTCACAGTGCTGAACCTTTCTTTGATAGTTCAGCTTTGAAACACTCTTCTTGTAGAAACTGCAAGTGGATATTTGGTCCTCTCTGAGGATTTCGTTGGAAACGGGATAAACCGCACAGAACTAAACAGAAGCATTCTCAGAGCCCTCTTCGTGATGTTTGCATTCAACTCACAGTGCTGAACCTTTCTTTGATAGTGCAGCTTTGAAACACTCTTTTTGTAGAAACTGCAAGTGGATGTTTGGTCCTCTCTGAGGATTTCGTTGGAAACGGGATAAACCGCACAGAACTAAAACAGAAGCATTGTCAGAAACTTCTTTGTGATGATTGCATTCAACTCACAGAGTTGAAGGTTCCTTTTCAAACAGCAGTTTCCAATCACTCTTTCTGTGGAATCTGCAAGTGGATATTTGGGCCTCTCTGAGGATTTCGTTGGAAACGGGATAAAACGCACAGAACTAAAACAGAAGCATTCTCAGAAACTTCTCTGTGATGTTTGTGTTCAACTCCCAGAGTTTCACGTTGCTTTTCATAGAGTAGTTCTGAAACATGCTTTTCGTAGTGTCTGCAAGTGTACATTTGGAGCGCTTTCAGGCCTGTGGTGGAAAACGAATTATGGTCACATAAAAACTGGAGAGAAACCTTCTCAGAAACTTCTCTGTGATGATTGCATTCAACTCACGGAGTTGAACCCTCCTATGGATAGAGCAGTGTTGAAACTCTCTTTTTGTGGAATCTGCAAGTGGATATGTGGACCTCTCCGAAGATGTCTTTGGAAACGGGAATATCTTCACATGAAAACTAAACAGAAGCATTCTCAGAAACTTCTTGGTGATGTTTGCATTCAAATCCCAGAGTTGAACCTTCCTTTGATAGTTCAGGTTTGAAACACTCTTTCTGTAGGATCTGCAAGTGGCTATTTGGACCACTCTGTGGCCTTCGTTCGAAACGGGTATATCTTCGCATAAAATCTAGACAGAAGCATTCTCAGAAAATACTTTGTGATGATTGAGTTTAAATCACAGAGCTGACCATTCCTTTGGATGGAGCAGGTTTGAGACACACTTTTTGTAGAATCTACAAGTGGATATTTGGACCTCTCTGAGGATTTCGTTGGAAACGGGGTAACTGCACCTAACTAAACGGAAGCATTCTCAGAAACTGCTTTGTGATGATTGCATTCACCTCACAGAGTTGAACATTCCTATTGATAGAGCAGTTTGGAAACACTCTTGTTGCGGAATGTGCAAGTGGAGATTTGGAGCGCTTTGAGGCCTGTGGTAGTAAAGGGAATAGCTTCATAGAAAAACTAGACAGATGCATTCTCAGGAACTTTTTGGTGATGTTTGTATTCAACTCCCAGAGTTGAACTTTCCTTTGGAAAGAGCAGCTATGAAACACTCTTTTTCTAGAATCTGCAAGTGGACGTTTGGAGGGCTTTGTGGTTTGTGGTGGAAAAGGAAATATCTTCACCTAAATACTAGATAGAAGCATTCTCAGAAGCTTCTCTGTGATGACTGCATTCAACTCACGGAGTTGAACACTCCTTTTGAGAGCGCAGTTTTGAAACTCTCTTTCTGTGGCATCTGCAAGGGGACATGTAGACCTCTTTGAAGATTTCGTTGGAAACGGAATCATCTTCACATAAAAACTATACAGAAGCAGTCTCAGAATCTTCTTTGTGATGTTTGCATTCAAATCCCAGAGTTGAACTTTCGTTTCAAATTTCACGTTTGAAACACTCTTTTTGCAGGATCTACAAGTGGATATTTGGACCACTCTGTGTCCTTCGTTCGAAACGGGTATATCTTCACATGACATCTAGACAGAAGCTTTCTCAGAAAATTCTTTGCGATGATTGAGTTGAACTCACAGAGCTGAGCATTCCTTGCGATGTAGCAGTTTAGAAACACACTTTCTGCAGAATCTGCAAGTGCATATTTGGACCTCTGTGAGGAATTCGTTGGAAACGGGATAATTTCAGCTGACTAAACAGAAGCATTCTCAGAACCTTCTTCGTGATGTCTGCATTCAACACAAAGTGTGGAACCTTTCTTTGATAGTTCAGGTTTTAAAAACTCTTTTTGTAGAAACTGCAAGGGGATAATTGCACTCTTTGAGGAGTACCGTAGTAAAGGAAATAACTTCCTATAAAAAGAAGACAGAAGCATTCTCAGAACCCTCTTCGTGATGTTTGCATTCAACTCACAGTGCTGAACCTTTCTTTGATAGTTCAGCTTTGAAACACTCTTTTTGTAGAAACTGCAAGTGAATATTTGGTCCTCTCTGAGGATTTCGTTGGAAACAGGATAAAACGCACAGAACTAAACAGAAGCATTCTCAGAACCTTCTTCGTGATGTTTGCATTCAACTCACAGTGTTGAACCTTTCTTTGATAGTTCAGGTTTGAAACGGTCTTTCTGTAGAAACTGCAAGTAGATATTTGGACCACTTTGAGGATTTCGTTGGAAACGGGATAAACCGCACAGAACTAAAACAGAAGCATTCACAGAAAACTCTTGGTGACGACTGAGTTTAACTCACAGAGCTGAACATTCCTTTGGATGGAGCAGTTTCGAAACACACTATTTGTAGAATGTGCAAGTGGATATTTGGGCCTCTCTGAGGATTTCGTTGGAAACGGGATAAACCGCACAGAACTAAACAGAAGCATTCTCAGAAACTACTTTGTGATGATTGCATTCAAGTCACAGAGTTGAACATTCCCTTTGACAGAGCAGTTTGGAAACTCTCTTTGTGTAGAATCTGCAAGTGGAGATATGGACCGCTTTGAGGCCTATGGTAGTAAAGGAAATAGCTTCATATAAAAGCTAGACAGTAGCATTCTCAGAAACTTCTTTGTGATGCTTGCATTCAACTCACAGAGTTGAACTTTCCTTTCGAGAGAGAAGCTTTGAAACACTCTTTTTCCAGAATCTGCAAGTGGACATTTGGAGGGCTTTGAGGCCTGTGGTGGAAAAGGAATTATCTTCCCGTAAAAGCTAGATAGAAGCATTGTCAGAAACTTCTTTGTGATGATTGCATTCAACTCACAGAGTTGAAGGTTCCTTTTCAAAGAGCAGTTTCCAATCACTCTTTGTGTGGAATCTGCAAGTGGATATTTGGACCTATTTTGAAGATTTCGTTGGAAACGGGAGAATCTTCACAGGAAAGCTAAACAGAAGCATTCTCAGAAACTTCTCTGTGATGTTTGTGTTCAACTCCCAGAGTTTCACATTGCTTCTCATAGAGTAGTTCTGAAACATGCTTTTCGTAGTGTCTGCAAGTGGACATTTGGAGCGCTTTCAGGCCTGTGGTGGAAAACGGATTATGGTCACATAAAAACTGGAGAGAAGCCTTCTCAGAAACTTCTCTGTGATGATTGCATTCAACTCACAGAGTTGAACCCTCCTATAGATAGAGCAGTGTTGAAACTCTCTTTTTGTGGAATCTGCAAGTGGATATGTGGACCTCTCCGAAGATGTCTTTGGAAACGGGAATATCTTCACATAAAAACTAAACAGAAGCATTCTCAGAAACTTCTTCGTGATGTTTGCATTCAAATCCCAGAGTTGAACCTTCCTTTGAGAGTTCAGGTTTGAAACACTCTTTTTGTAGGATCTGCAAGTGGATATTTGGACCACTCTGTGGCCTTCGTTCGAAACGGGTACATCTTCGCATAAAATCTAGACAGAAGCATTCTCAGAAAATACTTTGTGATGATTGAGTTTAACTCACAGAGCTGAACATTCCTTTGGATGGAGCAGGTTTGAGACACACCTTTTGTAGAATCTACAAGTGGATATTTGGACCTCTCTGAGGATTTCGTTGGAAACGGGATAACTGCACCTAACTAAACGGAAGCATTCTCAGAAACTGCTTTGTGATGATTGCATTCACCTCACAGAGTTGAACATTCCTATTGATAGAGCAGTTTGGAAACACTCTTGTTGTGGAATGTGCAAGTGGAGATTTGGAGCGCTTTGAGGCCTATGGTAGTAAAGGGAATAGCTTCATAGAAAAACTAGACAGATGCATTCTCAGGAACTTTTTGGTGATGTTTGTATTCAACTCCCAGAGTTGAACTTTCCTTTGGAAAGATCAGCTATGAAACACTCTTTTTCTAGAATCTGCAAGTGGACGTTTGGAGGGCTTTGTGGTTTGTGGTGGAAAAGGAAATATCTTCACCTAAATACTAGATAGAAGCATTCTCAGAAGCTTCTCTGTGATGACTGCATTCAACTCACGGAGTTGAACACTCCTTTTGAGAGCGCAGTTTTGAAACTCTCTTTCTGTGGCATCCGCAAGGGGACATGTAGACCTCTTTGAAGATTTCGTTGGAAACGGAATCATCTTCACATAAAAACTATACAGAAGCAGTCTCAGAATCTTCTTTGTGATGTTTGCATTCAAATCCCAGAGTTGAACTTTCCTTTCAAAGTTCACGTTTGAAACACTCTTTTTGCAGGATCTACAAGTGGATATTTGGACCACTCTGTGTCCTTCGTTCGAAACGGGTATATCTTCACATGACATCTAGACAGAAGCTTTCTCAGAAAATTCTTTGGGATGATTGAGTGGAACTCACAGAGCTGAACATTCCTTGCGATGTAGCAGTTTAGAAACACACTTTCTGCAGAATCTGCAAGTGCATATTTGGACCTCTCTGAGGAATTCGTTGGAAACGGGATAATTTCAGCTGACTAAACAGAAGCATTCTCAGAACCTTCTTCGTGATGTCTGCATTCAACTCACAGTGTGGAACCTTTCTTTGATAGTTCAGGTTTGAAACACTCTTTTTGTAGAAACTGCAAGGGGATAATTGCACTTCTTTGAGGCCTACCGTAGTAAAGGAAATAACTTCCTATAGAAAGAAGACAGAAGCATTCTCAGAACCCTCTTCGTGATGTTTGCATTCAACTCACAGTGCTGAACCTTTCTTTGATAGTTCAGCTTTGAAACACTCTTCTTGTAGAAACTGCAAGTGGATATTTGGTCCTCTCTGAGGATTTCGTTGGAAACGGGATAAACCGCACAGAACTAAACAGAAGAATTCTCAGAGCCCTCTTCGTGATGTTTGCATTCAACTCACAGTGCTGAACCTTTCTTTGATAGTGCAGCTTTGAAACACTCTTTTTGTAGAAACTGCAAGTGGATGTTTGGTCCTCTCTGAGGATTTCGTTGGAAACGGGATAAACCGCACAGAACTAAAACAGAAGCATTGTCAGAAACTTCTTTGTGATGATTGCATTCAACTCACAGAGTTGAAGGTTCCTTTTCAAACAGCAGTTTCCAATCACTCTTTCTGTGGAATCTGCAAGTGGATATTTGGGCCTCTCTGAGGATTTCGTTGGAAACGGGATAAAACGCACAGAACTAAAACAGAAGCATTCTCAGAAACTTCTCTGTGATGTTTGTGTTCAACTCCCAGAGTTTCACGTTGCTTTTCATAGAGTAGTTCTGAAACATGCTTTTCGTAGTGTCTGCAAGTGGACATTTGGAGCGCTTTCAGGCCTGTGGTGGAAAACGAATTATGGTCACATAAAAACTGGAGAGAAGCCTTCTCAGAAACTTCTCTGTGATGATTGCATTCAACTCACAGAGTTGAACCCTCCTATGGATAGAGCAGTGTTGAAACTCTCTTTTTGTGGAATCTGCAAGTGGATATGTGGACCTCTCCGAAGATGTCTTTGGAAACGGGAATATCTTCACATAAAAACTAAACAGAAGCATTCTCAGAAACTTCTTGGTGATGTTTGCATTCAAATCCCAGAGTTGAACCTTCCTTTGATAGTTCAGGTTTGAAACACTCTTTCTGTAGGATCTGCAAGTGGCTATTTGGACCACTCTGTGGCCTTCGTTCGAAACGGGTATATCTTCGCATAAAATCTAGACAGAAGCATTCTCAGAAAATACTTTGTGATGATTGAGTTTAAATCACAGAGCTGACCATTCCTTTGGATGGAGCAGGTTTGAGACACACTTTTTGTAGAATCTACAAGTGGATATTTGGACCTCTCTGAGGATTTCGTTGGAAACGGGATAACTGCACCTAACTAAACGGAAGCATTCTCAGAAACTGCTTTGTGATGATTGCATTCACCTCACAGAGTTGAACATTCCTATTGATAGAGCAGTTTGGAAACACTCTTGTTGTGGAATGTGCAAGTGGAGATTTGGAGCGCTTTGAGGCCTATGGTAGTAAAGGGAATAGCTTCATAGAAAAACTAGACAGATGCATTCTCAGGAACTTTTTGGTGATGTTTGTATTCAACTCCCAGAGTTGAACTTTCCTTTGGAAAGAGCAGCTATGAAACACTCTTTTTCTAGAATCTGCAAGTGGACGTTTGGAGGGCTTTGTGGTTTGTGGTGGAAAAGGAAATATCTTCACCTAAATACTAGATAGAAGCATCCTCAGAAGCTTCTCTGTGATGACTGCATTCAACTCACGGAGTTGAACACTCCTTTTGAGAGCGCAGTTTTGAAACTGTCTTTCTGTGGCATCTGCAAGGGGACATGTAGACCTCTTTGAAGATTTCGTTGGAAACGGAATCATCTTCACATAAAAACTATACAGAAGCAGTCTCAGAATCTTCTTTGTGATGTTTGCATTCAAATCCCCGAGTTGAACTTTCCTTTCAAAGTTCACGTTTGAAACACTCTTTTTGCAGGATCTACAAGTGGATATTTGGACCACTCTGTGTCCTTCGTTCGAAACGGGTATATCTTCACATGACATCTAGACAGAAGCTTTCTCAGAAAATTCTTTGGGATGATTGAGTTGAACTCACAGAGCTGAGCATTCCTTGCGATGTAGCAGTTTAGAAACACACTTTCTGCAGAATCTGCAAGTGCATATTTGGACCTCTGTGAGGAATTCGTTGGAAACGGGATAATTTCAGCTGACTAAACAGAAGCATTCTCAGAACCTTCTTCGTGATGTCTGCATTCAACTCACAGTGTGGAACCTTTCTTTGATAGTTCAGGTTTGAAACACTCTTTCTGTAGAAACTGCAAGGGGATAATTGCACTCTTTGAGGAGTACCGTAGTAAAGGAAATAACTTCCTATAAAAAGAAGACAGAAGCATTCTCAGTAACCCTCTTCGTGATGTTTGCATTCAACTCACAGTGCTGAACCTTTCTTTGATAGTTCAGCTTTGAAACACTCTTTTTGTAGAAACTGCAAGTGGATATTTGGTCCTCTCTGAGGATTTCGTTGGAAACGGGATAAACTGCACAGAACTAAACAGAAGCATTCTCAGAACCTTCTTCGTGATGTTTGCATTCAACTCACAGTGTTGAACCTTTCTTTGATAGTTCAGGTTTGAAACGGTCTTTCTGTAGAAACTGCAAGTAGATATTTGGACCTCTCTGAGGATTTCGTTGGAAACGGGATAAACCGCACACAACTAAAACAGAAGCATTCACAGAAAACTCTTGGTGACGACTGAGTTTAACTCACAGAGCTGAACATTCCTTTGGATGGAGCAGTTTCGAAACACACTATTTCTAGAAGGTGCAAGTGGATATGTGGGCCTCTCTGATGATTTCGTTGGAAACGGGATAAACCGCACAGAACTAAACAGAAGCATTCTCAGAAACTACTTTGTGATGATTGCATTCAAGTCACAGAGTTGAACATTCCCTTTGACAGAGCAGTTTGGAAACTCTCTTTGTGTAGAATCTGCAAGTGGAGATATGGACCGCTTTGAGGCCTATGGTAGTAAAGGAAATAGCTTCATATAAAAGCTAGACAGTAGCATTCCCAGAAACTTCTTTGTGATGCTTGCATTCAACTCACAGAGTTGAACTTTCCTTTCGAGAGAGAAGCTTTGAAACACTCTTTTTCCAGAATCTGCAAGTGGACATTTGGAGGGCTTTGAGGCCTGTGGTGGAAAAGGAATTATCTTCCCGTAAAAGCTAGATAGAAGCATTGTCAGAAACTTCTTTGTGATGATTGCATTCAACTCACAGAGTTGAAGGTTCCTTTTCAAACAGCAGTTTCCAATCACTCTTTCTGTGGAATCTGCAAGTGGATATTTGGGCCTCTCTGAGGATTTCGTTGGAAACGGGATAAAACGCACAGAACTAAAACAGAAGCATTCTCAGAAACTTCTCTGTGATGTTTGTGTTCAACTCCCAGAGTTTCACGTTGCTTTTCATAGAGTAGTTCTGAAACATGCTTTTCGTAGTGTCTGCAAGTGGACATTTGGAGCGCTTTCAGGCCTGTGGTGGAAAACGAATTATGGTCACATAAAAACTGGAGAGAAGCCTTCTCAGAAACTTCTCTGTGATGATTGCATTCAACTCACAGAGTTGAACCCTCCTATGGATAGAGCAGTGTTGAAACTCTCTTTTTGTGGAATCTGCAAGTGGATATGTGGACCTCTCCGAAGATGTCTTTGGAAACGGGAATATCTTCACATAAAAACTAAACAGAAGCATTCTCAGAAACTTCTTGGTGATGTTTGCATTCAAATCCCAGAGTTGAACCTTCCTTTGATAGTTCAGGTTTGAAACACTCTTTCTGTAGGATCTGCAAGTGGCTATTTGGACCACTCTGTGGCCTTCGTTCGAAACGGGTATATCTTCGCATAAAATCTAGACAGAAGCATTCTCAGAAAATACTTTGTGATGATTGAGTTTAAATCACAGAGCTGACCATTCCTTTGGATGGAGCAGGTTTGAGACACACTTTTTGTAGAATCTACAAGTGGATATTTGGACCTCTCTGAGGATTTCGTTGGAAACGGGATAACTGCACCTAACTAAACGGAAGCATTCTCAGAAACTGCTTTGTGATGATTGCATTCACCTCACAGAGTTGAACATTCCTATTGATAGAGCAGTTTGGAAACACTCTTGTTGTGGAATGTGCAAGTGGAGATTTGGAGCGCTTTGAGGCCTATGGTAGTAAAGGGAATAGCTTCATAGAAAAACTAGACAGATGCATTCTCAGGAACTTTTTGGTGATGTTTGTATTCAACTCCCAGAGTTGAACTTTCCTTTGGAAAGAGCAGCTATGAAACACTCTTTTTCTAGAATCTGCAAGTGGACGTTTGGAGGGCTTTGTGGTTTGTGGTGGAAAAGGAAATATCTTCACCTAAATACTAGATAGAAGCATTCTCAGAAGCTTCTCTGTGATGACTGCATTCAACTCACGGAGTTGAACACTCCTTTTGAGAGCGCAGTTTTGAAACTCTCTTTCTGTGGCATCTGCAAGGGGACATGTAGACCTCTTTGAAGATTTTGTTGGAAACGGAATCATCTTCACATAAAAACTATACAGAAGCAGTCTCAGAATCTTCTTTGTGATGTTTGCATTCAAATCCCAGAGTTGAACTTTCCTTTCAAAGTTCACGTTTGAAACACTCTTTTTGCAGGATCTAAAAGTGGATATTTGTACCACTCTGTGTCCTTCGTTCGAAACGGGTATATCTTCACATGACATCTAGACAGAAGCTTTCTCAGAAAATTCTTTGGGATGATTTAGTGGAACTCACAGAGCTGAACATTCCTTGCGATGTAGCAGTTTAGAAACACACTTTCTGCAGAATCTGCAAGTGCATATTTGGACCTCTCTGAGGAATTCGTTGGAAACGGGATAATTTCAGCTGACTAAACAGAAGCATTCTCAGAACCTTCTTCGTGATGTCTGCATTCAACTCACAGTGTGGAACCTTTCTTTGATAGTTCAGGTTTGAAACACTCTTTTTGTAGAAACTGCAAGGGGATAATTGCACTCTTTGAGGAGTACCCGTAGTAAAGGAAATAACTTCCTATAAAAAGAAGACAGAAGCATTCTCAGAACCCTCTTCGTGATGTTTGCATTCAACTCACAGTGCTGAACCTTTCTTTGATAGTTCAGCTTTGAAACACTCTTTTTGTAGAAACTGCAAGTGGATATTTGGTCCTCTCTGAGGATTTCGTTGGAAACGGGATAAACTGCACAGAACTAAACAGAAGCATTCTCAGAACCTTCTTCGTGATGTTTGCATTCAACTCACAGTGTTGAACCTTTCTTTGATAGTTCAGGTTTGAAACGGTCTTTCTGTAGAAACTGCAAGTAGATATTTGGACCTCTCTGAGGATTTCGTTGGAAACGGGATAACCCGCACAGAACTAAAACAGAAGCATTCACAGAAAACTCTTGGTGACGACTGAGTTTAACTCACAGAGCTGAACATTCCTTTGGATGGAGCAGTTTCGAAACACACTATTTGTAGAATGTGCAAGTGGATATTTAGGCCTCTCTGAGGATTTCGTTGGAAACGGGATAAACCGCACAGAACTAAACAGAAGCATTCTCAGAAACTACTTTGTGATGATTGCATTCAAGTCACAGAGTTGAACATTCCCTTTGACAGAGCAGTTTGGAAACTCTCTTTGTGTAGAATCTGCAAGTGGAGATATGGACCGCTTTGAGGCCTATGGTAGTAAAGGAAATAGCTTCATATAAAAGCTAGACAGTAGCATTCTCAGAAACTTCTTTGTGATGCTTGCATTCAACTCACAGAGTTGAACTTTCCTTTCGAGAGAGAAGCTTTGAAACACTCTTTTTCCAGAATCTGCAAGTGGACATTTGGAGGGCTTTGAGGCCTGTGGTGGAAAAGGAATTATCTTCCCGTAAAAGCTAGATAGAAGCATTGTCAGAAACTTCTTTGTGATGATTGCATTCAACTCACAGAGTTGAAGGTTCCTTTTCAAAGAGCAGTTTCCAATCACTCTTTCTGTGGAATCTGCAAGTGGATATTTGGACCTATTTTGAAGATTTCGTTGGAAACGGGAGAATCTTCACAGGAAAGCTAAACAGAAGCATTCTCAGAAACTTCTCTGTGATGTTTGTGTTCAACTCCCAGAGTTTCACATTGCTTTTCATAGAGTAGTTCTGAAACATGCTTTTCGTAGTGTCTACAAGTGGACATTTGGAGCGCTTTCAGGCCTGTGGTGGAAAACGAATTATGGTCACATAAAAACTGGAGAGAAGCCTTCTCAGAAACTTCTCTGTGCTGATTGCATTCAACTCACAGAGTTGAACCCTCCTATGGATAGAGCAGTGTTGAAACTCTCTTTTTGTGGAATCTGCAAGTGGATATGTGGACCTCTCCAAAGATGTCTTTGGAAACGGGAATATCTTCACATAAAAACTAAACAGAAGCATTCTCAGAAACTTCTTGGTGATGTTTGCATTCAAATCCCAGTGTTGAACCTTCCTTTGATAGTTCAGGTTTGAAACACTCTTTTTGTAGGATCTGCAAGTGGATATTTGGACCACTCTGTGGCCTTCGTTCGAAACGGGTATATCTTCGCATAAAATCTAGACAGAAGCATTCTCAGAAAATACTTTGTGATGATTGAGTTTAACTCACAGAGCTGAACATTCCTTTGGATGGAGCAGGTTTGAGACACACTTTTTGTAGAATCTACAAGTGGATATTTGGACCTCTCTGAGGATTTCGTTGGAAACGGGATAACTGCACCTAACTAAACGGAAGCATTCTCAGAAACTGCTTTGTGATGATTGCATTCACCTCACAGAGTTGAACATTCCTATTGATAGAGCAGTTTGGAAACACTCTTGTTGTGGAATGTGCAAGTGGAGATTTGGAGCGCTTTGAGGCCTATGGTAGTAAAGGGAATAGCTTCATAGAAAAACTAGACAGATGCATTCTCAGGAACTTTTTGGTGACGTTTGTATTCAACTCCCAGACTTGAACTTTCCTTTGGAAAGAGCAGCTATGAAACACTCTTTTTCTAGAATCTGCAAGTGGACGTTTGGAGGGCTTTGTGGTTTGTGGTGGAAAAGGAAATATCTTCACCTAAATACTAGATAGAAGCATTCTCAGAAGCTTCTCTGTGATGACTGCATTCAACTCACGGAGTTGAACACTCCTTTTGAGAGCGCAGTTTTGAAACTCTCTTTCTGTGGCATCTGCAAGGGGACATGTAGACCTCTTTGAAGATTTCGTTGGAAACGGAATCATCTTCACATAAAAACTATACAGAAGCAGTCTCATAATCTTCTTTGTGATGTTTGCATTCAAATCCCAGAGTTGAACTTTCCTTTCAAAGTTCACGTTTGAAACACTCTTTTTGCAGGATCTACAAGTGGATATTTGGACCACTCTGTGTCTTTCGTTCGAAACGGGTATATCTTCACATGACATCTAGACAGAAGCTTTCTCAGAAAATTCTTTGGGATGATTGAGTTGAACTCACAGAGCTGAGCATTCCTTGCGATGTAGCAGTTTAGAAACACACTTTCTGCAGAATCTGCAAGTGCATATGTGGACCTCTCTGAGGAATTCGTTGGAAACAGGATAATTTCAGCTGACTAAACAGAAGCATTCTCAGAACCTTCTTCGTGATGTCTGCATTCAACTCACAGTGTGGAACCTTTCTTTGATAGTTCAGGTTTGAAACACTCTTTTTGTAGAAACTGCAAGGAGATAATTGCACTTCTTTGAGGCCTAACGTAGTAAAGGAAATAACTTCCTATAAAAAGAAGACAGAAGCATTCTCAGAACCCTCTTCGTGATGTTTGCATTCAACTCACACTGCTGAACCTTTCTTTGATAGTTCAGCTTTGAAACACTCTTTTTGTAGAAACTGCAAGTGGATATTTGGTCCTCTCTGAGGATTTCGTTGGAAAAGGGATAAACCGCACAGAACTAAACAGAAGCATTCACAGAAAACTCTTGGTGACGACTGAGTTTAACTCACAGAGCTGAACATTCCTTTGGATGGAGCAGTTTTGAAACACACTATTTGTAGAATCTGCAAGTGGATATTTGGGCCTCTCTGAGGATTTAATTGGAAAAGGGATAAACCGCACAGAACTAAAACAGAAGCATTCTCAGAAACTACTTTGTGATGATTGCATTCAAGTCACAGAGCTGAACATTCCCTTTGACAGAGCAGTTTGGAAACTCTCTTTGTGTAGAATCTGCAAGTGGAGATATGGAATGCTTTGAGGACTATGGTAGTAAAGGAAATAGCTTCATATAAAAGCTAGACAGTAGCATTCTCAGGAACTTCTTTGTGATGCTTGCATTCAACTCACAGAGTTGAAGTTTCCTTTCGAGAGAGAAGCTTTGAAACACTCTTTTTCCAGAATCTGCAAGTGGACATTTGGAGGGCTTTGAGGCCTGTGGTGGAAAAGGAATTATCTTCCCGTAAAAGCTAGATAGAAGCATTGTCAGAAACTTCTTTGTGATGATTGCATTCAACTCACAGAGTTGAAGGTTCCTTTTCAAACAGCAGTTTCCAAACACCCTTTCTGTGGAATCTGCAAGTGGATGTTTGGACCTCTTGGAAGATTTCGTTGGAAACGGGAGAATCTTCACAGAAAAGCTAAACAGAAGCTTTCTCAGAAACTTCTCTGTGATGTTTGTGTTCAACTCCCAGAGTTTCACATTGCTTTTCATTGAGTAGTTCTGAAACATGCTTTTCGTAGTGTCTGCAAGTGGACGTTTGGAGCGCTTTCAGGCCTGTGGTGGAAAACGAATTATGGTCACATAAAAACTGGAGAGAAGCCTTCTCAGAAACTTCTCTGTGATGATTGCATTCAACTCACAGAGTTGAACCCTCCTATGGATAGAGCAGTGTTGAAACTCTCTTTTTGTGGAATCTGCAAGTGGATATGTGGACCTCTCCGAAGATGTCTTTGGAAACGGGAATATCTTCACATAAAAACTAAACAGAAGCATTCTCAGAAACTTCTTGGTGATGTTTGCATTCAAATCCCAGAGTTGAACCTTCCTTTGATAGTTCAGGTTTGAAACACTCTTTTTGTAGGATCTGCAAGTGGATATTTGGACCACTCTGTGGCCTTCGTTCGAAACGGGTATATCTTCGCATAAAATCTAGACAGAAGCATTCTCAGAAAATACTTTGTGATGATTGAGTTTAACTCACAGAGCTGAACATTCCTTTGGATGGAGCAGGTTTGAGACACACCTTTTGTAGAATCTACAAGTGGATATTTGGACCTCTCTGAGGATTTCGTTGGAAACGGGATAACTGCACCTAACTAAACGGAAGCATTCTCAGAAACTGCTTTGTGATGATTGCATTCACCTCACAGAGTTGAACATTCCTATTGATAGAGCAGTTTGGAAACACTCTTGTTGTGGAATGTGCAAGTGGAGATTTGGAGCGCTTTGAGGTCTATGGTAGTAAAGGGAATAGCTTCATAGAAAAACTAGACAGATGCATTCTCAGGTAACTTTTTGGTGATGTTTGTATTCAACTCCCAGAGTTGAACTTTCCTTTGGAAAGAGCAGCTATGAAACACTCTTTTTCTAGAATCTGCAAGTGGACGTTTGGAGGGCTTTGTGGTTTGTGGTGGAAAAGGAAATATCTTCACCTAAATACTAGATAGAAGCATTCTCAGAAGCTTCTCTGTGATGACTGCATTCAACTCACGGAGTTGAACACTCCTTTTGAGAGCGCAGTTTTGAAACTCTCTTTCTGTGGCATCTGCAAGGGGACATGTAGACCTCTTTGAAGATTTCGTTGGAAACGGAATCATCTAACACATAAAAACTATACAGAAGCAGTCTCAGAATCTTCTTTGTGATGTTTGCATTCAAATCCCAGAGTTGAACTTTCCTTTCAAAGTTCACGTTTGAAACACTCTTTTTGCAGGATCTACAAGTGGATATTTGGACTACTCTGTGTCCTTCGTTCGAAAAGGGTATATCTTCACATGACATCTAGACAGAAGCTTTCTCAGAAAATTCTTTGGGATGATTGAGTTGAACTCACGGAGCTGAACATTCCTTGCGATGTAGCAGTTTAGAAACACACTTTCTGCAGAATCTGCAAGTGCATATTTGGACCTCTCTGAGGAATTCGTTGGAAACAGGATAATTTCAGCTGACTAAACAGAAGCATTCTCAGAACCTTCTTCATGATGTCTGCATTCAACTCACAGTGTGGAACCTTTCTTTGATAGTTCAGGTTTGAAACACTCTTTTTGTAGAAACTGCAAGGGGATAATTGCACTTCTTTGAGGCCTACCGTAGTAAAGGAAATAACTTCCTATAAAAAGAAGACAGAAGCATTCTCAGAACCCTCTTCGTGATGTTTGCATTCATCTCACAGTGCTGAACCTTTCTTTGATAGTTCAGCTTTGAAACACTCTTCTTGTAGAAACTGCAAGTGGATATTTGGTCCTCTCTGAGGATTTCGTTGGAAACGGGATAAACCGCACAGAATTAAACAGAAGCATTCACAGAAAACTCTTGGTGACGACTGAGTTTAACTCACAGAGCTGAACATTCCTTTGGATGGAGCAGTTTCGAAACACACTATTTGTAGAATGTGCAAGTGGATATTTGGGCCTCTCTGAGGATTTCGTTGGAAACGGGATAAACCGCACAGAACTAAAACAGAAGCATTCTCAGAAACTACTTTGTGATGATTGCATTCAAGTCACAGAGTTGAACATTCCCTTTGACAGAGCAGTTTGGAAACTCTCTTTGTGTAGAATCTGCAAGTGGAGATATGGACCGCTTTGAGGCCTATGGTAGTAAAGGAAATAGCTTCATATAAAAGCTTGACAGTAGCATTCTCAGAAACTTCTTTGTGATGCTTGCATTCAACTCACAGAGTTGAACTTCCCTTTCGAGAGAGAAGCTTTGAAACACTCTTTTTCCAGAATGTGCAAGTGGACATTTGGAGGGCTTTGAGGCCTGTGGTGGAAAAGGAGTTATCTTCCCGTAAAAGCTAGATAGAAGCATTGTCAGAAACTTCTTTGTGATGATTGCATTCAACTCACAGAGTTGAAGGTTCCTTTTCAAACAGCAGTTTCCAATCACTCTTTCTGTGGAATCTGCAAGTGGATATTTCGACCTCTTTGAAGATTTCGTTGGAAAAGGGAGAATCTTCACAGAAAAGCTAAACAGAAGCATTCTCAGAAACTTCTCTGTGATGTTTGTGTTCAACTCCCAGAGTTTCACGTTGCTTTTCATAGAGTAGTTTTGAAACATGCTTTTCGTAGTGTCTGCAAGTGGACATTTGGAGCGCTTTCAGGCCTGTGGTGGAAAACGAATTATGGTCACATGAAAACTGGAGAGAAGCCTTCTCAGAAACTTCTCTGTGATGATTGCATTCAACTCACAGAGTTGAACCCTCCTATGGATAGAGCAGTGTTGAAACTCTCTTTTTGTGGAATCTGCAAGTGGATATGTGGACCTCTCCGAAGATGTCTTTGGAAACGGGAATATCTTCACATAAAAACTAAACAGAAGCATTCTCAGAAACTTCTTGGTGATGTTTGCATTCAAATCCCAGAGTTGAACCTTCCTTTGATAGTTCAGGTTTGAAACACTCTTTTTGTAGGATCTGCAAGTGGCTATTTGGACCACTCTGTGGCCTTCGTTCGAAACGGGTATATCTTCGCATAAAATCTAGACAGAAGCATTCTCAGAAAATACTTTGTGATGATTGAGTTTAAATCACAGAGCTGAACATTCCTTTGGATAGAGCAGGTTTGAGACACACTTTTTGTAGAATCTACAAGTGGATATTTGGACCTCTCTGAGGATTTCGTTGGAAACGGGATAACTGCACCTAACTAAACGGAAGCATTCTCAGAAACTGCTTTGTGATGATTGCATTCACCTCACAGAGTTGAACATTCCTATTGATAGAGCAGTTTGGAAACACTCTTGTTGTGGAATGTGCAAGTGGAGATTTGGAGCGCTTTGAGGCCTGTGGTAGTAAAGGGAATAGCTTCATAGAAAAACTAGACAGATGCATTCTCAGGAACTTTTTGGTGATGTTTGTATTCAACTCCCAGAGTTGAACTTTCCTTTGGAAAGAGCAGCTATGAAACACTCTTTTTCTAGAATCTGCAAGTGGACGTTTGGAGGGCTTTGTGGTTTGTGGTGGAAAAGGAAATATCTTCACCTAAATACTAGATAGAAGCATCCTCAGAAGCTTCTCTGTGATGACTGCATTCAACTCATGGAGTTGAACACTCCTTTTGAGAGCGCAGTTTTGAAACTCTCTTTCTGTGGCATCTGCAAGGGGACATGTAGACCTCTTTGAAGATTTCGTTGGAAACGGAATCATCTTCACATAAAAACTACACAGAAGCAGTCTCAGAATCTTCTTTGTGATGTTTGCATTCAAATCCCCGAGTTGAACTTTCCTTTCAAAGTTCACGTTTGAAACACTCTTTTTGCAGGATCTACAAGTGGATATTTGGACCACTCTGTGTCCTTCGTTCGAAACGGGTATATCTTCACATGACATCTAGACAGAAGCTTTCTCAGAAAATTCTTTGGGATGATTGAGTTGAACTCACAGAGCTGAGCATTCCTTGCGATGTAGCAGTTTAGAAACACACTTTCTGCAGAATCTGCAAGTGCATATTTGGACCTCTGTGAGGAATTCGTTGGAAACGGGATAATTTCAGCTGACTAAACAGAAGCATTCTCAGAACCTTCTTCGTGATGTCTGCATTCAACTCACAGTGTGGAACCTTTCTTTGATAGTTCAGGTTTGAAACACTCTTTTTGTAGAAACTGCAAGGGGATAATTGCACTCTTTGAGGAGTACCGTAGTAAAGGAAATAACTTCCTATAAAAAGAAGACAGAAGCATTCTCAGAACCCTCTTCGTGATGTTTGCATTCAACTCACAGTGCTGAACCTTTCTTTGATAGTTCAGCTTTGAAACACTCTTTTTGTGGAAACTGCAAGTGGATATTTGGTCCTCTCTGAGGATTTCGTTGGAAACGGGATAAACTGCACAGAACTAAACAGAAGCATTCTCAGAACCTTCTTCGTGATGTTTGCATTCAACTCACAGTGTTGAACCTTTCTTTGATAGTTCAGGTTTGAAACGGTCTTTCTGTAGAAACTGCAAGTAGATATTTGGACCTCTCTGAGGATTTCGTTGGAAACGGGATAACCCGCACAGAACTAAAACAGAAGCATTCACAGAAAACTCTTGGTGACGACTGAGTTTAACTCACAGAGCTGAACATTCCTTTGGATGGAGCAGTTTCGAAACACACTATTTGTAGAATGTGCAAGTGGATATTTAGGCCTCTCTGAGGATTTCGTTGGAAACGGGATAAACCGCACAGAACTAAACAGAAGCATTCTCAGAAACTACTTTGTGATGATTGCATTCAAGTCACAGAGTTGAACATTCCCTTTGACAGAGCAGTTTGGAAACTCTCTTTGTGTAGAATCTGCAAGTGGAGATATGGACCGCTTTGAGGCCTATGGTAGTAAAGGAAATAGCTTCATATAAAAGCTAGACAGTAGCATTCTCAGAAACTTCTTTGTGATGCTTGCATTCAACTCACAGAGTTGAACTTTCCTTTCGAGAGAGAAGCTTTGAAACACTCTTTTTCCAGAATCTGCAAGTGGACATTTGGAGGGCTTTGAGGCCTGTGGTGGAAAAGGAATTATCTTCCCGTAAAAGCTAGATAGAAGCATTGTCAGAAACTTCTTTGTGATGATTGCATTCAAGTCACAGAGTTGAAGGTTCCTTTTCAAAGAGCAGTTTCAATCACTCTTTCTGTGGAATCTGCAAGTGGATATTTGGACCTCTTTGAAGATTTCGTTGGAAACGGGAGAATCTTCACAGAAAAGCTAAACAGAAGCATTCTCAGAAACTTCTCTGTGATGTTTGTGTTCAACTCCCGGAGTTTCACATTGCTTCTCATAGAGTAGTTCTGAAACATGCTTTTCGTAGTGTCTGCAAGTGGACATTTGGAGCGCTTTCAGGCCTGTGGTGGAAAACGAATTATGGTCACATAAAAACTGGAGAGAAGCCTTCTCAGAAACTTCTCTGTGATGATTGCATTCAACTCACAGAGTTGAACCCTCCTATGGATAGAGCAGTGTTGAAACTCTCTTTTTGTGGAATCTGCAAGCGGATATGTGGACCTCTCCGAAGATGTCTTTGGCAACGGGAATATCTTCACATAAAAACTAAACAGAAGCATTCTCAGAAACTTCTTGGTGATGTTTGCATTCAAATCCCAGAGTTGAACCTTCCTTTCATAGTTCAGGTTTGCAACACTCTTTTTGTAGGATCTGCAAGTGGATATTTGGACCACTCTGTGGCCTTCGTTCGAAACGGGTACATCTTCGCATAAAATCTAGACAGAAGCATTCTCAGAAAATACTTTTTGATGACTGAGTTGAACTCACAGAGCTGAACATTCCTTTGGATGGAGCAGGTTTGAGACACACTTTTTGTAGAATCTACAAGTGGATATTTGGACCTCTCTGAGGATTTCGTTGGAAACGGGATAACTGCACCTAACTAAACGGAAGCATTCTCAGAAACTGCTTTGTCATGATTGCATTCACCTCACAGAGTTGAACATTCCTATTGATAGAGCAGTTTGGAAACACTCTTGTTGTGGAATGTGCAAGTGGAGATTTGGAGCGCTTTGAGGCCTATGGTAGTAAAGGGAATAGCTTCATAGAAAAACTAGACAGATGCATTCTCAGGAACTTTTTGGTGATGTTTGTATTCAACTCCCAGAGTTGAACTTTCCTTTGGAAAGAGCAGCTATGAAACACTCTTTTTCTAGAATCTGCAAGTGGACGTTTGTAGGGCTTTGTGGTTTGTGGTGGAAAAGGAAATATCTTCACCTAAATACTAGATAGAAGCATTCTCAGAAGCTTCTCTGTGATGACTGCATTCAGCTCACGGAGTTGAACACTCCTTTTGAGAGCGCAGTTTTGAAACTCTCTTTCTGTGGCATCTGCAAGGGGACATGTAGACCTCTTTGAAGATTTCGTTGGAAACGGAATCATCTTCACATAAAAACTATACAGAAGCAGTCCCAGAATCTTCTTTGTGATGTTTGCATTCAAATCCCAGAGTTGAACTTTCCTTTCCAAGTTCACGTTTGAAACACTCTTTTTGCAGGATCTACAAGTCGATATTTGGACCACTCTGCGTCCTTCGTTCGAAACGGGTATATCTTCACATGACATCTAGACTGAAGCTTTCTCAGAAAATTCTTTGGGATGATTGAGTTGAGCAAACAGAGCTGAACACTCCTTGCGATGTAGCAGTTTAGAAACACACTTTCTGCAGAATCTGCAAGTGCATATGTGGACCTCTCTGAGGAATTCGTTGGAAATGGGATAATTTCAGCTGACTAAACAGAAGCATTCTCAGAACCTTCTTCGTGATGTCTGCATTCAACTCACAGTGTGGAACCTTTCTTTGATAGTTCAGGTTTGAAACACTCTTTTTGTAGAAACTGCAAGGGGATCATTGCACTTCTTTGAGGCCTACCGTAGTAAAGGAGATAAGTTCCTATAAAAAGAAGACAGAAGCATTCTCAGAACACTCTTCGTGATGTTTGCATTCAACTCACGGTGCTGAACCTTTCTTTGATAGTTCAGCTTTGAAACACTCTTTTTGTAGAAACTGCAAGTGGATATTTGGTCCTCTCTGAGGATTTCGTTGGAAACGGGATAAACCGCACAGAACTAAACAGAAGCATTCTCAGAACCTTCTTCGTGATGTTTGCATTCAACTCACAGTGTTGAACCTTTCTTTGATAGTTCAGGTTTGAAACGGTCTTTCTGTAGAAACTGCAAGTAGATATTTGGACCTCTCTGAGGATTTCGTTGGAAACGGGATAAACCGCACACAACTAAAACAGAAGCATTCACAGAAAACTCTTGGTGACGACTGAGTTTAACTCACAGAGCTGAACATTCCTTTGGATGGAGCAGTTTCGAAACACACTATTTGTAGAATGTGCAAGTGGATATGTGGGCCTCTCTGAGGATTTCGTTGGAAACGGGATAAACCGCACAGAACTAAACAGAAGCATTCTCAGAAACTACTTTGTGATGATTGCATTCAAGTCACAGAGTTGAACATTCCCTTTGACAGAGCAGTTTGGAAACTCTCTTTGTGTAGAATCTGCAAGTGGAGATATGGACCGCTTTGAGGCCTATGGTAGTAAAGGAAATAGCTTCATATAAAAGCTAGACAGTAGCATCCTCAGAAACTTCTTTGTGATGCTTGCATTCAACTCACAGAGTTGAACTTTCCTTTCGAGAGAGAAGCTTTGAAACACTCTTTTTCCAGAATCTGCAAGTGGACATTTGGAGGGCTTTGAGGCCTGTGGTGGAAAAGGAATTATCTTCCCGTAAAAGCTAGATAGAAGCATTGTCAGAAACTTCTTTGTGATGATTGCATTCAAGTCACAGAGTTGAAGGTTCCTTTTCAAAGAGCAGTTTCCAATCACTCTTTCTGTGGAATCTGCAAGTGGATATTTGGACCTCTTTGAAGATTTCGTTGGAAACGGGAGAATCTTCACAGAAAAGCTAAACAGAAGCATTCTCAGAAACTTCTCTGTGATGTTTTTGTTCAACTCCCAGAGTTTCACATTGCTTCTCATAGAGTAGTTCTGAAACATGCTTTTCGTAGTGTCTGCAAGTGGACATTTGGAGCGCTTTCAGGTCTGTGGTGGAAAACGAATTATGGTCACATAAAAACTGGAGAGAAGCCTTCTCAGAAACTTCTCTGTGATGATTGCATTCAACTCACAGAGTTGAACCCTCCTATGGATAGAGCAGTGTTGAAACTCTCTTTTTGTGGAATCTGCAAGCGGATATGTGGACCTCTCCGAAGATGTCTTTGGCAACGGGAATATCTTCACATAAAAACTAAACAGAAGCATTCTCAGAATCTTCTTGGTGATGTTTGCATTCAAATCCCAGAGTTGAACCTTCCTTTGAGAGTTCAGGTTTGAAACACTCTTTTTGTAGGATCTGCAAGTGGATATTTGGACCACTCTGTGGCCTTCTTTCGAAACGGGTACATCTTCGCATAAAATCTAGACAGAAGCATTCTCAGAAAATACTTTGTGATGATTGAGTTGAACTCACAGAGCTGAACATTCCTTTGGATGGAGCAGGTTTGAGACACACTTTTTGTAGAATCTACAAGTGGATATTTGGACCTCTCTGAGGATTTCGTTGGAAACGGGATAACTGCACCTAACTAAACGGAAGCATTCTCAGAAACTGCTTTGTGATGATTGCATTCACCTCACAGAGTTGAACATTCCTATTGATAGAGCAGTTTGGAAACACTCTTCTTGTGGAATGTACAAGTGGAGATTTGGAGCGCTTTGAGGCCTATGGTAGTAAAGGGAATAGCTTCATAGAAAAACTAGACAGATGCATTCTCAGGAACTTTTTGGTGATGTTTGTATTCAACTCCCAGAGTTGAACTTTCCTTTGGAAAGAGCAGCTATGAAACACTCTTTTTCTAGAATCTGCAAGTGGACGTTTGGAGGGCTATGTGGTTTGTGGTGGAAAAGGAAATATTTTCAACTAAATACTAGATAGGAGCATTCTCAGAAGCTTCTCTGTGATGACTGCATTCAACTCACGGAGTTGAACACTCCTTTTGAGAGCGCAGTTTTGAAACTCTCTTTCTGTGGCATCTGCAAGGGGACATGTAGACCTCTTTGAAGATTTCGTTGGAAACGGAATCATCTTCACATAAAAACTATACAGAAGCAGTCTCAGAATCTTCTTTGTGATGTTTGCATTCAAATCCCAGAGTTGAACTTTCCTTTCAAAGTTCACGTTTGAAACACTCTTTTTGCAGGATCTACAAGTGGATATTTGGACCACTCTGTGTCCTTCGTTCGAAACGGGTATATCTTCACACGACATCTAGACAGAAGCTTTCTCAGAAAATTCTTTGGGATGATTGAGTGGAACTCACAGAGCTGAACATTCCTTGCGATGTAGCAGTTTAGAAACACACTTTCTGCAGAATCTGCAAGTGCATATTTGGACCTCTCTGAGGAATTCGTTGGAAACGGGATAATTTCAGCTGACTAAACAGAAGCATTCTCAGAACCTTCTTCGTGATGTCTGCATTCAACTCACAGTGTGGAACCTTTCTTTGATAGTTCAGGTTTGAAACACTCTTTTTGTAGAAACTGCAAGGGGATAATTGCACTTCTTTGAGGCCTACCGTAGTAAAGGAAATAACTTCCTATAGAAAGAAGACAGAAGCATTCTCAGAACCCTCTTCGTGATGTTTGCATTCAACTCACAGTGCTGAACCTTTCTTTGATAGTTCAGCTTTGAAACACTCTTCTTGTAGAAACTGCAAGTGGATATTTGGTCCTCTCTGAGGATTTCGTTGGAAACGGGATAAACCGCACAGAACTAAACAGAAGAATTCTCAGAGCCCTCTTCGTGATGTTTGCATTCAACTCACAGTGCTGAACCTTTCTTTGATAGTGCAGCTTTGAAACACTCTTTTTGTAGAAACTGCAAGTGGATGTTTGGTCCTCTCTGAGGATTTCGTTGGAAACGGGATAAACCGCACAGAACTAAAACAGAAGCATTGTCAGAAACTTCTTTGTGATGATTGCATTCAACTCACAGAGTTGAAGGTTCCTTTTCAAACAGCAGTTTCCAATCACTCTTTCTGTGGAATCTGCAAGTGGATATTTGGGCCTCTCTGAGGATTTCGTTGGAAACGGGATAAAACGCACAGAACTAAAACAGAAGCATTCTCAGAAACTTCTCTGTGATGTTTGTGTTCAACTCCCAGAGTTTCACGTTGCTTTTCATAGAGTAGTTCTGAAACATGCTTTTCGTAGTGTCTGCAAGTGGACATTTGGAGCGCTTTCAGGCCTGTGGTGGAAAACGAATTATGGTCACATAAAAACTGGAGAGAAGCCTTCTCAGAAACTTCTCTGTGATGATTGCATTCAACTCACAGAGTTGAACCCTCCTATGGATAGAGCAGTGTTGAAACTCTCTTTTTGTGGAATCTGCAAGTGGATATGTGGACCTCTCCGAAGATGTCTTTGGAAACGGGAATATCTTCACATAAAAACTAAACAGAAGCATTCTCAGAAACTTCTTGGTGATGTTTGCATTCAAATCCCAGAGTTGAACCTTCCTTTGATAGTTCAGGTTTGAAACACTCTTTCTGTAGGATCTGCAAGTGGCTATTTGGACCACTCTGTGGCCTTCGTTCGAAACGGGTATATCTTCGCATAAAATCTAGACAGAAGCATTCTCAGAAAATACTTTGTGATGATTGAGTTTAAATCACAGAGCTGACCATTCCTTTGGATGGAGCAGGTTTGAGACACACTTTTTGTAGAATCTACAAGTGGATATTTGGACCTCTCTGAGGATTTCGTTGGAAACGGGATAACTGCACCTAACTAAACGGAAGCATTCTCAGAAACTGCTTTGTGATGATTGCATTCACCTCACAGAGTTGAACATTCCTATTGATAGAGCAGTTTGGAAACACTCTTGTTGTGGAATGTGCAAGTGGAGATTTGGAGCGCTTTGAGGCCTATGGTAGTAAAGGGAATAGCTTCATAGAAAAACTAGACAGATGCATTCTCAGGAACTTTTTGGTGATGTTTGTATTCAACTCCCAAGAGTTGAACTTTCCTTTGGAAAGAGCAGCTATGAAACACTCTTTTTCTAGAATCTGCAAGTGGACGTTTGGAGGGCTTTGTGGTTTGTGGTGGAAAAGGAAATATCTTCACCTAAATACTAGATAGAAGCATTCTCAGAAGCTTCTCTGTGATGACTGCATTCAACTCACGGAGTTGAACACTCCTTTTGAGAGCGCAGTTTTGAAACTCTCTTTCTGTGGCATCCGCAAGGGGACATGTAGACCTGTTTGAAGATTTCTTTGGAAAGGGAATCATCTTCACATAAAAACTATACAGAAGCAGTCTCAGAATCTTCTTTGTGATGTTTGCATTCAAATCCCAGAGTTGAACTTTCCTTTCAAAGTTCACGTTTGAAACACTCTTTTTGCAGGATCTACAAGTGGATATTTGGACCACTCTGTGTCCTTCGTTCGAAACGGGTATATCTTCACATGACATCTAGACAGAAGCTTTCTCAGAAAATTCTTTGGGATGATTGAGTTGAGCAAACAGAGCTGAACACTCCTTGCGATGTAGCAGTTTAGAAACACACTTTCTGCAGAATCTGCAAGTGCATATGTGGACCTCTCTGAGGAATTCGTTGGAAACGGGATAATTTCAGCTGACTAAACAGAAGCATTCTCAGAACCTTCTTCGTGATGTCTGCATTCAACTCACAGTGTGGAACATTTCTTTGATAGTTCAGGTTTGAATCACTCTTTTTGTAGAAACTGCAAGGGGATAATTGCACTTCTTTGAGGCCTACCGTAGTAAAGGAGATAACTTCCTATAAAAAGAAGACAGAAGCATTCTCAGAACCCTCTTCGTGATGTTTCCATTCAACTCACAGTGCTGAACCTTTCTTTGATAGTTCAGCTTTGAAACACTCTTCTTGTAGAAACTGCAAGTGGATATTTGGTCCTCTCTGAGGATTTCGTTGGAAACGGGATAAACCGCACAGAACTAAACAGAAGCATTCTCAGAACCTTCTTCGTGATGTTTGCATTCAACTCACAGTGTTGAACCTTTCTTTGATAGTTCAGGTTTGAAACGGTCTTTCTGTAGAAACTGCAAGTAGATATTTGGACCTCTCTGAGGATTTCGTTGGAAACGGGATAACCCGCACAGAACTAAAACAGAAGCATTCACAGAAAACTCTTGGTGACGACTGAGTTTAACTCACAGAGCTGAACATCCCTTTGGATGGAGCAGTTTCGAAAAACAATATTTGTAGAATGTGCAAGTGGATATTGGGGCCTCTGTGAGGATTTCGTTGGAAACGGGATAAACCGCACAGAACTAAACAGAAGCATTCTCAGAAACTACTTTGTGATGATTGCATTCAAGTCACAGAGTTGAACATTCCCTTTGACAGAGCAGTTTGGAAACTCTCTTTGTGTAGAATCTGCAAGTGGAGATATGGACCGCTTTGAGGCCTATGGTAATAAAGGAAATAGCTTCATATAAAAGCTAGACAGTAGCATTCTCAGAAACTTCTTTGTGATGCTTGCATTCAACTCACAGAGTTGAACTTTCCTTTCGAGAGAGAAGCTTTGAAACACTCTTTTTCCAGAATCTGCAAGTGGACATTTGGAGGGCTTTGAGGCCTGTGGTGGAAAAGGAATTATCTTCCCGTAAAAGCTAGATAGAAGCATTGTCAGAAACTTCTTTGTGATGATTGCATTCAACTCACAGAGTTGAAGCTTCCTTTTCAAAGAGCAGTTTCCAATCACTCTTTCTGTGGAATCTGCAAGTGGATATTTGGACCTATTTTGAAGATTTCGTTGGAAACGGGAGAATCTTCACAGAAAAGCTAAACAGAAGCATTCTCAGAAACTTCTCTGTGATGTTTGTGTTCAACTCCCAAGAGTTTCACATTGCTTTTCATAGAGTAGTTCTGAAACATGCTTTTCGTAGTGTCTACAAGTGGACATTTGGAGCGCTTTCAGGCCTGTGGTGGAAAACGAATTATGGTCACATAAAAACTGGAGAGAAGCCTTCTCAGAAACTTCTCTGTGATGATTGCATTCAACTCACAGAGTTGAACCCTCCTATGGATAGAGCAGTGTTGAAACTCTCTTTTTGTGGAATCTGCAAGTGGATATGTGGACCTCTCCGAAGATGTCTTTGGAAACGGGAATATCTTCACATAAAAACTAAACAGAAGCATTCTCAGAAACTTCTTGGTGATGTTTGCATTCAAATCCCAGAGTTGAACCTTCCTTTGATAGTTCAGGTTTGAAACACTCTTTCTGTAGGATCTGCAAGTGGCTATTTGGACCACTCTGTGGCCTTCGTTCGAAACGGGTATATCTTCGCATAAAATCTAGACAGAAGCATTCTCAGAAAATACTTTGTGATGATTGAGTTTAAATCACAGAGCTGACCATTCCTTTGGATGGAGCAGGTTTGAGACACACTTTTTGTAGAATCTACAAGTGGATATTTGGACCTCTCTGAGGATTTCGTTGGAAACGGGATAACTGCACCTAACTAAACGGAAGCATTCTCAGAAACTGCTTTGTGATGATTGCATTCACCTCACAGAGTTGAACATTCCTATTGATAGAGCAGTTTGGAAACACTCTTGTTGTGGAATGTGCAAGTGGAGATTTGGAGCGCTTTGAGGCCTGTGGTAGTAAAGGGAATAGCTTCATAGAAAAACTAGACAGATGCATTCTCAGGAACTTTTTGGTGATGTTTGTATTCAACTCCCAGAGTTGAACTTTCCTTTGGAAAGAGCAGCTATGAAACACTCTTTTTCTAGAATCTGCAAGTGGACGTTTGGAGGGCTTTGTGGTTTGTGGTGGAAAAGGAAATATCTTCACCTAAATACTAGATAGAAGCATTCTCAGAAGCTTCTCTGTGATGACTGCATTCAACTCACGGAGTTGAACACTCCTTTTGAGAGCGCAGTTTTGAAACTCTCTTTCTGTGGCATCTGCAAGGGGACATGTAGACCTCTTTGAAGATTTCGTTGGAAACGGAATCATCTTCACATAAAAACTATACAGAAGCAGTCTCAGAATCTTCTTTGTGATGTTTGCATTCAAATCCCAGAGTTGAACTTTCCTTTCAAAGTTCACGTTTGAAACACTCTTTTTGCAGGATCTACAAGTGGATATTTGGACCACTCTGTGTCCTTCATTCGAAACGGGTATATCTTCACATGACATCTAGACAGAAGCTTTCTCAGAAAATTCTTTGGGATGATTGAGTGGAACTCACAGAGCTGAACATTCCTTGCGATGTAGCAGTTTAGAAACACACTTTCTGCAGAATCTGCAAGTGCATATTTGGACCTCTCTGAGGAATTCGTTGGAAACGGGATAATTTCAGCTGACTAAACAGAAGCATTCTCAGAACCTTCTTCGTGATGTCTGCATTCAACTCACAGTGTGGAACCTTTCTTTGATAGTTCAGGTTTGAAACACTCTTTTTGTAGAAACTGCAAGGGGATAATTGCACTTCTTTGAGGCCTACCGTAGTAAAGGAAATAACTTCCTATAGAAAGAAGACAGAAGCATTCTCAGAACCCTCTTCGTGATGTTTGCATTCAACTCACAGTGCTGAACCTTTCTTTGATAGTTCAGCTTTGAAACACTCTTCTTGTAGAAACTGCAAGTGGATATTTGGTCCTCTCTGAGGATTTCGTTGGAAACGGGATAAACCGCACAGAACTAAACAGAAGCATTCTCAGAGCCCTCTTCGTGATGTTTGCATTCAACTCACAGTGCTGAACCTTTCTTTGATAGTGCAGCTTTGAAACACTCTTTTTGTAGAAACTGCAAGTGGATGTTTGGTCCTCTCTGAGGATTTCGTTGGAAACGGGATAAACCGCACAGAACTAAAACAGAAGCATTGTCAGAAACTTCTTTGTGATGATTGCATTCAACTCACAGAGTTGAAGGTTCCTTTTCAAACAGCAGTTTCCAATCACTCTTTCTGTGGAATCTGCAAGTGGATATTTGGGCCTCTCTGAGGATTTCGTTGGAAACGGGATAAAACGCACAGAACTAAAACAGAAGCATTCTCAGAAACTTCTCTGTGATGTTTGTGTTCAACTCCCAGAGTTTCACGTTGCTTTTCATAGAGTAGTTCTGAAACATGCTTTTCGTAGTGTCTGCAAGTGGACATTTGGAGCGCTTTCAGGCCTGTGGTGGAAAACGAATTATGGTCACATAAAAACTGGAGAGAAGCCTTCTCAGAAACTTCTCTGTGATGATTGCATTCAACTCACAGAGTTGAACCCTCCTATGGATAGAGCAGTGTTGAAACTCTCTTTTTGTGGAATCTGCAAGTGGATATGTGGACCTCTCCGAAGATGTCTTTGGAAACGGGAATATCTTCACATAAAAACTAAACAGAAGCATTCTCAGAAACTTCTTGGTGATGTTTGCATTCAAATCCCAGAGTTGAACCTTCCTTTGATAGTTCAGGTTTGAAACACTCTTTCTGTAGGATCTGCAAGTGGCTATTTGGACCACTCTGTGGCCTTCGTTCGAAACGGGTATATCTTCGCATAAAATCTAGACAGAAGCATTCTCAGAAAATACTTTGTGATGATTGAGTTTAAATCACAGAGCTGACCATTCCTTTGGATGGAGCAGGTTTGAGACACACTTTTTGTAGAATCTACAAGTGGATATTTGGACCTCTCTGAGGATTTCGTTGGAAACGGGATAACTGCACCTAACTAAACGGAAGCATTCTCAGAAACTGCTTTGTGATGATTGCATTCACCTCACAGAGTTGAACATTCCTATTGATAGAGCAGTTTGGAAACACTCTTGTTGTGGAATGTGCAAGTGGAGATTTGGAGCGCTTTGAGGCCTGTGGTAGTAAAGGGAATAGCTTCATAGAAAAACTAGACAGATGCATTCTCAGGAACTTTTTGGTGATGTTTGTATTCAACTCCCAGAGTTGAACTTTCCTTTGGAAAGAGCAGCTATGAAACACTCTTTTTCTAGAATCTGCAAGTGGACGTTTGGAGGGCTTTGTGGTTTGTGGTGGAAAAGGAAATATCTTCACCTAAATACTAGATAGAAGCATTCTCAGAAGCTTCTCTGTGATGACTGCATTCAACTCACGGAGTTGAACACTCCTTTTGAGAGCGCAGTTTTGAAACTCTCTTTCTGTGGCATCTGCAAGGGGACATGTAGACCTCTTTGAAGATTTCGTTGGAAACGGAATCATCTTCACATAAAAACTATACAGAAGCAGTCTCAGAATCTTCTTTGTGATGTTTGCATTCAAATCCCAGAGTTGAACTTTCCTTTCAAAGTTCACGTTTGAAACACTCTTTTTGCAGGATCTACAAGTGGATATTTGGACCACTCTGTGTCCTTCGTTCGAAACGGGTATATCTTCACACGACATCTAGACAGAAGCTTTCTCAGAAAATTCTTTGGGATGATTGAGTGGAACTCACAGAGCTGAACATTCCTTGCGATGTAGCAGTTTAGAAACACACTTTCTGCAGAATCTGCAAGTGCATATTTGGACCTCTCTGAGGAATTCGTTGGAAACGGGATAATTTCAGCTGACTAAACAGAAGCATTCTCAGAACCTTCTTCGTGATGTCTGCATTCAACTCACAGTGTGGAACCTTTCTTTGATAGTTCAGGTTTGAAACACTCTTTTTGTAGAAACTGCAAGGGGATAATTGCACTTCTTTGAGGCCTACCGTAGTAAAGGAAATAACTTCCTATAGAAAGAAGACAGAAGCATTCTCAGAACCCTCTTCGTGATGTTTGCATTCAACTCACAGTGCTGAACCTTTCTTTGATAGTTCAGCTTTGAAACACTCTTCTTGTAGAAACTGCAAGTGGATATTTGGTCCTCTCTGAGGATTTCGTTGGAAACGGGATAAACCGCACAGAACTAAACAGAAGAATTCTCAGAGCCCTCTTCGTGATGTTTGCATTCAACTCACAGTGCTGAACCTTTCTTTGATAGTGCAGCTTTGAAACACTCTTTTTGTAGAAACTGCAAGTGGATGTTTGGTCCTCTCTGAGGATTTCGTTGGAAACGGGATAAACCGCACAGAACTAAAACAGAAGCATTGTCAGAAACTTCTTTGTGATGATTGCATTCAACTCACAGAGTTGAAGGTTCCTTTTCAAACAGCAGTTTCCAATCACTCTTTCTGTGGAATCTGCAAGTGGATATTTGGGCCTCTCTGAGGATTTCGTTGGAAACGGGATAAAACGCACAGAACTAAAACAGAAGCATTCTCAGAAACTTCTCTGTGATGTTTGTGTTCAACTCCCAGAGTTTCACGTTGCTTTTCATAGAGTAGTTCTGAAACATGCTTTTCGTAGTGTCTGCAAGTGGACATTTGGAGCGCTTTCAGGCCTGTGGTGGAAAACGAATTATGGTCACATAAAAACTGGAGAGAAGCCTTCTCAGAAACTTCTCTGTGATGATTGCATTCAACTCACAGAGTTGAACCCTCCTATGGATAGAGCAGTGTTGAAACTCTCTTTTTGTGGAATCTGCAAGTGGATATGTGGACCTCTCCGAAGATGTCTTTGGAAACGGGAATATCTTCACATAAAAACTAAACAGAAGCATTCTCAGAAACTTCTTGGTGATGTTTGCATTCAAATCCCAGAGTTGAACCTTCCTTTGATAGTTCAGGTTTGAAACACTCTTTCTGTAGGATCTGCAAGTGGCTATTTGGACCACTCTGTGGCCTTCGTTCGAAACGGGTATATCTTCGCATAAAATCTAGACAGAAGCATTCTCAGAAAATACTTTGTGATGATTGAGTTTAAATCACAGAGCTGACCATTCCTTTGGATGGAGCAGGTTTGAGACACACTTTTTGTAGAATCTACAAGTGGATATTTGGACCTCTCTGAGGATTTCGTTGGAAACGGGATAACTGCACCTAACTAAACGGAAGCATTCTCAGAAACTGCTTTGTGATGATTGCATTCACCTCACAGAGTTGAACATTCCTATTGATAGAGCAGTTTGGAAACACTCTTGTTGTGGAATGTGCAAGTGGAGATTTGGAGCGCTTTGAGGCCTGTGGTAGTAAAGGGAATAGCTTCATAGAAAAACTAGACAGATGCATTCTCAGGAACTTTTTGGTGATGTTTGTATTCAACTCCCAGAGTTGAACTTTCCTTTGGAAAGAGCAGCTATGAAACACTCTTTTTCTAGAATCTGCAAGTGGACGTTTGGAGGGCTTTGTGGTTTGTGGTGGAAAAGGAAATATCTTCACCTAAATACTAGATAGAAGCATTCTCAGAAGCTTCTCTGTGATGACTGCATTCAACTCACGGAGTTGAACACTCCTTTTGAGAGCGCAGTTTTGAAACTCTCTTTCTGTGGCATCTGCAAGGGGACATGTAGACCTCTTTGAAGATTTCGTTGGAAACGGAATCATCTTCACATAAAAACTATACAGAAGCAGTCTCAGAATCTTCTTTGTGATGTTTGCATTCAAATCCCAGAGTTGAACTTTCCTTTCAAAGTTCACGTTTGAAACACTCTTTTTGCAGGATCTACAAGTGGATATTTGGACCACTCTGTGTCCTTCGTTCGAAACGGGTATATCTTCACACGACATCTAGACAGAAGCTTTCTCAGAAAATTCTTTGGGATGATTGAGTGGAACTCACAGAGCTGAACATTCCTTGCGATGTAGCAGTTTAGAAACACACTTTCTGCAGAATCTGCAAGTGCATATTTGGACCTCTCTGAGGAATTCGTTGGAAACGGGATAATTTCAGCTGACTAAACAGAAGCATTCTCAGAACCTTCTTCGTGATGTCTGCATTCAACTCACAGTGTGGAACCTTTCTTTGATAGTTCAGGTTTGAAACACTCTTTTTGTAGAAACTGCAAGGGGATAATTGCACTTCTTTGAGGCCTACCGTAGTAAAGGAAATAACTTCCTGTAGAAAGAAGACAGAAGCATTCTCAGAACCCTCTTCGTGATGTTTGCATTCAACTCACAGTGCTGAACCTTTCTTTGATAGTTCAGCTTTGAAACACTCTTCTTGTAGAAACTGCAAGTGGATATTTGGTCCTCTCTGAGGATTTCGTTGGAAACGGGATAAACCGCACAGAACTAAACAGAAGAATTCTCAGAGCCCTCTTCGTGATGTTTGCATTCAACTCACAGTGCTGAACCTTTCTTTGATAGTGCAGCTTTGAAACACTCTTTTTGTAGAAACTGCAAGTGGATGTTTGGTCCTCTCTGAGGATTTCGTTGGAAACGGGATAAACCGCACAGAACTAAAACAGAAGCATTGTCAGAAACTTCTTTGTGATGATTGCATTCAACTCACAGAGTTGAAGGTTCCTTTTCAAACAGCAGTTTCCAATCACTCTTTCTGTGGAATCTGCAAGTGGATATTTGGGCCTCTCTGAGGATTTCGTTGGAAACGGGATAAAACGCACAGAACTAAAACAGAAGCATTCTCAGAAACTTCTCTGTGATGTTTGTGTTCAACTCCCAGAGTTTCACGTTGCTTTTCATAGAGTAGTTCTGAAACATGCTTTTCGTAGTGTCTGCAAGTGGACATTTGGAGCGCTTTCAGGCCTGTGGTGGAAAACGAATTATGGTCACATAAAAACTGGAGAGAAGCCTTCTCAGAAACTTCTCTGTGATGATTGCATTCAACTCACAGAGTTGAACCCTCCTATGGATAGAGCAGTGTTGAAACTCTCTTTTTGTGGAATCTGCAAGTGGATATGTGGACCTCTCCGAAGATGTCTTTGGAAACGGGAATATCTTCACATAAAAACTAAACAGAAGCATTCTCAGAAACTTCTTGGTGATGTTTGCATTCAAATCCCAGAGTTGAACCTTCCTTTGATAGTTCAGGTTTGAAACACTCTTTCTGTAGGATCTGCAAGTGGCTATTTGGACCACTCTGTGGCCTTCGTTCGAAACGGGTATATCTTCGCATAAAATCTAGACAGAAGCATTCTCAGAAAATACTTTGTGATGATTGAGTTTAAATCACAGAGCTGACCATTCCTTTGGATGGAGCAGGTTTGAGACACACTTTTTGTAGAATCTACAAGTGGATATTTGGACCTCTCTGAGGATTTCGTTGGAAACGGGATAACTGCACCTAACTAAACGGAAGCATTCTCAGAAACTGCTTTGTGATGATTGCATTCACCTCACAGAGTTGAACATTCCTATTGATAGAGCAGTTTGGAAACACTCTTGTTGTGGAATGTGCAAGTGGAGATTTGGAGCGCTTTGAGGTCTATGGTAGTAAAGGGAATAGCTTCATAGAAAAACTAGACAGATGCATTCTCAGGAACCTTTTGGTGATGTTTGTATTCAACTCCCAGAGTTGAACTTTCCTTTGGAAAGAGCAGCTATGAAACACTCTTTTTCTAGAATCTGCAAGTGGACGTTTGGAGGGCTTTGTGGTTTGTGGTGGAAAAGGAAATATCTTCACCTAAATACTAGATAGAAGCATTCTCAGAAAGCTTCTCTGTGATGACTGCATTCAACTCACGGAGTTGAACACTCCTTTTGAGAGCGCAGTTTTGAAACTCTCTTTCTGTGGCATCTGCAAGGGGACATGTAGACCTCTTTGAAGATTTCGTTGGAAACGGAATCATCTTCACATAAAAAGTATACAGAAGCAGTCTCAGAATCTTCTTTGTGATGTTTGCATTCAAATCCCAGAATTGAACTTTCCTTTCAAAGTTCACGTTTGAAACACTCTTTTTGCAGGATCTACAAGTGGATATTTGGACCACTCTGTGTCCTTCGTTCGAAACGGGTATAAACTTCACATGACATCTAGACAGAAGCTTTCTCAGAAAATTCTTTGGGATGATTGAGTTGAACTCACAGAGCTGAGCATTCCTTGCGATGTAGCAGTTTAGAAACACACTTTCTGCAGAATCTGCAAGTGCATATTTGGACCTCTGTGAGGAATTCGTTGGAAACGGGATAATTTCAGCTGACTAAACAGAAGCATTCTCAGAACCTTCTTCGTGATGTCTGCATTCAACTCACAGTGTGGAACCTTTCTTTGATAGTTCAGGTTTGAAACACTCTTTTTGTAGAAACTGCAAGGGGATAATTGCACTCTTTGAGGAGTACCGTAGTAAAGGAAATAACTTCCTCTAAAAAGAAGACAGAAGCATTCTCAGAACCCTCTTCGTGATGTTTGCATTCAACTCACAGTGCTGAACCTTTCTTTGATAGTTCAGCTTTGAAACACTCTTTTTGTAGAAACTGCAAGTGGATATTTGGTCCTCTCTGAGGATTTCGTTGGAAACGGGATAAACTGCACAGAACTAAACAGAAGCATTCTCAGAACCTTCTTCGTGATGTTTGCATTCAACTCACAGTGTTGAACCTTTCTTTGATAGTTCAGGTTTGAAACGGTCTTTCTGTAGAAACTGCAAGTAGATATTTGGACCTCTCTGAGGATTTCGTTGGAAACGGGATAAACCGCACAGAACTAAAACAGAAGCATTCACAGAAAACTCTTGGTGACGACTGAGTTTAACTCACAGAGCTGAACATTCCTTTGGATGGAGCAGTTTCGAAACACACTATTTGTAGAATGTGCAAGTGGATATTTGGGCCTCTCTGAGGATTTCGTTGGAAACGGGATAAACCGCACAGAACTAAACAGAAGCATTCTCAGAAACTACTTTGTGATGATTGCATTCAAGTCACAGAGTTGAACATTCCCTTTGACAGAGCAGTTTGGAAACTCTCTTTCTGTAGAATCTGCAAGTGGAGATATGGACCGCTTTGAGGCCTGTGGTAGTAAAGGAAATAGCTTCATATAAAAGCTAGACAGTAGCATTCTCAGAAACTTCTTTGTGATGCTTGCATTCAACTCACAGAGTTGAACTTTCCTTTCGAGAGAGAAGCTTTGAAACACTCTTTTTCCAGAATCTGCAAGTGGACATTTGGAGGGCTTTGAGGCCTGTGGTAGAAAAGGAATTAACTTCCCGTAAAAGCTAGATAGAAGCATTGTCAGAAACTTCTTTGTGATGATTGCATTCAACTCACAGAGATGAAGGTTCCTTTTCAAACAGCAGTTTCCAAACACTCTTTCTGTGGAATCTGCAAGTGGATATTTGGATCTCTTTGAAGATTTCGTTGGAAACGGGAGAATCTTCACAGAAAAGCTAAACAGAAGCATTCTCAGAAACTTCTCTGTGATGTTTGTGTTCAACTCCCAGAGTTTCACATTGCTTTTCATAGAGTAGTTCTGAAACATGCTTTTCGTAGTGTCTGCAAGTGGACATTTGGAGCGCTTTCAGGCCTGTGGTGCAAAACGAATTATGGTCCCATAAAAACTGGAAAGAAGCCTTCACAGAAACTTCTCTGTGATGATTGCATTCAACTCACAGATTTGAACCCTCCTATGGATAGAGCATTGTTGAAACTCTCTTTTTGTGGAATCTGCAAGTGGATATGTGGACCTCTCTGAAGATGTCTTTGGAAACGGGAATATCTTCACATAAAAACTAAACAGAAGCATTCTCAGAAACTTCTTGGTGATGTTTGCATTCAAATCCCAGAGTTGAACCTTCCTTTGATAGTTCAGGTTTGAAACACTCTTTTTGTAGGATCTGCAAGTGGATATTTGGACCACTCTGTGGCCTTCGTTCGAAACGGGTATATCTTCGCATAAAATCTAGACAGAAGCATTCTCAGAAAATACTTTGTGATGATTGAGTTTAACTCACAGAGCTGAACATTCCTTTGGATGGAGCAGGTTTGAGACACACTTTTTGTAGAATCTACAAGTGGATATTTGGACCTCTCTGAGGATTTCGTTGGAAACGGGATAACTGCACCTAACTAAACGGAAGCATTCTCAGAAACTGCTTTGTGATGATTGCATTCACCTCACAGAGTTGAACATTCCTATTGATAGAGCAGTTTGGAAACACTCTTGTTGTGGAATGTGCAAGTGGAGATTTGGAGCGCTTTGAGGCCTATGGTAGTAAAGGGAATAGCTTCATAGAAAAACTAGACAGATGCATTCTCAGGAACTTTTTGGTGATGTTTGTATTCAACTCCCAGAGTTGAACTTTCCTTTGGAAAGAGCAGCTATGAAACACTCTTTTTCTAGAATCTGCAAGTGGACGTTTGGAGGGCTTTGTGGTTTGTGGTGGAAAAGGAAATATCTTCACCTAAATACTAGATAGAAGCATTCTCAGAAGCTTCTCTGTGATGACTGCATTCAACTCACGGAGTTGAACACTCCTTTTGAGAGCGCAGTTTTGAAACTCTCTTTCTGTGGCATCTGCAAGGGGACATGTAGACCTCTTTGAAGATTTCGTTGGAAACGGAATCATCTTCACATAAAAACTATACAGAAGCAGTCTCAGAATCTTCTTTGTGATGTTTGCATTCAAATCCCAGAGTTGAACTTTCCTTTCAAAGTTCACGTTTGAAACACTCTTTTTGCAGGATCTACAAGTGGATATTTGGACCACTCTGTGTCCTTCGTTCGAAACGGGTATATCTTCACACGACATCTAGACAGAAGCTTTCTCAGAAAATTCTTTGGGATGATTGAGTGGAACTCACAGAGCTGAACATTCCTTGCGATGTAGCAGTTTAGAAACACACTTTCTGCAGAATCTGCAAGTGCATATTTGGACCTCTCTGAGGAATTCGTTGGAAACGGGATAATTTCAGCTGACTAAACAGAAGCATTCTCAGAACCTTCTTCGTGATGTCTGCATTCAACTCACAGTGTGGAACCTTTCTTTGATAGTTCAGGTTTGAAACACTCTTTTTGTAGAAACTGCAAGGGGATAATTGCACTTCTTTGAGGCCTACCGTAGTAAAGGAAATAACTTCCTATAGAAAGAAGACAGAAGCATTCTCAGAACCCTCTTCGTGATGTTTGCATTCAACTCACAGTGCTGAACCTTTCTTTGATAGTTCAGCTTTGAAACACTCTTCTTGTAGAAACTGCAAGTGGATATTTGGTCCTCTCTGAGGATTTCGTTGGAAACGGGATAAACCGCACAGAACTAAACAGAAGAATTCTCAGAGCCCTCTTCGTGATGTTTGCATTCAACTCACAGTGCTGAACTTTTCTTTGATAGTGCAGCTTTGAAACACTCTTTTTGTAGAAACTGCAAGTGGATGTTTGGTCCTCTCTGAGGATTTCGTTGGAAACGGGATAAACCGCACAGAACTAAAACAGAAGCATTGTCAGAAACTTCTTTGTGATGATTGCATTCAACTCACAGAGTTGAAGGTTCCTTTTCAAACAGCAGTTTCCAATCACTCTTTCTGTGGAATCTGCAAGTGGATATTTGGGCCTCTCTGAGGATTTCGTTGGAAACGGGATAAAACGCACAGAACTAAAACAGAAGCATTCTCAGAAACTTCTCTGTGATGTTTGTGTTCAACTCCCAGAGTTTCACGTTGCTTTTCATAGAGTAGTTCTGAAACATGCTTTTCGTAGTGTCTGCAAGTGGACATTTGGAGCGCTTTCAGGCCTGTGGTGGAAAACGAATTATGGTCACATAAAAACTGGAGAGAAGCCTTCTCAGAAACTTCTCTGTGATGATTGCATTCAACTCACAGAGTTGAACCCTCCTATGGATAGAGCAGTGTTGAAACTCTCTTTTTGTGGAATCTGCAAGTGGATATGTGGACCTCTCCGAAGATGTCTTTGGAAACGGGAATATCTTCACATAAAAACTAAACAGAAGCATTCTCAGAAACTTCTTGGTGATGTTTGCATTCAAATCCCAGAGTTGAACCTTCCTTTGATAGTTCAGGTTTGAAACACTCTTTTTGTAGGATCTGCAAGTGGCTATTTGGACCACTCTGTGGCCTTCGTTCGAAACGGGTATATCTTCGCATAAAATCTAGACAGAAGCATTCTCAGAAAATACTTTGTGATGATTGAGTTTAAATCACAGAGCTGAACATTCCTTTGGATGGAGCAGGTTTGAGACACACTTTTTGTAGAAGCTACAAGTGGATATTTGGACCTCTCTGAGGATTTCGTTGGAAACGGGATAACTGCACCTAACTAAACGGAAGCATTCTCAGAAACTGCTTTGTGATGATTGCATTCACCTCACAGAGTTGAACATTCCTATTGATAGAGCAGTTTGGAAACACTCCTGTTGTGGAATGTGCAAGTGGAGATTTGGAGCGCTTTGAGGCCTATGGTAGTAAAGGGAATAACTTCATAGAAAAACTAGACAGATGCATTCTCAGGAACTTTTTGGTGATGTTTGTATTCAACTCCCAGAGTTGAACTTTCCTTTGGAAAGAGCAGCTATGAAACACTCTTTTTCTAGAATCTGCAAGTGGACGTTTGGAGGGCTTTGTGGTTTGTGGTGGAAAAGGAAATATCTTCACGTAAATACTACATAGAAGCATTCTCAGAAGCTTCTCTGTGATGACTGCATTCAACTCACGGAGTTGAACACTCCTTTTGAGAGCGCAGTTTTGAAACTCTCTTTCTGTGGCATCTGCAAGGGGACATGTAGACCTCTTTGAAGATTTCGTTGGAAACGGAATCATCTTCACATAAAAACTATACAGAAGCAGTCTCAGCATCTTTTTTGTGATGTTTGCATTCAAATCCCAGAGTTGAACTTTCCTTTCAAAGTTCACGTTTGAAACACTCTTTTTGCAGGATCTACAAGTGGATATTTGGACCACTCTGTGTCCTTCGTTCGAAACGGGTATATCTTCACATGACATCTAGACAGAAGCTTTCTCAGAAAATTCTTTGGGATGATTGAGTTCAGCAAACAGAGCTGAACACTCCTTGCGATGTAGCAGTTTAGAAACACACTTTCTGCAGAATCTGCAAGTGCATATGTGGACCTCTCTGAGGAATTCGTTGGAAACGGGATAATTTCAGCTGACTAAACAGAAGCATTCTCAGTACCTTCTTCGTGATGTCTGCATGCAACTCACAGTGTGGAACCTTTCTTTGATAGTTCAGGTTTGAAACACTCTTTTTGTGGAAACTGCAAGGGGATAATTGCACTTCTTTGAGGCCCACCGTAGTAATGGAAATAACTTCCTATAAAAAGAAGACAGAAGCATTCTCAGAACCCTCTTCGTGATGTTTGCATTCAACTCACAGTGCTGAACCTTTCTTTGATAGTTCAGCTTTGAAACACTCTTTTTGTAGAAACTGCAAGTGGATATTTGATCCTCTCTGAGGATTTCGTTGGAAACGGCATAAACCGCACAGAACTAAACAGAAGCATTCACAGAAAACACTTGGTGACGACTGTGTTTAACTCACAGAGCTGAACATTCCTTTGGATGGAGCAGTTTCGAAACACACTCTTTGTAGAATGTGCAAGTGGATATTTGGGCCTCTCTGAGGATTTCGTTGGAAACGGGATAAACCGCACAGAACTAAAACAGAAGCATTCTCAGAAACTACTTTGTGATGATTGCATTCAAGTCACAGAGCTGAACATTCCCTTTGACAGAGCAGTTTGGAAACTCTCTTTGTGTAGAATCTGCAAGTGCAGATATGGAATGCTTTGAGGACTATGGTAGTAAAGGAAATAGCTTCATAGACAAGCTATACAGTAGCATTCTCAGAAACTTCTTTGTGATGCTTGCATTCAACTCACAGAGTTGAACTTTCCTTTCGAGAGAGAAGCTTTGAAACACTCTTTTTCCAGAATCTGCAAGTGGACATTTGGAGGGCTTTGAGGCCTGTGGTGGAAAAGGAATTATCTTCCCGTAAAAGCTAGATAGAAGCATTGTCAGAAACTTCTTTGTGATGATTGCATTCAACTCACAGAGTTGAAGGTTGCTTTTCAAACAGCAGTTTCCAAACACTCTTTCTGTGGAATCTGCAAGTGGATATTTGGACCTCTTTGAAGATTTCGTTGGGAAAGGGATAATCTTCACAGAAAAGCTAAACAGAAGCATTCTCAGAAACTTCTCTGTGATGTTTGTGTTCAACTCCCAGAGTGTCACATTGCTTCTCATAGAGTAGTTCTGAAACATGCTTTTCGTAGTGCCTGCAAGGGGACATTTGGAGCGCTTTCAGGCCTGTGGTGGAAAACGAATTATGGTCACATAAAAACTGGAGAGAAGCCTTCTCAGAAACTTCTCTGTGATGATTGCATTCAACTCACAGAGTTGAACCCTCCCTATGGATAGAGCAGTGTTGAAACTCTCTTTTTGTGGAATCTGCAAGTGTATATGTGGACCTCTCCGAAGATGTCTTTGGAAACGGGACTATCTTCACATAAAAACTAAACAGAAGCATTCTCAGAAACTTCTTGGTGATGTTTGCATTCAAATCCCAAAGTTGAACCTTCTTTTGAGAGTTCAGGTTTGAAACACTCTTTTTGTAGGATCTGCAAGTGGATATTTGGACCACTCTGTGGCCTTCGTTCGAAACGGGTACATCTTCGCATAAAATCTAGACAGAAGCATTCTCAGAAAATACTTTGTGATGATTGAGTTTAAATCACAGAGCTGAACATTCCTTTGGATGGAGCAGGTTTGAGACACACTTTTTGTAGAATCTACAAGTGGATATTTGGACCTCTCTGAGGATTTCGTTGGAAACGGGATAACTGCACCTAACTAAACGGAAGCATTCTCAGAAACTGCTTTGTGATGATTGCATTCACCTCACAGAGTTGAACATTACTATTGATAGAGCAGTTTGGAAACACTCTTGTTGTGGAATGTGCAAGTGGAGATTTGGAGCGCTTTGAGGCCTATGGTAGTAAAGGGAATAGCTTCATAGAAAAACTAGACAGATGCATTCTCAGGAACTTTTTGGTGATGTTTGTATTCAACTCCCAGAGTTGAACTTTCCTTTGGAAAGAGCAGCTATGAAACACTCTTTTTCTAGAATCTGCAAGTGGACGTTTGGAGGGCTTTGTGGTTTGTGGTGGAAAAGGAAATATCTTCACCTAAATACTAGACAGAAGCATTCTCAGAAGCTTCTCTGTGATGACTGCATTCAACTCACGGAGTTGAACACTCCTTTTGAGAGCGCAGTTTTGAAACTCTCTTTCTGTGGCATCTGCAAGGGGACATGTAGACCTCTTTGAAGATTTCGTTGGAAACGGAATCATCTTCACATAAAAACTATACAGAAGCAGTCTCAGAATCTTCTTTGTGATGTTTGCATTCAAATCCCAGAGTTGAACTTTCCTTTCAAAGTTCACGTTTGAAACACTCTTTTTGCAGGATCTACAAGTGGATATTTGGACCACTCTGTGTCCTTCGTTCGAAACGGGTATATCTTCACACGACATCTAGACAGAAGCTTTCTCAGAAAATTCTTTGGGATGATTGAGTGGAACTCACAGAGCTGAACATTCCTTGCGATGTAGCAGTTTAGAAACACACTTTCTGCAGAATCTGCAAGTGCATATTTGGACCTCTCTGAGGAATTCGTTGGAAACGGGATAATTTCAGCTGACTAAACAGAAGCATTCTCAGAACCTTCTTCGTGATGTCTGCATTCAACTCACAGTGTGGAACCTTTCTTTGATAGTTCAGGTTTGAAACACTCTTTTTGTAGAAACTGCAAGGGGATAATTGCACTTCTTTGAGGCCTACCGTAGTAAAGGAAATAACTTCCTATAGAAAGAAGACAGAAGCATTCTCAGAACCCTCTTCGTGATGTTTGCATTCAACTCACAGTGCTGAACCTTTCTTTGATAGTTCAGCTTTGAAACACTCTTCTTGTAGAAACTGCAAGTGGATATTTGGTCCTCTCTGAGGATTTCGTTGGAAACGGGATAAACCGCACAGAACTAAACAGAAGAATTCTCAGAGCCCTCTTCGTGATGTTTGCATTCAACTCACAGTGCTGAACCTTTCTTTGATAGTGCAGCTTTGAAACACTCTTTTTGTAGAAACTGCAAGTGGATGTTTGGTCCTCTCTGAGGATTTCGTTGGAAACGGGATAAACCGCACAGAACTAAAACAGAAGCATTGTCAGAAACTTCTTTGTGATGATTGCATTCAACTCACAGAGTTGAAGGTTCCTTTTCAAACAGCAGTTTCCAATCACTCTTTCTGTGGAATCTGCAAGTGGATATTTGGGCCTCTCTGAGGATTTCGTTGGAAACGGGATAAAACGCACAGAACTAAAACAGAAGCATTCTCAGAAACTTCTCTGTGATGTTTGTGTTCAACTCCCAGAGTTTCACGTTGCTTTTCATAGAGTAGTTCTGAAACATGCTTTTCGTAGTGTCTGCAAGTGGACATTTGGAGCGCTTTCAGGCCTGTGGTGGAAAACGAATTATGGTCACATAAAAACTGGAGAGAAGCCTTCTCAGAAACTTCTCTGTGATGATTGCATTCAACTCACAGAGTTGAACCCTCCTATGGATAGAGCAGTGTTGAAACTCTCTTTTTGTGGAATCTGCAAGTGGATATGTGGACCTCTCCGAAGATGTCTTTGGAAACGGGAATATCTTCACATAAAAACTAAACAGAAGCATTCTCAGAAACTTCTTGGTGATGTTTGCATTCAAATCCCAGAGTTGAACCTTCCTTTGATAGTTCAGGTTTGAAACACTCTTTCTGTAGGATCTGCAAGTGGCTATTTGGACCACTCTGTGGCCTTCGTTCGAAACGGGTATATCTTCGCATAAAATCTAGACAGAAGCATTCTCAGAAAATACTTTGTGATGATTGAGTTTAAATCACAGAGCTGACCATTCCTTTGGATGGAGCAGGTTTGAGACACACTTTTTGTAGAATCTACAAGTGGATATTTGGACCTCTCTGAGGATTTCGTTGGAAACGGGATAACTGCACCTAACTAAACGGAAGCATTCTCAGAAACTGCTTTGTGATGATTGCATTCACCTCACAGAGTTGAACATTCCTATTGATAGAGCAGTTTGGAAACACTCTTGTTGTGGAATGTGCAAGTGGAGATTTGGAGCGCTTTGAGGCCTATGGTAGTAAAGGGAATAGCTTCATAGAAAAACTAGACAGATGCATTCTCAGGAACTTTTTGGTGATGTTTGTATTCAACTCCCAGAGTTGAACTTTCCTTTGGAAAGAGCAGCTATGAAACACTCTTTTTCTAGAATCTGCAAGTGGACGTTTGGAGGGCTTTGTGGTTTGTGGTGGAAAAGGAAATATCTTCACCTAAATACTAGATAGAAGCATTCTCAGAAGCTTCTCTGTGATGACTGCATTCAACTCACGGAGTTGAACACTCCTTTTGAGAGCGCAGTTTTGAAACTCTCTTTCTGTGGCATCCGCAAGGGGACATGTGGACCTCTTTGAAGATTTCGTTGGAAACGGAATCATCTTCACATAAAAACTATACAGAAGCAGTCTCAGAATCTTCTTTGTGATGTTTGCATTCAAATCCCAGAGTTGAACTTTCCTTTCAAAGTTCACGTTTGAAACACTCTTTTTGCAGGATCTACAAGTGGATATTTGGACCACTCTGTGTCCTTCGTTCGAAACGGGTATATCTTCACATGACAGCTAGACAGAAGCTTTCTCAGAAAATTCTTTGGGATGATTGAGTGGAACTCACAGAGCTGAACATTCCTTGCGATGTAGCAGTTTAGAAACACACTTTCTGCAGAATCTGCAAGTGCATATTTGGACCTCTCTGAGGAATTCGTTGGAAACGGGATAATTTCAGCTGACTAAACAGAAGCATTCTCAGAACCTTCTTCGTGATGTCTGCATTCAACTCACAGTGTGGAACCTTTCTTTGATAGTTCAGGTTTGAAACACTCTTTTTGTAGAAACTGCAAGGGGATAATTGCACTTCTTTGAGGCCTACCGTAGTAAAGGAAATAACTTCCTATAGAAAGAAGACAGAAGCATTCTCAGAACCCTCTTCGTGATGTTTGCATTCAACTCACAGTGCTGAACCTTTCTTTGATAGTTCAGCTTTGAAACACTCTTCTTGTAGAAACTGCAAGTGGATATTTGGTCCTCTCTGAGGATTTCGTTGGAAACGGGATAAACCGCACAGAACTAAACAGAAGAATTCTCAGAGCCCTCTTCGTGATGTTTGCATTCAACTCACAGTGCTGAACCTTTCTTTGATAGTGCAGCTTTGAAACACTCTTTTTGTAGAAACTGCAAGTGGATGTTTGGTCCTCTCTGAGGATTTCGTTGGAAACGGGATAAACCGCACAGAACTAAAACAGAAGCATTGTCAGAAACTTCTTTGTGATGATTGCATTCAACTCACAGAGTTGAAGGTTCCTTTTCAAACAGCAGTTTCCAATCACTCTTTCTGTGGAATCTGCAAGTGGATATTTGGGCCTCTCTGAGGATTTCGTTGGAAACGGGATAAAACGCACAGAACTAAAACAGAAGCATTCTCAGAAACTTCTCTGTGATGTTTGTGTTCAACTCCCAGAGTTTCACGTTGCTTTTCATAGAGTAGTTCTGAAACATGCTTTTCGTAGTGTCTGCAAGTGGACATTTGGAGCGCTTTCAGGCCTGTGGTGGAAAACGAATTATGGTCACATAAAAACTGGAGAGAAGCCTTCTCAGAAACTTCTCTGTGATGATTGCATTCAACTCACAGAGTTGAACCCTCCTATGGATAGAGCAGTGTTGAAACTCTCTTTTTGTGGAATCTGCAAGTGGATATGTGGACCTCTCCGAAGATGTCTTTGGAAACGGGAATATCTTCACATAAAAACTAAACAGAAGCATTCTCAGAAACTTCTTGGTGATGTTTGCATTCAAATCCCAGAGTTGAACCTTCCTTTGATAGTTCAGGTTTGAAACACTCTTTTTGTAGGATCTGCAATTGGCTATTTGGACCACTCTGTGGCCTTCGTTCGAAACGGGTATATCTTCGCATAAAATCTAGACAGAAGCATTCTCAGAAAATACTTTGTGATGATTGAGTTTAAATCACAGAGCTGACCATTCCTTTGGATGGAGCAGGTTTGAGACACACTTTTTGTAGAATCTACAAGTGGATATTTGGACCTCTCTGAGGATTTCGTTGGAAACGGGATAACTGCACCTAACTAAACGGAAGCATTCTCAGAAACTGCTTTGTGATGATTGCATTCACCTCACAGAGTTGAACATTCCTATTGATAGAGCAGTTTGGAAACACTCTTGTTGTGGAATGTGCAAGTGGAGATTTGGAGCGCTTTGAGGCCTGTGGTAGTAAAGGGAATAGCTTCATAGAAAAACTAGACAGATGCATTCTCAGGAACTTTTTGGTGATGTTTGTATTCAACTCCCAGAGTTGAACTTTCCTTTGGAAAGAGCAGCTATGAAACACTCTTTTTCTAGAATCTGCAAGTGGACGTTTGGAGGGCTTTGTGGTTTGTGGTGGAAAAGGAAATATCTTCACCTAAATACTAGATAGAAGCATTCTCAGAAGCTTCTCTGTGATGACTGCATTCAACTCACGGAGTTGAACACTCCTTTTGAGAGCGCAGTTTTGAAACTCTCTTTCTGTGGCATCTGCAAGGGGACATGTAGACCTCTTTGAAGATTTCGTTGGAAACGGAATCATCTTCACATAAAAACTATACAGAAGCAGTCTCAGAATCTTCTTTGTGATGTTTGCATTCAAATCCCAGAGTTGAACTTTCCTTTCAAAGTTCACGTTTGAAACACTCTTTTTGCAGGATCTACAAGTGGATATTTGGACCACTCTGTGTCCTTCGTTCGAAACGGGTATATCTTCACATGACATCTAGACAGAAGCTTTCTCAGAAAATTCTTTGGGATGATTGAGTTGAACTCACAGAGCTGAACATTCCTTGCGATGGAGCAGTTTAGAAACACACTTTCTGCAGAATCTGCAAGTGCATATTTGGACCTCTCTGAGGAATTCGTTGGAAACGGGATAATTTCAGCTGACTAAACAGAAGCATTCTCAGAACCTTCTTCGTGATGTCTGCATTCAACTCACAGTGTGGAACATTTCTTTGATACTTCAGGTTTGAAACACTCTTTTTGTAGAGACTGCAAGGGGATAATTGCACTTCTTTGAGGCCTACCGTAGTAAAGGAAATAACTTCCTATAAAAAGAAGACAGAAGCATTCTCAGAACCCTCTTCGTGATGTTTGCATTCAACTCACAGTGCTGAAACTTTCTTTGATAGTTCAGCTTTGAAACACTCTTTTTGTAGAAACTGCAAGTGGATACTTGGTCCTCTCTGAGGATTTCGTTGGAAAAGGGATAAACCGCACAGAACTAAACAGAAGCATTCACAGAAAACTCTTGGTGACGACTGAGTTTAACTCACAGAGGTGAACATTCCTTTGGATTGAGCAGTTTCGAAACACACTATTTGTAGAATCTGCAAGTGGATATTTGGGCCTCTCTGAGGATTTCGATGGAAACGGGATAAACCGCACAGAACTAAAACAGAAGCATTCTCAGAAACTACTTTGTGATGATTGCATTCAAGTCACAGAGCTGAACATTCCCTTTGACAGAGCAGTTTGGAAACTCTCTTTGTGTAGAATCTGCAAGTGGAGATATGGAATGCTTTGAGGACTATGGTAGTAAAGGAAATAGCTTCATATAAAAGCTAGACAGTAGCATTCTCAGAAACTTCTTTGTGATGCTTGCATTCAACTCACAGAGTTGAACTTTCCTTTCGAGAGAGAAGCTTTGAAACACTCTTTTTCCAGAATCTGCAAGTGGACATTTGGAGGGCTTTGAGGCCTGTGGTGGAAAAGGAATTATCTTCCCGTAAAAGCTAGATAGAAGCATTTTCAGAAACTTCTTTGTGATGATTGCATTCAACTCACAGAGTTGAAGGTTCCTTTTCAAACAGCAGTTTCCAATCACTCTTTCTGTGGAATCTGCAAGTGGATGTTTGGACCTCTTTGAAGATTTCGTTGGAAACGGGAGAATCTTCACAGAAAAGCTAAACAGAAGCTTTCTCAGAAACTTCTCTGTGATGTTTGTATTCAACTCCCAGAGTTTCACATTGCTTTTCATAGAGTACTTCTGAAACATGCTTTTCGTAGTGTCTGCAAGTGGACGTTTGGAGCGCTTTCAGGCCTGTGGTGGAAAACGAATTATGGTCACATAAAAACTGGAGAGAAGCCTTCACAGAAACTTCTCTGTGATGATTGCATTCAACTCACAGAGTTGAACCCCCCTATGGATAGAGCAGTGTTGAAACTCTCTTTTTGTGGAATCTGCAAGTGGATATGTGGACCTCTCCGAAGATGTCTTTGGAAACGGGAATATCTTCACATAAAAACTAAACAGAAGCATTCTCAGAAACTTCTTGGTGATGTTTGCATTCAAATCCCAGAGTTGAACCTTCCTTTGATAGTTCAGGTTTGAAACACTCTTTTTGTAGGATCTGCAAGTGGATATTTGGACCACTCTGTGGCCTTCGTTCGAAACGGGTATATCTTCGCATAAAATCTAGACAGAAGCATTCTCAGAAAATACTTTGTGATGATTGAGTTTAACTCACAGAGCTGAACATTCCTTTGGATGGAGCAGGTTTGAGACACACTTTTTGTAGAATCTACAAGTGGATATTTGGACCTCTCTGAGGATTTCGTTGGAAACGGGATAACTGCACCTAACTAAACGGAAGCATTCTCAGAAACTGCTTTGTGATGATTGCATTCACCTCACAGAGTTGAACATTCCTATTGATAGAGCAGTTTGGAAACACTCTTGTTGTGGAATGTGCAAGTGGAGATTTGGAGCGCTTTGAGGCCTATGGTAGTAAAGGGAATAGCTTCATAGAAAAACTAGACAGATGCATTCTCAGGAACTTTTTGGTGATGTTTGTATTCAACTCCCAGAGTTGAACTTTCCTTTGGAAAGAGCAGCTATGAAACACTCTTTTTCTAGAATCTGCAAGTGGACGTTTGGAGGGCTTTGTGGTTTGTGGTGGAAAAGGAAATATCTTCACCTAAATACTAGATAGAAAGCATTCTCAGCAAGCTTCTCTGTGATGACTGCATTCAACTCACGGAGTTGAACACTCCTTTTGAGAGCGCAGTTTTGAAACTCTCTTTCTGTGGCATCTGCAAGGGGACATGTAGACCTCTTTGAAGATTTCGTTGGAAACGGAATCATCTTCACATCAAAACTATACAGAAGCAGTCTCAGAATCTTCTTTGTGGTGTTTGCATTCAAATCCCAGAGTTGAACTTTCCTTTCAAAGTTCACGTTTGAAACACTCTTTTTGCAGGATCTACAAGTGGATATTTGGACCACTCTGTGTCCTTCGTTCGAAACGGGTATATCTTCACATGACATCTAGACAGAAGCTTTCTCAGAAAATTCTATGGGATGATTGAGTGGAACTCACAGAGCTGAACATTCCTTGCGATGTAGCAGTTTAGAAACACACTTTCTGCAGAATCTGCAAGTGCATATTTGGACCTCTCTGAGGAATTCGTTGGAAACGGGATAATTTCAGCTGACTAAACAGAAGCATTCTCAGAACCTTCTTCGTGATGTCTGCATTCAACTCACAGTGTGGAACCTTTCTTTGATAGTTCAGGTTTGAAACACTCTTTTTGTAGAAACTGCAAGGGGATAATTGCACTTCTTTGAGGCCTACCGTAGTAAAGGAAATAACTTCCTATAGAAAGAAGACAGAAGCATTCTCAGAACCTTCTTCGTGATGTTTGCATTCAACTCACAGTGCTGAACCTTTCTTTGATAGTTCAGCTTTGAAACACTCTTCTTGTAGAAACTGCAAGTGGATATTTGGTCCTCTCTGAAGATTTCGTTGGAAACGGGATAAACCGCACAGAACTAAACAGAAGCATTCACAGAAAACTCTTGGTGACGACTGAGTTTAACTCACAGAGCTGAACATTCCTTTGGATGGAGGAGTTTCGAAACACACTATTTGTAGAATGTGCAAGTGGATATTGGGGCCTCTCTGAGGATTTCGTTGGAAACGGGATAAACCGCAGAGAACTAAACAGAAACATTCTCAGAAACTACTTTGTGATGATTGCATTCAAGTCACAGAGTTGAACATTCCCTTTGACAGAGCAGTTTGGAAACTCTCTTTGTGTAGAATCTGCAAGTGGAGATATGGACCGCTTTGAGGCCTATGGTAGTAAAGGAAATAGCTTCATATAAAAGCTAGACAGTAGCATTCTCAGAAACTTCTTGGTGATGCTTGCATTCAACTCACAGAGTTGAACTTTCCTTTCGAGAGAGAAGCTTTGAAACACTCTTTTTCCAGAATCTGCAAGTGGACATTTGGAGGGCTTTGAGGCCTGTGGTGGAAAAGGAATTATCTTCCCGTAAAAGCTAGATAGAAGCATTGTCAGAAACTTCTTTGTGATGATTGCATTCAACTCACAGAGTTGAAGGTTCCTTTTCAAAGAGCAGTTTCCAATCACTCTTTCTGTGGAATCTGCAAGTGGATATTTCGACCTATTTTGAAGATTTCATTGGAAACGGGATAATCTTCACAGAAAAGCTAAACAGAAGCATTCTCAGAAACTTCTCTGTGATGTTTGTGTTCAACTCCCAGAGTTTCACGTTGCTTTTCATAGAGTAGTTCTGAAACATGCTTTTCGTAGTGTCTGCAAGTGGACATTTGGAGCGCTTTCAGGCCTGTGGTGGAAAACGAATTATGGTCACATAAAAACTGGAGAGAAGCCTTCTCAGAAACTTCTCTGTGATGATTGCATTCAACTCACAGAGTTGAACCCTCCTATGGATAGAGCAGTGTTGAAACTCTCTTTTTGTGGAATCTGCAAGTGGATATGTGGACCTCTCCGAAGATGTCTTTGGAAACGGGAATATCTTCACATAAAAACTAAACAGAAGCATTCTCCGAAACTTCTTGGTGATGTTTGCATTCAAATCCCAGAGTTGAACCTTCCTTTGATAGTTCAGGTTTGAAACACTCTTTCTGTAGGATCTGCAAGTGGCTATTTGGACCACTCTGTGGCCTTCGTTCGAAACGGGTATATCTTCGCATAAAATCTAGACAGAAGCATTCTCAGAAAATACTTTGTGATGATTGAGTTTAACTCACAGAGCTGAACATTCCTTTGGATGGAGCAGGCTTGAGACACACTTTTTGTAGAATCCACAAGTGGATATTTGGACCTCTCTGAGGATTTCGTTGGAAACGGGATAACTGCACCGAACTAAACGGAAGCATTCTCAGAAACTGCTTTGTGATGATTGCATTCACCTCACAGAGTTGACCAATCCTATTGATAGAGCAGTTTGGAGACACTCTTGTTGTGGAATGTGCAAGTGGAGATATGGAGCGCTTCGAGGCCTATGGTAGTAAAGGGAATAGCTTCATAGAAAAACTAGACAGATGCATTCTCAGGAACTTTTTGGTGATGTTTGTATTCAACTCCCAGAGTTGAACTTTCCTTTGGAAAGAGCAGCTATGAAACACTCTTTTTCTAGAATCTGCAAGTGGACGTTTGGAGGGCTTTGTGGTTTGTGGTGGAAAAGGAAATATCTTCACCTCAATACTAGATAGAAGCATTCTCAGAAGCTTCTCTGTGATGACTGCATTCAACTCACGGAGTTGAACACTCCTTTTGAGAGCGCAGTTTTGAAACTCTCTTTCTGTGGCATCTGCAAGGGGACATGTAGACCTCTTTGAAGATTTCGTTGGAAACGGAATCATCTTCACATCAAAACTATACAGAAGCAGTCTCAGAATCTTCTTTGTGATGTTTGCATTCAAATCCCAGAGTTGAACTTTCCTTTCAAAGTTCACGTTTGAAACACTCTTTTTGCAGGATCTACAAGTGGATATTTGGACCACTCTGTGTCCTTCGTTCGAAACGGGTATATCTTCACATGACATCTAGACAGAAGCTTTCTCAGAAAATTCTTTGGGATGATTGAGTGGAACTCACAGAGCTGAACATTCCTTGCGATGTAGCAGTTTAGAAACACACTTTCTGCAGAATCTGCAAGTGCATATTTGGACCTCTCCGAGGAATTCGTTGGAAACGGGATAATTTCAGCTGACTAAACAGAAGCATTCTCAGAACCTTCTTCGTGATGTCTGCATTCAACTCACAGTGTGGAACCTTTCTTTGATAGTTCAGGTTTGAAACACTCTTTTTGTAGAAACTGCAAGGGGATAATTGCACTTCTTTGAGGCCTACCGTAGTAAAGGAAATAACTTCCTATAGAAAGAAGACAGAAGCATTCTCAGAACCCTCTTCGTGATGTTTGCATTCAACTCACAGTGCTGAACCTTTCTTTGATAGTTCAGCTTTGAAACACTCTTCTTGTAGAAACTGCAAGTGGATATTTGGTCCTCTCTGAGGATTTCGTTGGAAACGGGATAAACCGCACAGAACTAAACAGAAGAATTCTCAGAGCCCTCTTCGTGATGTTTGCATTCAACTCACAGTGCTGAACCTTTCTTTGATAGTGCAGCTTTGAAACACTCTTTTTGTAGAAACTGCAAGTGGATGTTTGGTCCTCTCTGAGGATTTCGTTGGAAACGGGATAAACCGCACAGAACTAAAACAGAAGCATTGTCAGAAACTTCTTTGTGATGATTGCATTCAACTCACAGAGTTGAAGGTTCCTTTTCAAACAGCAGTTTCCAATCACTCTTTCTGTGGAATCTGCAAGTGGATATTTGGGCCTCTCTGAGGATTTCGTTGGAAACGGGATAAAACGCACAGAACTAAAACAGAAGCATTCTCAGAAACTTCTCTGTGATGTTTGTGTTCAACTCCCAGAGTTTCACGTTGCTTTTCATAGAGTAGTTCTGAAACATGCTTTTCGTAGTGTCTGCAAGTGGACATTTGGAGCGCTTTCAGGCCTGTGGTGGAAAACGAATTATGGTCACATAAAAACTGGAGAGAAGCCTTCTCAGAAACTTCTCTGTGATGATTGCATTCAACTCACAGAGTTGAACCCTCCTATGGATAGAGCAGTGTTGAAACTCTCTTTTTGTGGAATCTGCAAGTGGATATGTGGACCTCTCCGAAGATGTCTTTGGAAACGGGAATATCTTCACATAAAAACTAAACAGAAGCATTCTCAGAAACTTCTTGGTGATGTTTGCATTCAAATCCCAGAGTTGAACCTTCCTTTGATAGTTCAGGTTTGAAACACTCTTTCTGTAGGATCTGCAAGTGGCTATTTGGACCACTCTGTGGCCTTCGTTCGAAACGGGTATATCTTCGCATAAAATCTAGACAGAAGCATTCTCAGAAAATACTTTGTGATGATTGAGTTTAAATCACAGAGCTGACCATTCCTTTGGATGGAGCAGGTTTGAGACACACTTTTTGTAGAATCTACAAGTGGATATTTGGACCTCTCTGAGGATTTCGTTGGAAACGGGATAACTGCACCTAACTAAACGGAAGCATTCTCAGAAACTGCTTTGTGATGATTGCATTCACCTCACAGAGTTGAACATTCCTATTGATAGAGCAGTTTGGAAACACTCTTGTTGTGGAATGTGCAAGTGGAGATTTGGAGCGCTTTGAGGCCTATGGTAGTAAAGGGAATAGCTTCATAGAAAAACTAGACAGATGCATTCTCAGGAACCTTTTGGTGATGTTTGTATTCAACTCCCAGAGTTGAACTTTCCTTTGGAAAGAGCAGCTATGAAACACTCTTTTTCTAGAATCTGCAAGTGGACGTTTGGAGGGCTTTGTGGTTTGTGGTGGAAAAGGAAATATCTTCACCTAAATACTAGATAGAAGCATTCTCAGAAGCTTCTCTGTGATGACTGCATTCAACTCACGGAGTTGAACACTCCTTTTGAGAGCGCAGTTTTGAAACTCTCTTTCTGTGGCATCTGCAAGGGGACATGTAGACCTCTTTGAAGATTTCGTTGGAAACGGAATCATCTTCACATAAAAACTATACAGAAGCAGTCTCAGAATCTTCTTTGTGATGTTTGCATTCAAATCCCAGAGTTGAACTTTCCTTTCAAAGTTCACGTTTGAAACACTCTTTTTGCAGGATCTACAAGTGGATATTTGGACCACTCTGTGTCCTTCGTTCGAAACGGGTATATCTTCACACGACATCTAGACAGAAGCTTTCTCAGAAAATTCTTTGGGATGATTGAGTGGAACTCACAGAGCTGAACATTCCTTGCGATGTAGCAGTTTAGAAACACACTTTCTGCAGAATCTGCAAGTGCATATTTGGACCTCTCTGAGGAATTCGTTGGAAACGGGATAATTTCAGCTGACTAAACAGAAGCATTCTCAGAACCTTCTTCGGTGATGTCTGCATTCAACTCACAGTGTGGAACCTTTCTTTGATAGTTCAGGTTTGAAACACTCTTTTTGTAGAAACTGCAAGGGGATAATTGCACTTCTTTGAGGCCTACCGTAGTAAAGGAAATAACTTCCTATAGAAAGAAGACAGAAGCATTCTCAGAACCCTCTTCGTGATGTTTGCATTCAACTCACAGTGCTGAACCTTTCTTTGATAGTTCAGCTTTGAAACACTCTTCTTGTAGAAACTGCAAGTGGATATTTGGTCCTCTCTGAGGATTTCGTTGGAAACGGGATAAACCGCACAGAACTAAACAGAAGAATTCTCAGAGCCCTCTTCGTGATGTTTGCATTCAACTCACAGTGCTGAACCTTTCTTTGATAGTGCAGCTTTGAAACACTCTTTTTGTAGAAACTGCAAGTGGATGTTTGGTCCTCTCTGAGGATTTCGTTGGAAACGGGATAAACCGCACAGAACTAAAACAGAAGCATTGTCAGAAACTTCTTTGTGATGATTGCATTCAACTCACAGAGTTGAAGGTTCCTTTTCAAACAGCAGTTTCCAATCACTCTTTCTGTGGAATCTGCAAGTGGATATTTGGGCCTCTCTGAGGATTTCGTTGGAAACGGGATAAAACGCACAGAACTAAAACAGAAGCATTCTCAGAAACTTCTCTGTGATGTTTGTGTTCAACTCCCAGAGTTTCACGTTGCTTTTCATAGAGTAGTTCTGAAACATGCTTTTCGTAGTGTCTGCAAGTGGACATTTGGAGCGCTTTCAGGCCTGTGGTGGAAAACGAATTATGGTCACATAAAAACTGGAGAGAAGCCTTCTCAGAAACTTCTCTGTGATGATTGCATTCAACTCACAGAGTTGAACCCTCCTATGGATAGAGCAGTGTTGAAACTCTCTTTTTGTGGAATCTGCAAGTGGATATGTGGACCTCTCCGAAGATGTCTTTGGAAACGGGAATATCTTCACATAAAAACTAAACAGAAGCATTCTCAGAAACTTCTTGGTGATGTTTGCATTCAAATCCCAGAGTTGAACCTTCCTTTGATAGTTCAGGTTTGAAACACTCTTTTTGTAGGATCTGCAAGTGGCTATTTGGACCACTCTGTGGCCTTCGTTCGAAACGGGTATATCTTCGCATAAAATCTAGACAGAAGCATTCTCAGAAAATACTTTGTGATGATTGAGTTTAAATCACAGAGCTGAACATTCCTTTGGATGGAGCAGGTTTGAGACACACTTTTTGTAGAATCTACAAGTGGATATTTGGACCTCTCTGAGGATTTCGTTGGAAACGGGATAACTGCACCTAACTAAACGGAAGCATTCTCAGAAACTGCTTTGTGATGATTGCATTCACCTCACAGAGTTGAACATTCCTATTGATAGAGCAGTTTGGAAACACTCTTGTTGTGGAATGTGCAAGTGGAGATTTGGAGCGCTTTGAGGCCTATGGTAGTAAAGGGAATAGCTTCATAGAAAAACTAGACAGATGCATTCTCAGGAACTTTTTGGTGATGTTTGTATTCAACTCCCAGAGTTGAACTTTCCTTTGGAAAGAGCAGCTATGAAACACTCTTTTTCTAGAATCTGCAAGTGGACGTTTGGAGGGCTTTGTGGTTTGTGGTGGAAAAAGAAATATCTTCACCTAAATACTAGATAGAAGCATTCTCAGAAGCTTCTCTGTGATGACTGCATTCAACTCACGGAGTTGAACACTCCTTTTGAGAGCGCAGTTTTGAAACTCCCTTTCTGTGGCATCTGCAAGGGGACATGTAGACCTCTTTGAAGATTTCGTTGGAAACGGAATCATCTTCACATAAAAACTATACAGAAGCAGTCTCAGAATCTTCTTTGTGATGTTTGCATTCAAATCCCAGAGTTGAACTTTCCTTTCAAAGTTCACGTTTGAAACACTCTTTTTGCAGGATCTACAAGTGGATATTTGGACCACTCTGTGTCCTTCGTTCGAAACGGCTATATCTTCACACGACATCTAGACAGAAGCTTTCTCAGAAAATTCTTTGGGATGATTGAGTTGAACTCACAGAGCTGAGCATTCCTTGCGATGTAGCAGTTTAGAAACACACTTTCTGCAGAATCTGCAAGTGCATATGTGGACCTCTCTGAGGAATTCGTTGGAAACGGGATAATTTCAGCTGACTAAACAGAAGCATTCTCAGAACCTTCTTCGTGATGTCTGCATTCAACTCAAAGTGTGGAACCTTTCTTTGATAGTTCAGGTTTTAAAAACTCTTTTTGTAGAAACTGCAAGGGGATAATTGCACTCTTTGAGGAGTACCGTAGTAAAGGAAATAACTTCCTATAAAAAGAAGACAGAAGCATTCTCAGAACCCTCTTCGTGATGTTTGCATTCAACTCACAGTGCTGAACCTTTCTTTGATAGTTCAGCTTTGAAACACTCTTTTTGTAGAAACTGCAAGTGGATATTTGGTCCTCTCTGAGGATTTCGTTGGAAACGGGATAAAACGCACAGAACGAAACAGAAGCATTCTCAGAACCTTCTTCGTGATGTTTGCATTCAACTCACAGTGTTGAACCTTTCTTTGATAGTTCAGGTTTGAAACGGTCTTTCTGTAGAAACTGCAAGTAGATATTTGGACCTCTCTGAGGATTTCGTTGGAAACGGGATAAACAGCACAGAACTAAAACAGAAGCATTCACAGAAAACTCTTGGTGACGACTGAGTTTAACTCACAGAGCTGAACATTTCTTTGGATGGAGCAGTTTCGAAACACACTATTTGTAGAATGTGCAAGTGGATATTTGGGCCTCTCTGAGGATTTCGTTGGAAACGGGATAAACCGCACAGAACTAAACAGAAGCATTCTCAGAAACTACTTTGTGATGATTGCATTCAAGTCACAGAGTTGAACATTCCCTTTGACAGAGCAGTTTGGAAACTCTCTTTGTGTAGAATCTGCAAGTGGAGATATGGACCGCTTTGAGGCCTATGGTAGTAAAGGAAATAGCTTCATATAAAAGCTAGACAGTAGCATTCTCAGAAACTTCTTTGTGATGCTTGCATTCAACTCACAGAGTTGAACTTTCCTTTCGAGAGAGAAGCTTTGAAACACTCTTTTTCCAGAATCTGCAAGTGGACATTTGGAGGGCTTTGAGGCCTGTGGTGGAAAAGGAATTATCTTCCCGTAAAAGCTAGATAGAAAGCATTGTCAGAAACTTCTTTGTGATGATTGCATTCAACTCACAGAGTTGAAGGTTCCTTTTCAAAGAGCAGTTTCCAATCACTCTTTCTGTGGAATCTGCAAGTGGATATTTGGACCTATTTTGAAGATTTCGTTGGAAACGGGAGAATCTTCACAGGAAAGCTAAACAGAAGCATTCTCAGAAACTTCTCTGTGATGTTTGTGTTCAACTCCCAGAGTTTCACATTGCTTTTCATAGAGTAGTTCTGAAACATGCTTTTCGTAGTGTCTGCAAGTGGACATTTGGAGCGCTTTCAGGCCTGTGGTGGAAAACGAATTATGGTCACATAAAAACTGGAGAGAAGCCTTCTCAGAAACTTCTCTGTGATGATTGCATTCAACTCACAGAGTTGAACCCTCCTGTGGATAGAGCAGTGTTGAAACTCTCTTTTTGTGGAATCTGCAAGTGGATATGTGGACCTCTCCGAAGATGTCTTTGGAAACGGGAATATCTTCACATAAAAACTAAACAGAAGCATTCTCAGAAACTTCTTGGTGATGTTTGCATTCAAATCCCAGAGTTGAACCTTCCTTTGATAGTTCAGGTTTGAAACACTCTTTTTGTAGGATCTGCAAGTGGATATTTGGACCACTCTGTGGCCTTCGTTCGAAACGGGTACATCTTCGCATAAAATCTAGACAGAAGCATTCTCAGAAAATACTTTGTGATGATTGAGTTTAACTCACAGAGCTGAACATTCCTTTGGATGGAGCAGGTTTGAGACACACTTTTTGTAGAATCTACAAGTGGATATTTGGACCTCTCTGAGGATTTCGTTGGAAACGGGATAACTGCACCTAACTAAACGGAAGCATTCTCAGAAACTGCTTTGTGATGATTGCATTCACCTCACAGAGTTGAACATTCCTATTGATAGAGCAGTTTGGAAACACTCTTGTTGTGGAATGTGCAAGTGGAGATTTGGAGCGCTTTGAGGCCTATGGTAGTAAAGGGAATAGCTTCATAGAAAAACTAGACAGATGCATTCTCAGGAACTTTTTGGTGATGTTTGTATTCAACTCCCAGAGTTGAACTTTCCTTTGGAAAGAGCAGCTATGAAACACTCTTTTTCTAGAATCTGCAGGTGGACGTTTGGAGGGCTTTGTGGTTTGTGGTGGAAAAGGAAATATCTTCACCTAAATACTAGATAGAAGCATCCTCAGAAGCTTCTCTGTGATGACTGCATTCAACTCACGGAGTTGAACACTCCTTTTGAGAGCGCAGTTTTGAAACTCTCTTTCTGTGGCATCTGCAAGGGGACATGTAGACCTCTTTGAAGATTTCGTTGGAAACGGAATCATCTTCACATAAAAACTACACAGAAGCAGTCTCAGAATCTTCTTTGTGATGTTTGCATTCAAATCCCCGAGTTGAACTTTCCTTTCAAAGTTCACGTTTGAAACACTCTTTTTGCAGGATCTACAAGTGGATATTTGGACCACTCTGTGTCCTTCGTTCGAAACGGGTATATCTTCACATGACATCTAGACAGAAGCTTTCTCAGAAAATTCTTTGAGATGATTGAGTTGAACTCACAGAGCTGAGCATTCCTTGCGATGTAGCAGTTTAGAAACACACTTTCTGCAGAATCTGCAAGTGCATATTTGGACCTCTGTGAGGAATTCGTTGGAAACGGGATAATTTCAGCTGACTAAACAGAAGCATTCTCAGAACCTTCTTCGTGATGTCTGCATTCAACTCACAGTGTGGAACCTTTCTTTGATAGTTCAGGTTTGAAACACTCTTTTTGTAGAAACTGCAAGGGGATAATTGCACTCTTTGAGGAGTACCGTAGTAAAGGAAATAACTTCCTATAAAAAGAAGACAGAAGCATTCTCAGAACCCTCTTCGTGATGTTTGCATTCAACTCACAGTGCTGAACCTTTCTTTGATAGTTCAGCTTTGAAACACTCTTTTTGTAGAAACTGCAAGTGGATATTTGGTCCTCTCTGAGGATTTCGTTGGAAACGGGATAAACCGCACAGAACTAAACAGAAGCAATCTCAGAACCTTCTTCGTGATGTTTGCATTCAACTCAACAGTGTTGAACCTTTCTTTGATAGTTCAGGTTTGAAACGGTCTTTCTGTAGAAACTGCAAGTAGATATTTGGACCGCTCTGAGGATTTCGTTGGAAACGGGATAACCCGCACAGAACTAAAACAGAAGCATTCAGAAAAAACTCTTGGTGACGACTGAGTTTAACTCACAGAGCTGAACATTCCTTTGGATGGAGCAGTTTCGAAACACACTATTTGTAGAATGTGCAAGTGGATATTTGGGCCTCTCTGAGGATTTCGTTGGAAACGGGATAAACCGCACAGAACTAAACAGAAGCATTCTCAGAAACTACTTTGTGATGATTGCATTCAAGTCACAGAGTTGAACATTCCCTTTGACAGAGCAGTTTGGAAACTCTCTTTGTGTAGAATCTGCAAGTAGAGATATGGACCGCTTTGAGGCCTATGGTAGTAAAGGAAATAGCTTCATATAAAAGCTAGACAGTAGCATTCTCAGAAACTTCTTTGTGATGCTTGCATTCAACTCACAGAGTTGAACTTTCCTTTCGAGAGAGAAGCTTTGAAACACTCTTTTTCCAGAATCTGCAAGTGGACATTTGGAGGGCTTTGAGGCCTGTGGTGGAAAAGGAATTATCTTCCCGTAAAAGCTAGACAGAAGCATTGTCAGAAACTTCTTTGTGATGATTGCATTCAACTCACAGAGTTGAAGGTTCCTTTTCAAAGAGCAGTTTCCAATCACTCTTTCTGTGGAATCTGCAAGTGGATGTTTGGACCTCTTTGAAGATTTCGTTGGAAACGGGAGAATCTTCACAGAAAAGCTAAACAGAAGCATTCTCAGAAACTTCTCTGTGATGTTTGTGTTCAACTCCCAGAGTTTCACGTTGCTTTTCATAGAGTAGTTCTGAAACATGCTTTTTGTAGTGTCTGCAAGTGGACATTTGGAGCGCTTTCAGGCCTGTGGTGGAAAACGAATTATGGTCACATAAAAACTGGAGAGAAGCCTTCTCAGAAACTTCTCTGTGATGATTGCATTCAACTCACAGAGTTGAACCCTCCTATGGATAGAGCAGTGTTGAAACTCTCTTTTTGTGGAATCTGCAAGTGGATATGTGGACCTCTCCGAAGATGTCTTTGGAAACGGGAATATCTTCACATAAAAACTAAACAGAAGCATTCTCAGAAACTTCTTGGTGATGTTTGCATTCAAATCCCAGAGTTGAACCTTCCTTTGATAGTTCAGGTTTGAAACACTCTTTCTGTAGGATCTGCAAGTGGCTATTTGGACCACTCTGTGGCCTTCGTTCGAAACGGGTATATCTTCGCATAAAATCTAGACAGAAGCATTCTCAGAAAATACTTTGTGATGATTGAGTTTAAATCACAGAGCTGACCATTCCTTTGGATGGAGCAGGTTTGAGACACACTTTTTGTAGAATCTACAAGTGGATATTTGGACCTCTCTGAGGATTTCGTTGGAAACGGGATAACTGCACCTAACTAAACGGAAGCATTCTCAGAAACTGCTTTGTGATGATTGCATTCACCTCACAGAGTTGAACATTCCTATTGATAGAGCAGTTTGGAAACACTCTTGTTGTGGAATGTGCAAGTGGAGATTTGGAGCGCTTTGAGGCCTATGGTAGTAAAGGGAATAGCTTCATAGAAAAACTAGACAGATGCATTCTCAGGAACTTTTTGGTGATGTTTGTATTCAACTCCCAAGAGTTGAACTTTCCTTTGGAAAGAGCAGCTATGAAACACTCTTTTTCTAGAATCTGCAAGTGGACGTTTGGAGGGCTTTGTGGTTTGTGGTGGAAAAGGAAATATCTTCACCTAAATACTAGATAGAAGCATTCTCAGAAGCTTCTCTGTGATGACTGCATTCAACTCACGGAGTTGAACACTCCTTTTGAGAGCGCAGTTTTGAAACTCTCTTTCTGTGGCATCCGCAAGGGGACATGTAGACCTGTTTGAAGATTTCTTTGGAAAGGGAATCATCTTCACATAAAAACTATACAGAAGCAGTCTCAGAATCTTCTTTGTGATGTTTGCATTCAAATCCCAGAGTTGAACTTTCCTTTCAAAGTTCACGTTTGAAACACTCTTTTTGCAGGATCTACAAGTGGATATTTGGACCACTCTGTGTCCTTCGTTCGAAACGGGTATATCTTCACATGACATCTAGACAGAAGCTTTCTCAGAAAATTCTTTGGGATGATTGAGTGGAACTCACAGAGCTGAACATTCCTTGCGATGTAGCAGTTTAGAAACACACTTTCTGCAGAATCTGCAAGTGCATATTTGGACCTCTCCGAGGAATTCGTTGGAAACGGGATAATTTCAGCTGACTAAACAGAAGCATTCTCAGAACCTTCTTCGTGATGTCTGCATTCAACTCACAGTGTGGAACCTTTCTTTGATAGTTCAGGTTTGAAACACTCTTTTTGTAGAAACTGCAAGGGGATAATTGCACTTCTTTGAGGCCTACCGTAGTAAAGGAAATAACTTCCTATAGAAAGAAGACAGAAGCATTCTCAGAACCCTCTTCGTGATGTTTGCATTCAACACACAGTGCTGAACCTTTCTTTGATACTTCAGCTTTGAAACACTCTTCTTGTAGAAACTGCAAGTGGATATTTGGTCCTCTCTGAGGATTTCGTTGGAAACGGGATAAACCGCACAGAACTAAACAGAAGCATTCTCAGAACCTTCTTCGTGATGTTTGCATTCAACTCACAGTGTTGAACCTTTCTTTGATAGTTCAGGTTTGAAACGGTCTTTCTGTAGAAACTGCAAGTAGATATTTGGACCTCTCTGAGGATTTCGTTGGAAACGGGATAACCCGCACAGAACTAAAACAGAAGCATTCACAGAAAACTCTTGGTGACGACTGAGTTTAACTCACAGAGCTGAACATTCCTTTGGATGGAGCAGTTTCGAAACACACTATTTGTAGAATGTGCAAGTGGATATTTAGGCCTCTCTGAGGATTTCGTTGGAAACGGGATAAACCGCACAGAACTAAACAGAAGCATTCTCAGAAACTACTTTGTGATGATTGCATTCAAGTCACAGAGTTGAACATTCCCTTTGACAGAGCAGTTTGGAAACTCTCTTTGTGTAGAATCTGCAAGTGGAGATATGGACCGCTTTGAGGCCTATGGTAGTAAAGGAAATAGCTTCATATAAAAGCTAGACAGTAGCATTCTCAGAAACTTCTTTGTGATGCTTGCATTCAACTCACAGAGTTGAACTTTCCTTTCGAGAGAGAAGCTTTGAAACACTCTTTTTCCAGAATCTGCAAGTGGACATTTGGAGGGCTTTGAGGCCTGTGGTGGAAAAGGAATTATCTTCCCGTAAAAGCTAGATAGAAGCATTGTCAGAAACTTCTTTGTGATGATTGCATTCAAGTCACAGAGTTGAAGGTTCCTTTTCAAAGAGCAGTTTCCAATCACTCTTTCTGTGGAATCTGCAAGTGGATATTTGGACCTCTTTGAAGATTTCGTTGGAAACGGGAGAATCTTCACAGAAAAGCTAAACAGAAGCATTCTCAGAAACTTCTCTGTGATGTTTGTGTTCAACTCCCAGAGTTTCACGTTGCTTTTCATAGAGTAGTTCTGAAACATGCTTTTCGTAGTGTCTGCAAGTGGACATTTGGAGCGCTTTCAGGCCTGTGGTGGAAAACGAATTATGGTCACATAAAAACTGGAGAGAAGCCTTCTCAGAAACTTCTCTGTGATGATTGCATTCAACTCACAGAGTTGAACCCTCCTATGGATAGAGCAGTGTTGAAACTCTCTTTTTGTGGAATCTGCAAGTGGATATGTGGACCTCTCCGAAGATGTCTTTGGAAACGGGAATATCTTCACATAAAAACTAAACAGAAGCATTCTCAGAAACTTCTTGGTGATGTTTGCATTCAAATCCCAGAGTTGAACCTTCCTTTGATAGTTCAGGTTTGAAACACTCTTTCTGTAGGATCTGCAAGTGGCTATTTGGACCACTCTGTGGCCTTCGTTCGAAACGGGTATATCTTCGCATAAAATCTAGACAGAAGCATTCTCAGAAAATACTTTGTGATGATTGAGTTTAAATCACAGAGCTGACCATTCCTTTGGATGGAGCAGGTTTGAGACACACTTTTTGTAGAATCTACAAGTGGATATTTGGACCTCTCTGAGGATTTCGTTGGAAACGGGATAACTGCACCTAACTAAACGGAAGCATTCTCAGAAACTGCTTTGTGATGATTGCATTCACCTCACAGAGTTGAACATTCCTATTGATAGAGCAGTTTGGAAACACTCTTGTTGTGGAATGTGCAAGTGGAGATTTGGAGCGCTTTGAGGCCTATGGTAGTAAAGGGAATAGCTTCATAGAAAAACTAGACAGATGCATTCTCAGGAACTTTTTGGTGATGTTTGTATTCAACTCCCAGAGTTGAACTTTCCTTTGGAAAGAGCAGCTATGAAACACTCTTTTTCTAGAATCTGCAAGTGGACGTTTGGAGGGCTTTGTGGTTTGTGGTGGAAAAGGAAATATCTTCACCTAAATACTAGATAGAAGCATCCTCAGAAGCTTCTCTGTGATGACTGCATTCAACTCACGGAGTTGAACACTCCTTTTGAGAGCGCAGTTTTGAAACTCTCTTTCTGTGGCATCTGCAAGGGGACATGTAGACCTCTTTGAAGATTTCGTTGGAAACGGAATCATCTTCACATAAAAACTACACAGAAGCAGTCTCAGAATCTTCTTTGTGATGTTTGCATTCAAATCCCCGAGTTGAACTTTCCTTTCAAAGTTCACGTTTGAAACACTCTTTTTGCAGGATCTACAAGTGGATATTTGGACCACTCTGTGTCCTTCGTTCGAAACGGGTATATCTTCACATGACATCTAGACAGAAGCTTTCTCAGAAAATTCTTTGGGATGATTGAGTTGAACTCACAGAGCTGAGCATTCCTTGCGATGTAGCAGTTTAGAAACACACTTTCTGCAGAATCTGCAAGTGCATATTTGGACCTCTGTGAGGAATTCGTTGGAAACGGGATAATTTCAGCTGACTAAACAGAAGCATTCTCAGAACCTTCTTCGTGATGTCTGCATTCAACTCACAGTGTGGAACCTTTCTTTGATAGTTCAGGTTTGAAACACTCTTTTTGTAGAAACTGCAAGGGGATAATTGCACTCTTTGAGGAGTACCGTAGTAAAGGAAATAACTTCCTATAAAAAGAAGACAGAAGCATTCTCAGAACCCTCTTCGTGATGTTTGCATTCAACTCACAGTGCTGAACCTTTCTTTGATAGTTCAGCTTTGAAACACTCTTTTTGTAGAAACTGCAAGTGGATATTTGGTCCTCTCTGAGCATTTCGTTGGAAACGGGATAAACTGCACAGAACTAAACAGAAGCATTCTCAGAACCTTCTTCGTGATGTTTGCATTCAACTCACAGTGTTGAACCTTTCTTTGATAGTTCAGGTTTGAAACGGTCTTTCTGTAGAAACTGCAAGTAGATATTTGGACCTCTCTGAGGATTTCGTTGGAAACGGGATAACCCGCACAGAACTAAAACAGAAGCATTCACAGAAAACTCTTGGTGACGACTGAGTTTAACTCACAGAGCTGAACATTCCTTTGGATGGAGCAGTTTCGAAACACACTATTTGTAGAATGTGCAAGTGGATATTTAGGCCTCTCTGAGGATTTCGTTGGAAACGGGATAAACCGCACAGAACTAAACAGAAGCATTCTCAGAAACTACTTTGTGATGATTGCATTCAAGTCACAGAGTTGAACATTCCCTTTGACAGAGCAGTTTGGAAACTCTCTTTGTGTAGAATCTGCAAGTGGAGATATGGACCGCTTTGAGGCCTATGGTAGTAAAGGAAATAGCTTCATATAAAAGCTAGACAGTAGCATTCTCAGAAACTTCTTTGTGATGCTTGCATTCAACTCACAGAGTTGAACTTTCCTTTCGAGAGAGAAGCTTTGAAACACTCTTTTTCCAGAATCTGCAAGTGGACATTTGGAGGGCTTTGAGGCCTGTGGTGGAAAAGGAATTATCTTCCCGTAAAAGCTAGATAGAAGCATTGTCAGAAACTTCTTTGTGATGATTGCATTCAACTCACAGAGTTGAAGGTTCCTTTTCAAAGAGCAGTTTCCAATCACTCTTTCTGTGGAATCTGCAAGTGGATATTTGGACCTATTTTGAAGATTTCGTTGGAAACGGGAGAATCTTCACAGGAAAGCTAAACAGAAGCATTCTCAGAAACTTCTCTGTGATGTTTGTGTTCAACTCCCAGAGTTTCACATTGCTTTTCATAGAGTAGTTCTGAAACATGCTTTTCGTAGTGTCTACAAGTGGACATTTGGAGCGCTTTCAGGCCTGTGGTGGAAAACGAATTATGGTCACATAAAAACTGGAGAGAAGCCTTCTCAGAAACTTCTCTGTGATGATTGCATTCAACTCACAGAGTTGAACCCTCCTATGGATAGAGCAGTGTTGAAACTCTCTTTTTGTGGAATCTGCAAGTGGATATGTGGACCTCTCCGAAGATGTCTTTGGAAACGGGAATATCTTCACATAAAAACTAAACAGAAGCATTCTCAGAAACTTCTTGGTGATGTTTGCATTCAAATCCCAGAGTTGAACCTTCCTTTGATAGTTCAGGTTTGAAACACTCTTTTTGTAGGATCTGCAAGTGGATATTTGGACCACTCTGTGGCCTTCGTTCGAAACGGGTATATCTTCGCATAAAATCTAGACAGAAAGCATTCTCAGAAAATACTTTGTGATGATTGAGTTTAACTCACAGAGCTGAACATTCCTTTGGATGGAGCAGGTTTGAGTCACACTTTTTGTAGAATCTACAAGTGGATATTTGGACCTCTCTGAGGATTTCGTTGGAAACGCGATAACTGCACCTAACTAAACGGAAGCATTCTCAGAAACTGCTTTGTGATGATTGCATTCACCTCACAGAGTTGAATATTCCTATTGATAGAGCAGTTTGGAAACACTCTTCTTGTGGAATGTGCAAGTGGAGATTTGGAGCGCTTTGAGGCCTATGGTAGTAAAGGGAATAGCTTCATAGAAAAACTAGACAGATGCATTCTCAGGAACTTTTTGGTGATGTTTGTATTCAACTCCCAGAGTTGAACTTTCCTTTGGAAAGAGCAGCTATGAAACACTCTTTTTCTAGAATCTGCAAGTGGACGTTTGGAGGGCTTTGTGGTTTGTGGTGGAAAAGGAAATATCTTCACCTAAATACTAGATAGAAGCATCCTCAGAAGCTTCTCTGTGATGACTGCATTCAACTCATGGAGTTGAACACTCCTTTTGAGAGCGCAGTTTTGAAACTCTCTTTCTGTGGCATCTGCAAGGGGACATGTAGACCTCTTTGAAGATTTCGTTGGAAACGGAATCATCTTCACATAAAAACTACACAGAAGCAGTCTCAGAATCTTCTTTGTGATGTTTGCATTCAAATCCCAGAGTTGAACTTTCCTTTCAAAGTTCACGTTTGAAACACTCTTTTTGCAGGATCTACAAGTGGATATTTGGACCACTCTGTGTCCTTCGTTCGAAACGGGTATATCTTCACATGACATCTAGACAGAAGCTTTCTCAGAAAATTCTTTGGGATGATTGAGTTGAACTCACAGAGCTGAGCATTCCTTGCGATGTAGCAGTTTAGAAACACACTTTCTGCAGAATCTGCAAGTGCATATTTGGACCTCTCTGAGGAATTCGTTGGAAACGGGATAATTTCAGCTGACTAAACAGAAGCATTCTCAGAACCTTCTTCGTGATGTCTGCATTCAACTCACAGTGTGGAACCTTTCTTTGATAGTTCAGGTTTGAAACACTCTTTCTGTAGAAACTGCAAGGGGATAATTGCACTCTTTGAGGAGTACCGTAGTAAAGGAAATAACTTCCTATAAAAAGAAGACAGAAGCATTCTCAGAACCCTCTTCGTGATGTTTGCATTCAACTCACAGTGCTGAACCTTTCTTTGATAGTTCAGCTTTGAAACACTCTTTTTGTAGAAACTGCAAGTGGATATTTGGTCCTCTCTGAGCATTTCGTTGGAAACGGGATAAACTGCACAGAACTAAACAGAAGCATTCTCAGAACCTTCTTCGTGATGTTTGCATTCAACTCACAGTGTTGAACCTTTCTTTGATAGTTCAGGTTTGAAACGTTCTTTCTGTAGAAACTGCAAGTAGATATTTGGACCTCTCTGAGGATTTCGTTGGAAACGGGATAACCCGCACAGAACTAAAACAGAAGCATTCACAGAAAACCCTTGGTGACGACTGAGTTTAACTCACAGAGCTGAACATTCCTTTGGATGGAGCAGTTTCGAAACACACTATTTGTAGAATCTGCAAGTGGATATTTGGGCCTCTCTGAGGATTTCGATGGAAACGGGATAAACCGCACAGAACTAAAACAGAAACATTCTCAGAAACTACTTTGTGATGATTGCATTCAAGTCACAGAGTTGAACATTCCCTTTGACAGAGCAGTTTGGAAACTCTCTTTGTGTAGAATCTGCAAGTGGAGATATGGACCGCTTTGAGGCCTATGGTAGTAAAGGAAATAGCTTCATATAAAAGCTAGACAGTAGCATTCTCAGAAACTTCTTTGTGATGCTTGCATTCAACTCACAGAGTTGAACTTTCCTTTCGAGAGAGAAGCTTTGAAACACTCTTTTTCCAGAATCTGCAAGTGGACATTTGGAGGGCTTTGAGGCCTGTGGTGGAAAAGGAATTATCTTCCCGTAAAAGCTAGATAGAAGCATTGTCAGAAACTTCTTTGTGATGATTGCATTCAACTCACAGAGTTGAAGGTTCCTTTTCAAAGAGCAGTTTCCAATCACTCTTTCTGTGGAATCTGCAAGTGGATATTTGGACCTCTTTGAAGATTTCGTTGGAAACGGGAGAATCTTCACAGAAAAGCTAAAGAGAAGCATTCTCAGAAACTTCTCTGTGATGTTTGTGTTCAACTCCCAGAGTTTCACATTGCTTTTCATAGAGTAGTTCTGAAACATGCTTTTCGTAGTGTCTACAAGTGGACATTTGGAGCGCTTTCAGGCCTGTGGTGGAAAACGAATTATGGTCACATAAAAACTGGAGAGAAGCCTTCTCAGAAACTTCTCTGTGATGATTGCATTCAACTCACAGAGTTGAACCCTCCTATGGATAGAGCAGTGTTGAAACTCTCTTTTTGTGGAATCTGCAAGTGGATATGTGGACCTCTCCGAAGATGTCTTTGGAAACGGGAATATCTTCACATAAAAACTAAACAGAAGCATTCTCAGAAACTTCTTGGTGATGTTTGCATTCAAATCCCAGAGTCGAACCTTCCTTTGATAGTTCAGGTTTGAAACACTCTTTTTGTAGGATCTGCAAGTGGATATTTGGACCACTCTGTGGCCTTCGTTCGAAACGGGTATATCTTCGCATAAAATCTAGACAGAAGCATTCTCAGAAAATACTTTGTGATGATTGAGTTTAACTCACAGAGCTGAACATTCCTTTGGATGGAGCAGGTTTGAGACACACTTTTTGTAGAATCTACAAGTGGATATTTGGACCTCTCTGAGGATTTCGTTGGAAACGGGATAACTGCACCTAACTAAACGGAAGCATTCTCAGAAACTGCTTTGTGATGATTGCATTCACCTCACAGAGTTGAACATTCCTATTGATAGAGCAGTTTGGAAACACTCTTGTTGTGGAATGTGCAAGTGGAGATTTGGAGCGCTTTGAGGCCTATGGTAGTAAAGGGAATAGCTTCATAGAAAAACTAGACAGATGCATTCTCAGGAACTTTTTGGTGATGTTTTTATTCAACTCCCAGAGTTGAACTTTCCTTTGCAAAGAGCAGCTATGAAACACTCTTTTTCTAGAATCTGCAAGTGGACGTTTGGAGGGCTTTGTGGTTTGTGGTGGAAAAGGAAATATCTTCACCTAAATACTAGATAGAAGCATTCTCAGAAGCTTCTCTGTGATGACTGCATTCAACTCACGGAGTTGAACACTCCTTTTGAGAGCGCAGTTTTGAAACTCTCTTTCTGTGGCATCTGCAAGGGGACATGTAGACCTCTTTGAAGATTTCGTTGGAAACGGAATCATCTTCACATAAAAACTATACAGAAGCAGTCTCAGAATCTTCTTTGTGATGTTTGCATTCAAATCCCAGAGTTGAACTTTCCTTTCAAAGTTCACGTTTGAAACACTCTTTTTGCAGGATCTACAAGTGGATATTTGGACCACTCTGTGTCCTTCGTTCGAAACGGGTGTATCTTCACATGACATCTAGACAGAAGCTTTCTCAGAAAATTCTTTGGGATGATTGAGTGGAACTCACAGATCTGAACATTCCTTGTGATGTAGCAGTTTAGAAACACACTTTCTGCAGAATCTGCAAGTGCATATGTGGACCTCTCTGAGGAATTCGTTGGAAACGGGATAATTTCAGCTGATTAAACAGAAGCATTCTCAGAACCTTCTTCGTGATGTCTGCATTCAACTCACAGTGTGGAACTTTTCTTTGATAGTTCAGGTTTGAAACACTCTTTTTGTAGAAACTGCAAGGGGATCATTGCACTTCTTTGAGGCCTACCGTAGTAAAGGAAATAACTTCCTATAAAAAGAAGACAGAAGCATTCTCAGAACCCTCTTCGTGATGTTTGCATTCAACTCACAGTGCTGAACCTTTCTTTGATAGTTCAGCTTTGAAACACTCTTCTTGTAGAAACTGCAAGTGGATATTTGGTCCTCTCTGAGGATTTCGTTGGAAACGGGATAAACCGCACAGAACTAAACAGAAGAATTCTCAGAGCCCTCTTCGTGATGTTTGCATTCAACTCACAGTGCTGAACCTTTCTTTGATAGTGCAGCTTTGAAACACTCTTTTTGTAGAAACTGCAAGTGGATATTTGGTCCTCTCTGAGGATTTCGCTGGAAACGGGATAAACCGCACAGAACTAAAACAGAAGCATTGTCAGAAACTTCTTTGTGATGATTGCATTCAACTCACAGAGTTGAAGGTTCCTTTTCAAACAGCAGTTTCCAATCACTCTTTCTGTGGAATCTGCAAGTGGATATTTGGGCCTCTCTGAGGATTTCGTTGGAAACGGGATAAAACGCACAGAACTAAAACAGAAGCATTCTCAGAAACTTCTCTGTGATGTTTGTGTTCAACTCCCAGAGTTTCACGTTGCTTTTCATAGAGTAGTTCTGAAACATGCTTTTCGTAGTGTCTGCAAGTGGACATTTGGAGCGCTTTCAGGCCTGTGGTGGAAAACGAATTATGGTCACATAAAAACTGGAGAGAAGCCTTCTCAGAAACTTCTCTGTGATGATTGCATTCAACTCACAGAGTTGAACCCTCCTATGGATAGAGCAGTGTTGAAACTCTCTTTTTGTGGAATCTGCAAGTGGATATGTGGACCTCTCCGAAGATGTCTTTGGAAACGGGAATATCTTCACATAAAAACTAAACAGAAGCATTCTCAGAAACTTCTTGGTGATGTTTGCATTCAAATCCCAGAGTTGAACCTTCCTTTGATAGTTCAGGTTTGAAACACTCTTTCTGTAGGATCTGCAAGTGGCTATTTGGACCACTCTGTGGCCTTCGTTCGAAACGGGTATATCTTCGCATAAAATCTAGACAGAAGCATTCTCAGAAAATACTTTGTGATGATTGAGTTTAAATCACAGAGCTGACCATTCCTTTGGATGGAGCAGGTTTGAGACACACTTTTTGTAGAATCTACAAGTGGATATTTGGACCTCTCTGAGGATTTCGTTGGAAACGGGATAACTGCACCTAACTAAACGGAAGCATTCTCAGAAACTGCTTTGTGATGATTGCATTCACCTCACAGAGTTGAACATTCCTATTGATAGAGCAGTTTGGAAACACTCTTGTTGTGGAATGTGCAAGTGGAGATTTGGAGCGCTTTGAGGCCTATGGTAGTAAAGGGAATAGCTTCATAGAAAAACTAGACAGATGCATTCTCAGGAACTTTTTGGTGATGTTTGTATTCAACTCCCAGAGTTGAACTTTCCTTTGGAAAGAGCAGCTATGAAACCCTCTTTTTCTAGAATCTGCAAGTGGACGTTTGGAGGGCTTTGTGGTTTGTGGTGGAAAAGGAAATATCTTCACCTAAATACTAGATAGAAGCATTCTCAGAAGCTTCTCTGTGATGACTGCATTCAACTCACGGAGTTGAACACTCCTTTTGAGAGCGCAGTTTTGAAACTCCCTTTCTGTGGCATCTGCAAGGGGACATGTAGACCTCTTTGAAGATTTCGTTGGAAACGGAATCATCTTCACATAAAAACTATACAGAAGCAGTCTCAGAATCTTCTTTGTGGTGTTTGCATTCAAATCCCAGAGTTGAACTTTCCTTTCAAAGTTCACGTTTGAAACACTCTTTTTGCAGGATCTACAAGTGGATATTTGGACCACTCTGTGTCCTTCGTTCGAAACGGGTATATCTTCACATGACATCTAGACAGAAGCTTTCTCAGAAAATTCTTTGGGATGATTGAGTGGAACTCACAGAGCTGAACATTCCTTGCGATGTAGCAGTTTAGAAACACACTTTCTGCAGAATCTGCAAGTGCATATTTGGACCTCTCTGAGGAATACGTTGGAAACGGGATAATTTCAGCTGACTAAACAGAAGCATTCTCAGAACCTTCTTCGTGATGTCTCCATTCAACTCACAGTGTGGAACCTTTCTTTGATAGTTCAGGTTTGAAACACTCTTTTTGTAGAAACTGCAAGGGGATAATTGCACTTCTTTGAGGCCTACCGTAGTAAAGGAAATAACTTCCTATAGAAAGAAGACAGAAGCATTCTCAGAACCCTCTTCGTGATGTTTGCATTCAACTCACAGTGCTGAACCTTTCTTTGATAGTTCAGCTTTGAAACACTCTTCTTGTAGAAACTGCAAGTGGATATTTGGTCCTCTCTGAGGATTTCGTTGGAAACGGGATAAACCGCACAGAACTAAACAGAAGCATTCTCAGAGCCCTCTTCGTGATGTTTGCATTCAACTCACAGTGCTGAACCTTTCTTTGATAGTGCAGCTTTGAAACACTCTTTTTGTAGAAACTGCAAGTGGATGTTTGGTCCTCTCTGAGGATTTCGTTGGAAACGGGATAAACCGCACAGAACTAAAACAGAAGCATTGTCAGAAACTTCTTTGTGATGATTGCATTCAACTCACAGAGTTGAAGGTTCCTTTTCAAACAGCAGTTTCCAATCACTCTTTCTGTGGAATCTGCAAGTGGATATTTGGGCCTCTCTGAGGATTTCGTTGGAAACGGGATAAAACGCACAGAACTAAAACAGAAGCATTCTCAGAAACTTCTCTGTGATGTTTGTGTTCAACTCCCAGAGTTTCACGTTGCTTTTCATAGAGTAGTTCTGAAACATGCTTTTCGTAGTGTCTGCAAGTGGACATTTGGAGCGCTTTCAGGCCTGTGGTGGAAAACGAATTATGGTCACATAAAAACTGGAGAGAAGCCTTCTCAGAAACTTCTCTGTGATGATTGCATTCAACTCACAGAGTTGAACCCTCCTATGGATAGAGCAGTGTTGAAACTCTCTTTTTGTGGAATCTGCAAGTGGATATGTGGACCTCTCCGAAGATGTCTTTGGAAACGGGAATATCTTCACATAAAAACTAAACAGAAGCATTCTCAGAAACTTCTTGGTGATGTTTGCATTCAAATCCCAGAGTTGAACCTTCCTTTGATAGTTCAGGTTTGAAACACTCTTTCTGTAGGATCTGCAAGTGGCTATTTGGACCACTCTGTGGCCTTCGTTCGAAACGGGTATATCTTCGCATAAAATCTAGACAGAAGCATTCTCAGAAAATACTTTGTGATGATTGAGTTTAAATCACAGAGCTGACCATTCCTTTGGATGGAGCAGGTTTGAGACACACTTTTTGTAGAATCTACAAGTGGATATTTGGACCTCTCTGAGGATTTCGTTGGAAACGGGATAACTGCACCTAACTAAACGGAAGCATTCTCAGAAACTGCTTTGTGATGATTGTATTCACCTCACAGAGTTGAACATTCCTATTGATAGAGCAGTTTGGAAACACTCTTGTTGTGGAATGTGCAAGTGGAGATTTGGAGCGCTTTGAGGCCTATGGTAGTAAAGGGAATAGCTTCATAGAAAAACTAGACAGATGCATTCTCAGGAACTTTTTGGTGATGTTTGTATTCAACTCCCAGAGTTGAACTTTCCTTTGGAAAGAGCAGCTATGAAACACTCTTTTTCTAGAATCTGCAAGTGGACGTTTGGAGGGCTTTGTGGTTTGTGGTGGAAAAGGAAATATCTTCACCTAAATACTAGACAGAAGCATTCTCAGAAGCTTCTCTGTGATGACTGCATTCAACTCACGGAGTTGAACACTCCTTTTGAGAGCGCAGTTTTGAAACTCTCTTTCTGTGGCATCTGCAAGGGGACATGTAGACCTCTTTGAAGATTTCGTTGGAAACGGAATCATCTTCACATAAAAACTATACAGAAGCAGTCTCAGAATCTTCTTTGTGATGTTTGCATTCAAATCCCAGAGTTGAACTTTCCTTTCAAAGTTCACGTTTGAAACACTCTTTTTGCAGGATCTACAAGTGGATATTTGGACCACTCTGTGTCCTTCGTTCGAAACGGGTATATCTTCACACGACATCTAGACAGAAGCTTTCTCAGAAAATTCTTTGGGATGATTGAGTGGAACTCACAGAGCTGAACATTCCTTGCGATGTAGCAGTTTAGAAACACACTTTCTGCAGAATCTGCAAGTGCATATTTGGACCTCTCTGAGGAATTCGTTGGAAACGGGATAATTTCAGCTGACTAAACAGAAGCATTCTCAGAACCTTCTTCGTGATGTCTGCATTCAACTCACAGTGTGGAACCTTTCTTTGATAGTTCAGGTTTGAAACACTCTTTTTGTAGAAACTGCAAGGGGATAATTGCACTTCTTTGAGGCCTACCGTAGTAAAGGAAATAACTTCCTATAGAAAGAAGACAGAAGCATTCTCAGAACCCTCTTCGTGATGTTTGCATTCAACTCACAGTGCTGAACCTTTCTTTGATAGTTCAGCTTTGAAACACTCTTCTTGTAGAAACTGCAAGTGGATATTTGGTCCTCTCTGAGGATTTCGTTGGAAACGGGATAAACCGCACAGAACTAAACAGAAGCATTCTCAGAACCTTCTTCGTGATGTTTGCATTCAACTCACAGTGTTGAACCTTTCTTTGATAGTTCAGGTTGGAAACGGTCTTTCTGTAGAAACTGCAAGTAGATATTTGGACCTCTCTGAGGATTTCGTTGGAAACGGGATAAACCGCACAGAACTAAAACAGAAGCATTCACAGAAAACTCTTGGTGACGACTGAGTTTAACTCACAGAGCTGAACATTCCTTTGGATGGAGCAGTTTCGAAACACACTATTTGTAGAATGTGCAAGTGGATATTTGGGCCTCTCTGAGGATTTCGTTGGAAACGGGATAAACCGCACAGAACTAAACAGAAGCATTCTCAGAAACTACTTTGTGATGATTGCATTCAAGTCACAGAGTTGAACATTCCCTTTGACAGAGCAGTTTGGAAACTCTCTTTGTGTAGAATCTGCAAGTGGAGATATGGACCGCTTTGAGGCCTATGGTAGTAAAGGAAATACCTTCATATAAAAGCTAGAGAGTAGCATTCTCAGAAACTTCTTTGTGATGCTTGCATTCAACTCATAGAGTTGAACTTTCCTTTCGAGAGAGAAGCTTTGAAACACTCTTTTTCCAGAATCTGCAAGTGGAAATTTGGAGGGCTTTGAGGCCTGTGGTGGAAAAGGAATTATCTTCCTGTAAAAGCTAGATAGAAGCATTGTCAGAAACTTCTTTGTGATGATTGCATTCAACTCACAGAGTTGAAGGTTCCTTTTCAAAGAGCAGTTTCAAATCACTCTTTCCGTGGAATCTGCAAGTGGATATTTGGACCTCTTTGAAGATTTCGTTGGAAACGGGAGAATCTTCACAGAAAAGCTAAACAGAAGCATTCTCAGAAACTTCTCTGTGATGTTTGAGTTCAACTCCCAGAATTTCACATTGCTTTTCATAGAGTAGTTCTGAAACATGCTTTTCGTACTGTCTACAAGTGGACATTTGGAGCGCTTTCAGGCCTGTGGTGGAAAACGAATTATGGTCACATAAAAACTGGAGAGAAGCCTTCTCAGAAACTTCTCTGTGATGATTGCATTCAACTCACAGAGTTGAACCCTCCTATGGATAGAGCAGTGTTGAAACTCTCTTTTTGTGGAATCTGCAAGTGGATATGTGGACCTCTCCGAAGATGTCTTTGGAAATGGGAATATCTTCACATAAAAACTAAACAGAAGCATTCTCAGAAACTTCTTGGTGATGTTTGCATTCAAATCCCAGAGTTGAACCTTCCTTTGATAGTTCAGGTTTGAAACACTCTTTTTGTAGGATCTGCAAGTGGATATTTGGACCACTCTGTGGTCTTCGTTCGAAACGGGTACATCTTCGCATAAAATCTAGACAGAAGCATTCTCAGAAAATACTTTGTGATGATTGAGTTGAACTCACAGAGCTGAACATTCCTTTGGATGGAGCAGGTTTGAGACACACTTTTTGTAGAATCTACAAGTGGATATTTGGACCGCTCTGAGGATTTCGTTGGAAACGGGATAACTGCACCTAACTAAACGGAAGCATTCTCAGAAACTGCTTTGTGATGATTGCATTCACCTCACAGAGTTGAACATTCCTATTGATAGAGCAGTTTGGAAACACTCTTGTTGTGGAATGTGCAAGTGGAGATTTGGAGCGCTTTGAGGCCTATGGTAGTAAAGGGAATAGCTTCAAAGAAAAACTAGACAGATGCATTCTCAGGAACTTTTTGGTGATGTTTGTATTCAACTCCCAGAGTTGAACTTTCCTTTGGAAAGAGCAGCTATGAAACAATCTTTTTCTAGAATCTGCAAGTGGACGTTTGGAGGGCTTTGTGGTTTGTGGTGGAAAAGGAAATATCTTCACCTAAATACTAGATAGAAGCATTCTCAGAAGCTTCTCTGTGATGACTGCATTCAACTCACGGAGTTGAACACTCCTTTTGAGAGCGCAGTTTTGAAACTCTCTTTCTGTGGCATCTGCAAGGGGACATGTAGACCTCTTTGAAGATTTCGTTGGAAACGGAATCATCTTCACATCAAAACTATACAGAAGCAGTCTCAGAATCTTCTTTGTGATGTTTGCATTCAAATCCCAGAGTTGAACTTTCCTTTCCAAGTTCACGTTTGAAACACTCTTTTTGCAGGATCTGCAAGTGGATATTTGGACCACTCTGTGTCCTTCGTTCGAAACGGGTATATCTTCACATGACATCTAGACAGAAGCTTTCTCAGAAAATTCTTTGGGATGATTGAGTTGAGCAAACAGAGCTGAACACTCCTTGCGATGTAGCAGTTTAGAAACACACTTTCTGCAGAATCTGCAAGTGCATATGTGGACCTCTCTGAGGAAATCGTTGGAAACGGGATAATTTCAGCTGACTAAACAGAAGCATTCTCAGAACCTTCTTCGTGATGTCTGCATTCAACTCACAGTGTGGAACCTTTCTTTGACAGTTCAGGTTTGAAACACTCTTTTTGTAGAAACTGCAAGGGGATCATTGCACTTCTTTGAGGCCTACCGTAGTAAAGGAGATAACTTCCTATAAAAAGAAGACAGAAGCATTCTCAGAACCCTCTTCGTGATGTTTGCATTCAACTCACGGTGCTGAATCTTTCTTTGATAGTTCAGCTTTGAAACACTCTTTTTGTAGAAACTGCAAGTGGATATTTTGTCCTCTCTGAGGATTTCGTTGGTAACGGGATAAACCGCACAGAACTAAACAGAAGCATTCTCAGAACCTTCTTCGTGATGTTTGCATTCAACTCACAGTGTTGAACCTTTCTTTGATAGTTCAGGTTTGAAACGGTCTTTCTGTAGAAACTGCAAGTAGATATTTGGACCTCTCTGAGGATTTCGTTGGAAACGGGATAAACCGCACACAACTAAAACAGAAGCATTCACAGAAAACTCTTGGTGACGACTGAGTTTAACTCACAGAGCTGAACATTCCTTTGGATGGAGCAGTTTCGAAACACACTATCTGTAGAATGTGCAAGTGGATATGTGGGCCTCTCTGAGGATTTCGTTGGAAACGGGATAAACCGCACAGAACTAAACAGAAGCATTCTCAGAAACTACTTTGTGATGATTGCATTCAAGTCACAGAGTTGAACATTCCCTTTGACAGAGCAGTTTGGAAACTCTCTTTGTGTAGAATCTGCAAGTGGAGATATGGACCGCTTTGAGGCCTATGGTAGTAAAGGAAATAGCTTCATATAAAAGCTAGACAGTAGCATTCTCAGAAACTTCTTTGTGATGCTTGCATTCAACTCACAGAGTTGAACTTTCCTTTCGAGAGAGAAGCTTTGAAACACTCTTTTTCCAGAATCTGCAAGTGGACATTTGGAGGGCTTTGAGGCCTGTGGTGGAAAAGGAATTATCTTCCCGTAAAAGCTAGATAGAAGCATTGTCAGAAACTTCTTTGTGATGATTGCATTCAACTCACAGAGTTGAAGGTTCCTTTTCAAAGAGCAGTTTCCAATCACTCTTTGTGTGGAATCTGCAAGTGGATATTTGGACCTATTTTGAAGATTTCGTTGGAAACGGGAGAATCTTCACAGGAAAGCTAAACAGAAGCATTCTCAGAAACTTCTCTGTGATGTTTGTGTTCAACTCCCAGAGTTTCACATTGCTTTTCATAGAGTAGTTCTGAAACATGCTTTTCGTAGTGTCTACAAGTGGACATTTGGAGCGCTTTCAGGCCTGTGGTGGAAAACGAATTATGGTCACATAAAAACTGGAGAGAAGCCTTCTCAGAAACTTCTCTGTGATGATTGCATTCAACTCACAGAGTTGAACCCTCCTATGGATAGAGCAGTGTTGAAACTCTCTTTTTGTGGAATCTGCAAGTGGATACGTGGACCTCTCCGAAGATGTCTTTGGAAACGGGAATATCTTCACATAAAAACTAAACAGAAGCATTCTCAGAAACTTCTTGGTGATGTTTGCATTCAAATCCCAGAGTTGAACCTTCCTTTGATAGTTCAGGTTTGAAACACTCTTTTTGTAGGATCTGCAAGTGGATATTTGGACCACTCTGTGGCCTTCGTTCGAAACGGGTATATCTTCGCATAAAATCTAGACAGAAGCATTCTCAGAAAATACTTTGTGATGATTGAGTTTAAATCACAGAGCTGACCATTCCTTTGGATGGAGCAGGTTTGAGACACACTTTTTGTAGAATCTACAAGTGGATATTTGGACCTCTCTGAGGATTTCGTTGGAAACGGGAGAACTGCACCTAACTAAACGGAAGCATTCTCAGAAACTGCTTTGTGATGATTGCATTCACCTCACAGAGTTGAACATTCCTATTGATAGAGCAGTTTGGAAACACTCTTGTTGTGGAATGTGCAAGTGGAGATTTGGAGCGCTTTGAGGCCTATGGTAGTAAAGGGAATAGCTTCATAGAAAAACTAGACAGATGCATTCTCAGGAACTTTTTGGTGATGTTTGTATTCAACTCCCAGAGTTGAACTTTCCTTTGGAAAGAGCAGCTATGAAACACTGTTTCTCTAGAATCTGCAAGTGGACGTTTGGAGGGCTTTGTGGTTTGTGGTGGAAAAGGAAATATCTTCACCTAAATACTAGATAGAAGCATCCTCAGAAGCTTCTCTGTGATGACTGCATTCAACTCACGGAGTTGAACACTCCTTTTGAGAGCGCAGTTTTGAAACTCTCTTTCTGTGGCATCTGCAAGGGGACATGTAGACCTCTTTGAAGATTTCGTTGGAAACGGAATCATCTTCACAGAAAAACTATACAGAAGCAGTCTCAGAATCTTCTTTGTGATGTTTGCATTCAAATCCCCGAGTTGAACTTTCCTTTCAAAGTTCACGTTTGAAACACTCTTTTTGCAGGATCTACAAGTGGATATTTGGACCACTCTGTGTCCTTCGTTCGAAACGGGTATATCTTCACATGACATCTAGACAGAAGCTTTCTCAGAAAATTCTTTGGGATGATTGAGTTGAACTCACAGAGCTGAGCATTCCTTGCGATGTAGCAGTTTAGAAACACACTTTCTGCAGAATCTGCAAGTGCATATTTGGACCTCTGTGAGGAATTCGTTGGAAACGGGATAATTTCAGCTGACTAAACAGAAGCATTCTCAGAACCTTCTTCGTGATGTCTGCATTCAACTCACAGTGTGGAACCTTTCTTTGATAGTTCAGGTTTGAAACACTCTTTTTGTAGAAACTGCAAGGGGATAATTGCACTCTTTGAGGAGTACCGTAGTAAAGGAAATAACTTCCTCTAAAAAGAAGACAGAAGCATTCTCAGAACCCTCTTCGTGATGTTTGCATTCAACTCACAGTGCTGAACCTTTCTTTGATAGTTCAGCTTTGAAACACTCTTTTTGTAGAAACTGCAAGTGGATATTTGGTCCTCTCTGAGGATTTCGTTGCAAACGGGATAAACTGCACAGAACTAAACAGAAGCATTCTCAGAACCTTCTTCGTGATGTTTGCATTCAACTCACAGTGTTGAACCTTTCTTTGATAGTTCAGGTTTGAAACGGTCTTTCTGTAGAAACTGCAAGTAGATATTTGGACCTCTCTGAGGATTTCGTTGGAAACGGGATAACCCGCACAGAACTAAAACAGAAGCATTCACAGAAAACTCTTGGTGACGACTGAGTTTAACTCACAGAGCTGAACATTCCTTTGGATGGAGCAGTTTCGAAACACACTATTTGTAGAATGTGCAAGTGGATATTTAGGCCTCTCTGAGGATTTCGTTGGAAACGGGATAAACCGCACAGAACTAAACAGAAGCATTCTCAGAAACTACTTTGTGATGATTGCATTCAAGTCACAGAGTTGAACATTCCCTTTGACAGAGCAGTTTGGAAACTCTCTTTGTGTAGAATCTGCAAGTGGAGATATGGACCGCTTTGAGGCCTATGGTAGTAAAGGAAATAGCTTCATATAAAAGCTAGACAGTAGCATTCTCAGAAACCTCTTTGTGATGCTTGCATTCAACTCACAGAGTTGAACTTTCCTTTCGAGAGAGAAGCTTTGAAACACTCTTTTTCCAGAATCTGCAAGTGGACATTTGGAGGGCTTTGAGGCCTGTGGTGGAAAAGGAATTATCTTCCCGTAAAAGCTAGATAGAAGCATTGTCAGAAACTTCTTTGTGATGATTGCATTCAACTCACAGAGTTGAAGGTTCCTTTTCAAAGAGCAGTTTCCAATCACTCTTTCTGTGGAATCTGCAAGTGGATATTTGGACCTATTTTGAAGATTTCGTTGGAAACGGGAGAATCTTCACAGGAAAGCTAAACAGAAGCATTCTCAGAAACTTCTCTGTGATGTTTGTGTTCAACTCCCAGAGTTTCACATTGCTTTTCATAGAGTAGTTCTGAAACATGCTTTTCGTAGTGTCTACAAGTGGACATTTGGAGCGCTTTCAGGCCTGTGGTGGAAAACGAATTATGGTCACATAAAAACTGGAGAGAAGCCTTCTCAGAAACTTCTCTGTGATGATTGCATTCAACTCACAGAGTTGAACCCTCCTATGGATAGAGCAGTGTTGAAACTCTCTTTTTGTGGAATCTGCAAGTGGATATGTGGACCTCTCCGAAGATGTCTTTGGAAACGGGAATATCTTCACATAAAAACTAAACAGAAGCATTCTCAGAAACTTCTTGGTGATGTTTGCATTCAAATCCCAGAGTTGAACCTTCCTTTGATAGTTCAGGTTTGAAACACTCTTTTTGTAGGATCTGCAAGTGGATATTTGGACCACTCTGTGGCCTTCGTTCGAAACGGGTATATCTTCGCATAAAATCTAGACAGAAGCATTCTCAGAAAATACTTTGTGATGATTGAGTTTAACTCACAGAGCTGAACATTCCTTTGGATGGAGCAGGTTTGAGACACACCTTTTGTAGAATCTACAAGTGGATATTTGGACCTCTCTGAGGATTTCGTTGGAAACGGGATAACTGCACCTAACTAAACGGAAGCATTCTCAGCAAACTGCTTTGTGATGACTGCATTCACCTCACAGAGTTGAACATTCCTATTGATAGAGCAGTTTGGAAACACTCTTGTTGTGGAATGTGCAAGTGGAGATTTGGAGCGCTTTGAGGCCTATGGTAGTAAAGGGAATAGCTTCATAGAAAAACTAGACAGATGCATTCTCAGGAACTTTTTGGTGATGTTTGTATTCAACTCCCAGAGTTGAACTTTCCTTTGGAAAGAGCAGCTATGAAACACTCTTTTTCTAGAATCTGCAAGTGGACGTTTGGAGGGCTTTGTGGTTTGTGGTGGAAAAGGAAATATCTTCACCTAAATACTAGATAGAAGCATCCTCAGAAGCTTCTCTGTGATGACTGCATTCAACTCACGGAGTTGAACACTCCTTTTGAGAGCGCAGTTTTGAAACTCTCTTTCTGTGGCATCTGCAAGGGGACATGTAGACCTCTTTGAAGATTTCGTTGGAAACGGAATCATCTTCACATAAAAACTATACAGAAGCAGTCTCAGAATCTTCTTTGTGATGTTTGCATTCAAATCCCCGAGTTGAACTTTCCTTTCAAAGTTCACGTTTGAAACACTCTTTTTGCAGGATCTACAAGTGGATATTTGGACCACTCTGTGTCCTTCGTTCGAAACGGGTATATCTTCACATGACATCTAGACAGAAGCTTTCTCAGAAAATTCTTTGGGATGATTGAGTTGAACTCACAGAGCTGAGCATTCCTTGCGATGTAGCAGTTTAGAAACACACTTTCTGCAGAATCTGCAAGTGCATATTTGGACCTCTGTGAGGAATTCGTTGGAAACGGGATAATTTCAGCTGACTAAACAGAAGCATTCTCAGAACTTCTTCGTGATGTCTGCATTCAACTCACAGTGTGGAACCTTTCTTTGATAGTTCAGGTTTGAAACACTCTTTCTGTAGAAACTGCAAGGGGATAATTGCACTCTTTGAGGAGTACCGTAGTAAAGGAAATAACTTCCTATAAAAAGAAGACAGAAGCATTCTCAGAACCCTCTTCGTGATGTTTGCATTCAACTCACAGTGCTGAACCTTTCTTTGATAGTTCAGCTTTGAAACACTCTTCTTGTAGAAACTGCAAGTGGATATTTGGTCCTCTGCTGAGGATTTCGTTGGAAACGGGATAAACCGCACAGAACTAAACAGAAGAATTCTCAGAGCCCTCTTCGTGATGTTTGCATTCAACTCACAGTGCTGAACCTTTCTTTGATAGTGCAGCTTTGAAACACTCTTTTTGTAGAAACTGCAAGTGGATGTTTGGTCCTCTCTGAGGATTTCGTTGGAAACGGGATAAACCGCACAGAACTAAAACAGAAGCATTGTCAGAAACTTCTTTGTGATGATTGCATTCAACTCACAGAGTTGAAGGTTCCTTTTCAAACAGCAGTTTCCAATCACTCTTTCTGTGGAATCTGCAAGTGGATATTTGGGCCTCTCTGAGGATTTCGTTGGAAACGGGATAAAACGCACAGAACTAAAACAGAAGCATTCTCAGAAACTTCTCTGTGATGTTTGTGTTCAACTCCCAGAGTTTCACGTTGCTTTTCATAGAGTACTTCTGAAACATGCTTTTCGTAGTGTCTGCAAGTGGACATTTGGAGCGCTTTCAGGCCTGTGGTGGAAAACGAATTATGGTCACATAAAAACTGGAGAGAAGCCTTCTCAGAAACTTCTCTGTGATGATTGCATTCAACTCACAGAGTTGAACCCTCCTATGGATAGAGCAGTGTTGAAACTCTCTTTTTGTGGAATCTGCAAGTGGATATGTGGACCTCTCCGAAGATGTCTTTGGAAACGGGAATATCTTCACATAAAAACTAAACAGAAGCATTCTCAGAAACTTCTTGGTGATGTTTGCATTCAAATCCCAGAGTTGAACCTTCCTTTGATAGTTCAGGTTTGAAACACTCTTTCTGTAGGATCTGCAAGTGGCTATTTGGACCACTCTGTGGCCTTCGTTCGAAACGGGTATATCTTCGCATAAAATCTAGACAGAAGCATTCTCAGAAAATACTTTGTGATGATTGAGTTTAAATCACAGAGCTGACCATTCCTTTGGATGGAGCAGGTTTGAGACACACTTTTTGTAGAATCTACAAGTGGATATTTGGACCTCTCTGAGGATTTCGTTGGAAACGGGATAACTGCACCTAACTAAACGGAAGCATTCTCAGAAACTGCTTTGTGATGATTGCATTCACCTCACAGAGTTGAACATTCCTATTGATAGAGCAGTTTGGAAACACTCTTGTTGTGGAATGTGCAAGTGGAGATTTGGAGCGCTTTGAGGCCTATGGTAGTAAAGGGAATAGCTTCATAGAAAAACTAGACAGATGCATTCTCAGGAACTTTTTGGTGATGTTTGTATTCAACTCCCAGAGTTGAACTTTCCTTTGGAAAGAGCAGCTATGAAACACTCTTTTTCTAGAATCTGCAAGTGGACGTTTGGAGGGCTTTGTGGTTTGTGGTGGAAAAGGAAATATCTTCACCTAAATACTAGATAGAAGCATTCTCAGAAGCTTCTCTGTGATGACTGCATTCAACTCACGGAGTTGAACACTCCTTTTGAGAGCGCAGTTTTGAAACTCTCTTTCTGTGGCATCTGCAAGGGGACATGTAGACCTCTTTGAAGATTTCGTTGGAAACGGAATCATCTTCACATAAAAACTATACAGAAGCAGTCTCAGAATCTTCTTTGTGATGTTTGCATTCAAATCCCAGAGTTGAACTTCCCTTTCAAAGTTCACGTTTGAAACACTCTTTTTGCAGGATCTACAAGTGGATATTTGGACCACTCTGTGTCCTTCGTTCGAAACGGGTATATCTTCACATGACATCTAGACAGAAGCTTTCTCAGAAAATCCTTTGGGATGATTGAGTGGAACTCACAGAGCTGAACATTCCTTGCGATGTAGCAGTTTAGAAACACACTTTCTGCAGAATCTGCAAGTGCATATGTGGACCTCTCTGAGGAATTCGTTGGAAACGGGATAATTTCAGCTGACTAAACAGAAGCATTCTCAGAACCTTCTTCGTGATGTCTGCATTCAACTCACAGTGTGGAACCTTTCTTTGATAGTTCAGGTTTGAAACACTCTTTTTGTAGAAACTGCAAGGGGATAATTGCACTTCTTTGAGGCCTACCGTAGTAAAGGAAATAACTTCCTATAGAAAGAAGACAGAAGCATTCTCAGAACCCTCTTCGTGATGTTTGCATTCAACTCACAGTGCTGAACCTTTCTTTGATAGTTCAGCTTTGAAACACTCTTCTTGTAGAAACTGCAAGTGGATATTTGGTCCTCTCTGAGGATTTCGTTGGAAACGGGATAAACCGCACAGAACTAAACAGAAGAATTCTCAGAGCCCTCTTCGTGATGTTTGCATTCAACTCACAGTGCTGAACCTTTCTTTGATAGTGCAGCTTTGAAACACTCTTTTTGTAGAAACTGCAAGTGGATGTTTGGTCCTCTCTGAGGATTTCGTTGGAAACGGGATAAACCGCACAGAACTAAAACAGAAGCATTGTCAGAAACTTCTTTGTGATGATTGCATTCAACTCACAGAGTTGAAGGTTCCTTTTCAAACAGCAGTTTCCAATCACTCTTTCTGTGGAATCTGCAAGTGGATATTTGGGCCTCTCTGAGGATTTCGTTGGAAACGGGATAAAACGCACAGAACTAAAACAGAGAGCATTCTCAGAAACTTCTCTGTGATGTTTGTGTTCAACTCCCAGAGTTTCACGTTGCTTTTCATAGAGTAGTTCTGAAACATGCTTTTCGTAGTGTCTGCAAGTGGACATTTGGAGCGCTTTCAGGCCTGTGGTGGAAAACGAATTATGGTCACATAAAAACTGGAGAGAGCTTTCTCAGAAACTTCTCTGTGATGATTGCATTCAACTCACAGAGTTGAACCCTCCTATGGATAGAGCAGTGTTGAAACTCTCTTTTTGTGGAATCTGCAAGTGGATATGTGGACCTCTCCGAAGATGTCTTTGGAAACGGGAATATCTTCACATAATAACTAAACGGAAGCATTCTCAGAAACTTCTTGGTGATGTTTGCATTCAAATCCCAGAGTTGAACCTTCCTTTGACAGTTCAGGTTTGAAACACTCTTTTTGTAGGATCTGCAAGTGGATATTTGGACCACTCTGTGGCCTTCGTTCGAAACGGGTACATCTTCGCATAAAATCTAGACAGAAGCATTCTCAGAAAATACTTTGTGATGATTGAGTTGAACTCACAGAGCTGAACATTCCTTTGGATGGAGCAGGTTTGAGACACACTTTTTGTAGAATCTACAAGTGGATATTTGGACCTCTCTGAGGATTTCGTTGGAAACGGGATAACTGCACCTAACTAAACGGAAGCATTCTCAGAAACTGCTTTGTGATGATTGCATTCACCTCACAGAGTTGAACATTCCTATTGATAGAGCAGTTTGGAAACACTCTTGTTGTGGAATGTGCAAGTGGAGATTTGGAGCGCTTTGAGGCCTATGGTAGTAAAGGGAATAGCTTCATAGAAAAACTAGACAGATGCATTCTCAGGAACTTTTTGGTGATGTTTGTATTCAACTCCCAGAGTTGAACTTTCCTTTGGAAAGAGCAGCTATGAAACACTCTTTTTCTAGAATCTGCAAGTGGACGTTTGGAGGGCTTTGTGGTTTGTGGTGGAAAAGGAAATATCTTCACCTAAATACTAGAGAGAAGCATTCTCAGAAGCTTCTCTGTGATGACTGCATTCAACTCACGGGGTTGAACACTCCTTTTGGGAGCGCAGTTTTGAAACTCTCTTTCTGTGGCATCTGCAAGGGGACATGTAGACCTCTTTGAAGATTTCGTTGGAAACGGAATCATCTTCACATCAAAACTATACAGAAGCAGTCTCAGAATCTTCTTTGTGATGTTTGCATTCAAATCCCAGAGTTGAACTTTCCTTTCAAAGTTCACGTTTGAAACACTCTTTTTGCAGGATCTACAAGTGGATATTTGGACCACTCTGTGTCCTTCGTTCGAAACGGGTATATCTTCACATGACATCTAGACAGAAGCTTTCTCAGAAAATTGTTTGGGATGATTGATTTGAACTCACAGAGCTGAGCATTCCTTGCGATGTAGCAGTTTAGAAACACACTTTCTGCAGAATCTGCAAGTGCATATTTGGACCTCTCTGAGGAATTCGTTGGAAACGGGATAATTTCAGCTGACTAAACAGAAGTATTCTCAGAACCTTCTTCGTGATGTCTGCATTCAACTCACAGTGTGGAACCTTTCTTTGATAGTTCAGGTTTGAAACACTCTTTTTGTAGGAACTGCAAGGGGATAATTGCACTCTTTGAGGAGTACCGTAGTAAAGGAAATAACTTCCTATAAAAAGAAGACAGAAGCATTGTCAGAACCCTCTTCGTGATGTTTGCATTCAACTCACAGTGCTGAACCTTTCTTTGATAGTTCAGCTTTGAAACACTCTTTTTGTAGAAACTGCAAATGGATATTTGGTCCTCTCTGAGGATTTCGTTGGAAAAGGGATAAAACGCACAGAACTAAACAGATAGCATTCACAGAAACTCTTGGTGACGACTGAGTTTAACTCACAGAGCTGAACATTCCTTTGGATGGAGCAGTTTCAAAACACACTATTTGTAGAATCTGCAAGTGGATATGTGGGCCTCTCTGAGGATTTCGTTGGAAACGGGATAAACCGCACAGAACTAAAACAGAGCATTCTGAGAAACTACTTTGTGATGATTGCATTCAAGTCACAGAGCTGAACATTCTCTTTGACAGAGTAGTTTGGAAACTCTCTTTGTGTAGAATCTGCAAGTGGAGATATGGAATGCTTTGAGGACTATGGTAGTAAAGGAAATAGCTTCATATAAAAGCTAGACAGTAGCATTCTCAGAAACTTCTTTGTGATGCTTGCATTCAACTCACAGATTTGAACTTTCCTTTCGAGAGAGAAGCTTTGAAACACTCTTTTTCCAGAATCTGCAAGTGGACATTTGGAGGGCTTTGAGGCCTGTGGTGGAAAAGGAATTATCTTCCTGTAAAAGCTGGATAGAAGCATTGTCAGAAACTTCTTTGTGATGATTGCATTCAACTCACAGAGTTGAAGGTTCCTTTTCAAAGAGCAGTTTCCAATCACTCTTTGTGTGGAATCTGCAAGTGGATATTTGGACCTATTTTGAAGATTTCGTTGGAAACGGGAGAATCTTCACAGGAAAGCTAAACAGAAGCATTCTCAGAAACTTCTCTGTGATGTTTGTGTTCAACTCCCAGAGTTTCACATTGCTTTTCATAGAGTAGTTCTGAAACATGCTTTTCGTAGTGTCTACAAGTGGACATTTGGAGCGCTTTCAGGCCTGTGGTGGAAAACGAATTATGGTCACATAAAAACTGGAGAGAAGCCTTCTCAGAAACTTCTCTGTGATGATTGCATTCAACTCACAGAGTTGAACCCTCCTATGGATAGAGCAGTGTTGAAACTCTCTTTTTGTGGAATCTGCAAGTGGATATGTGGACCTCTCCGAAGATGTCTTTGGAAACGGGAATATCTTCACATAAAAACTTAACAGAAGCATTCTCAGAAACTTCTTGGTGATGTTTGCATTCAAATCCCAGAGTTGAACCTTCCTTTGATAGTTCAGGTTTGAAACACTCTTTTTGTAGGATCTGCAAGTGGATATTTGGACCACTCTGTGGCCTTCGTTCGAAACGGGTACATCTTCGCATAAAATCTAGACAGAAGCATTCTCAGAAAATACTTTGTGATGATTGAGTTGAACTCACAGAGCTGAACATTCCTTTGGATGGAGCAGGTTTGAGACACACTTTTTGTAGAATCTACAAGTGGATATTTGGACCTCTCTGAGGATTTCGTTGGAAACGGGATAACTGCACCTAACTAAACGGAAGCATTCTCAGAAACTGCTTTGTGATGATTGCATTCACCTCACAGAGTTGAACATTCCTATTGATAGAGCAGTTTGGAAACACTCTTGTTGTGGAATGTGCAAGTGGAGATTTGGAGCGCTTTGAGGCCTATGGTAGTAAAGGGAATAGCTTCATAGAAAAACTAGACAGATGCATTCTCAGGAACTTTTTGGTGATGTTTGTATTCAACTCCCAGAGTTGAACTTTCCTTTGGAAAGAGCAGCTATGAAACACTCTTTTTCTAGAATCTGCAAGTGGACGTTTGGAGGGCTTTGTGGTTTGTGGTGGAAAAGGAAATATCTTCACCTAAATACTAGATAGAAGCATTCTCAGAAGCTTCTCTGTGATGACTGCATTCAACTCACGGAGTTGAACACTCCTTTTGAGAGCGCAGTTTTGAAACTCTCTTTCTGTGGCATCTGCAAGAGGACATGTAGACCTCTTTGAAGATTTCGTTGGAAATGGAATCATCTTCACAAAAAAACTATACAGAAACAGTCTCAGAATCTTCTTTGTGATGTTTGCATTCAAATCCCAGAGTTGAACTTTCCTTTCAAAGTTCACGTTTGAAACACTCTTTTTGCAGGATCTACAAGTGGATATTTGGACCACTCTGTGTCCTTCGTTCGAAACGGGTATATCTTCACATGACATCTAGACAGAAGCTTTCTCAGAAAATTCTTTCCGATGATTGAGTTGAGCAAACAGAGCTGAACACTCCTTGCGATGTAGCAGTTTAGAAACACACTTTCTGCAGGATCTGCAAGTGCATATGTGGACCTCTCTGAGGAATTCATTGGAAACGGGATAATTTCAGCTGACTAAACAGAAGCATTCTCAGAACCTTCTTCGTGATGTCTGCATTCAACTCACAGTGTGGAACCTTTCTTTGATAGTTCAGGTTTGAAACACTCTTTTTGTAGAAACTGCAAGGGGATAATTGCACTTCTTTGAGGCCTACCGTAGTAAAGGAAATAACTTCCTATAGAAAGAAGACAGAAGCATTCTCAGAACCCTCTTCGTGATGTTTGCATTCAACTCACAGTGCTGAACCTTTCTTTGATAGTTCAGCTTTGAAACACTGTTCTTGTAGAAACTGTAAGTGGATATTTGGTCCTCTCTGAGGATTTCGTTGGAAACGGGATAATCCGCACAGAACTAAACAGAAGCATTCTCAGAACCCTCTTCGTGATGTTTGCATTCAACTCACAGTGCTGAACCTTTCTTTGATAGTGCAGCTTTGAAACACTCTTTTTGTAGAAACTGCAAGTGGATATTTGGTCCTCTCTGAGGATTTCGTTGGAAACGGGATAAATCCCACAGAACTAAAACAGAAGCATTCTCAGAACCTTCTTCGTGATGTTTGCATTCAACTCACAGTGTTGAACCTTTCTTTGATAGTTCAGGTTTGAAACGGTCTTTCTGTAGAAACTGCAAGTAGATATTTGGACCTCTCTGAGGATTTCGTTGGAAACGGGATAAACCGCACAGAACTAAACAGAAGCATTCACAGAAAACTCTTGGTGACGACCGAGTTTAACTCACAGAGCTGAACATTCCTTTGAATGGAGCAGTTTCGAAACACACTATTTGTAGAATGTGCAAGTGGATATTTGGGCCTCTCTGAGGATTTCGTTGGAAACGGGATAAACCGCACAGAACTAAACAGAAGCATTCTCAGAAACTACTTTGTGATGATTGCATTCAAGTCACAGAGTTGAACATTCCCTTTGACAGAGCAGTTTGGAAACTCTCTTTGTGTAGAATCTGCAAGTGGAGATATGGACCGCTTTGAGGCCTATGGTAGTAAAGGAAATAGATTCATATAAAAGCTAGACAGTAGCATTCTCAGAAACTTCTTTGTGATGCTTGCATTCAACTCACAGAGTTGAACTTTCCTTTCGAGAGAGAAGCTTTGAAACACTCTTTTTCCAGAATCTGCAAGTGGACATTTGGAGGGCTTTGAGGCCTGTGGTGGAAAAGGAATTATCTTCCCGTAAAAGCTAGATAGAAGCATTGTCAGAAACTTCTTTGTGATGATTGCATTCAACTCACAGAGTTGAAGGTTCCTTTTCAAAGAGCAGTTTCCAATCACTCTTTCTGTGGAATCTGCAAGTGGATATTTGGACCTATTTTGAAGATTTCGTTGGAAATGGGAGAATCTTCACAGGAAAGCTAAACAGAAGCATTCTCAGAAACTTCTCTGTGATGTTTGTGTTCAACTCCCAGAGTTTCACATTGCTTTTCATAGAGTAGTTCTGAAACATGCTTTTCGTAGTGTCTACAAGTGGACATTTGGAGCGCTTTCAGGCCTGTGGTGGAAAACGAATTATGGTCACATAAAAACTGGAGAGAAGCCTTCTCAGAAACTTCTCTGTGATGATTGCATTCAACTCACAGAGTTGAACCCTCCTATGGATAGAGCAGTGTTGAAACTCTCTTTTTGTGGAATCTGCAAGTGGATATGTGGACCTCTCCGAAGATGTCTTTGGAAACGGGAATATCTTCACATAAAAACTAAACAGAAGCATTCTCAGAAACTTCTTGGTGATGTTTGCATTCAAATCCCAGAGTTGAACCTTCCTTTGATAGTTCAGGTTTGAAACACTCTTTTTGTAGGATCTGCAAGTGGATATTTGGACCACTCTGTGGCCTTCGTTCGAAACGGGTATATCTTCGCATAAAATCTAGACAGAAGCATTCTCAGAAAATACTTTGTGATGATTGAGTTTAACTCACAGAGCTGAACATTCCTTTGGATGGAGCAGGTTTGAGTCACACTTTTTGTAGAATCTACAAGTGGATATTTGGACCTCTCTGAGGATTTCGTTGGAAACGCGATAACTGCACCTAACTAAACGGAAGCATTCTCAGAAACTGCTTTGTGATGATTGCATTCACCTCACAGAGTTGAACATTCCTATTGATAGAGCAGTTTGGAAACACTCTTGTTGTGGAATGTGCAAGTGGAGATTTGGAGCGCTTTGAGGCCTATGGAAGTAAAGGGAATAGCTTCATAGAAAAACAAGGCAGATGCATTCTCAGGAACTTTTTGGTGATGTTTGTATTCAACTCCCAGAGTTGAACTTTCCTTTGGAAAGAGCAGCTATGAAACACTCTTTTTCTAGAATCTGCAAGTGGACGTTTGGAGGGCTTTGTGGTTTGTGGTGGAAAAGGAAATATCTTCACCTAAATACTAGATAGAAGCATCCTCAGAAGCTTCTCTGTGATGACTGCATTCAACTCACAGAGTTGAACACTCCTTTTGAGAGCGCAGTTTTGAAACTCTCTTTCTGTGGCATCTGCAAGGGGACATGTAGACCTCTTTGAAGATTTCGTTGGAAACGGAATCATCTTCACATAAAAACTATACAGAAGCAGTCTCAGAATCTTCTTTGTGATGTTTGCATTCAAATCCCCGAGTTGAACTTTCCTTTCAAAGTTCACGTTTGAAACACTCTTTTTGCAGGATCTACAAGTGGATATTTGGACCACTCTGTGTCCTTCGTTCGAAACGGGTATATCTTCACATGACATCTAGACAGAAGCTTTCTCAGAAAATTCTTTGGGATGATTGAGTTGAACTCACAGAGCTGAGCATTCCTTGCGATGTAGCAGTTTAGAAACACACTTTCTGCAGAATCTGCAAGTGCATATTTGGACCTCTGTGAGGAATTCGTTGGAAACGGGATAATTTCAGCTGACTAAACAGAAGCATTCTCAGAACCTTCTTCGTGATGTCTGCATTCAACTCACAGTGTGGAACCTTTCTTTGATAGTTCAGGTTTGAAACACTCTTTTTGTAGAAACTGCAAGGGGATAATTGCACTCTTTGAGGAGTACCATAGTAAAGGAAATAACTTCCTATAAAAAGAAGACAGAAGCATTCTCAGAACCCTCTTCGTGATGTTTGCATTCAACTCACAGTGCTGAACCTTTCTTTGATAGTTCAGCTTTGAAACACTCTTTTTGTAGAAACTGCAAGTGGATATTTGGTCCTCTCTGAGCATTTCGTTGGAAACGGGATAAACTGCACAGAACTAAACAGAAGCATTCTCAGAACCTTCTTCGTGATGTTTGCATTCAACTCACAGTGTTGAACCTTTCTTTGATAGTTCAGGTTTGAAACGGTCTTTCTGTAGAAACTGCAAGTAGATATTTGGACCTCTCTGAGGATTTCGTTGGAAACGGGATAACCCGCACAGAACTAAAACAGAAGCATTCACAGAAAACTCTTGGTGACGACTGAGTTTAACTCACAGAGCTGAACATTCCTTTGGATGGAGCAGTTTCGAAACACACTATTTGTAGAATGTGCAAGTGGATATTTAGGCCTCTCTGAGGATTTCGTTGGAAACGGGATAAACCGCACAGAACTAAACAGAAGCATTCTCAGAAACTACTTTGTGATGATTGCATTCAAGTCACAGAGTTGAACATTCCCTTTGACAGAGCAGTTTGGAAACTCTCTTTGTGTAGAATCTGCAAGTGGAGATATGGACCGCTTTGAGGCCTATGGTAGTAAAGGAAATAGCTTCATATAAAAGCTAGACAGTAGCATTCTCAGAAACTTCTTTGTGATGCTTGCATTCAACTCACAGAGTTGAACTTTCCTTTCGAGAGAGAAGCTTTGAAACACTCTTTTTCCAGAATCTGCAAGTGGACATTTGGAGGGCTTTGAGGCCTGTGGTGGAAAAGGAATTATCTTCCCGTAAAAGCTAGATAGAAGCATTGTCAGAAACTTCTTTGTGATGATTGCATTCAACTCACAGAGTTGAAGGTTCCTTTTCAAAGAGCAGTTTCCAATCACTCTTTCTGTGGAATCTGCAAGTGGATATTTGGACCTATTTTGAAGATTTCGTTGGAAACGGGAGAATCTTCACAGGAAAGCTAAACAGAAGCATTCTCAGAAACTTCTCTGTGATGTTTGTGTTCAACTCCCAGAGTTTCACATTGCTTTTCATAGAGTAGTTCTGAAACATGCTTTTCGTAGTGTCTACAAGTGGACATTTGGAGCGCTTTCAGGCCTGTGGTGGAAAACGAATTATGGTCACATAAAAACTGGAGAGAAGCCTTCTCAGAAACTTCTCTGTGATGATTGCATTCAACTCACAGAGTTGAACCCTCCTATGGATAGAGCAGTGTTGAAACTCTCTTTTTGTGGAATCTGCAAGTGGATATGTGGACCTCTCCGAAGATGTCTTTGGAAACGGGAATATCTTCACATAAAAACTAAACAGAAGCATTCTCAGAAACTTCTTGGTGATGTTTGCATTCAAATCCCAGAGTTGAACCTTCCTTTGATAGTTCAGGTTTGAAACACTCTTTTTGTAGGATCTGCAAGTGGATATTTGGACCACTCTGTGGCCTTCGTTCGAAATGGGTATATCTTCGCATAAAATCTAGACAGAAGCATTCTCAGAAAATACTTTGTGATGATTGAGTTTAAATCACAGAGCTGACCATTCCTTTGGATGGAGCAGGTTTGAGACACACTTTTTGTAGAATCTACAAGTGGATATTTGGACCTCTCTGAGGATTTCGTTGGAAACGGGATAACTGCACCTAACTAAACGGAAGCATTCTCAGAAACTGCTTTGTGATGATTGCATTCACCTCACAGAGTTGAACATTCCTATTGATAGAGCAGTTTGGAAACACTCTTGTTGTGGAATGTGCAAGTGGAGATTTGGAGCGCTTTGAGGCCTATGGTAGTAAAGGGAATAGCTTCATAGAAAAACTAGACAGATGCATTCTCAGGAACCTTTTGGTGATGTTTGTATTCAACTCCCAGAGTTGAACTTTCCTTTGGAAAGAGCAGCTATGAAACACTCTTTTTCTAGAATCTGCAAGTGGACGTTTGGAGGGCTTTGTGGTTTGTGGTGGAAAAGGAAATATCTTCACCTAAATACTAGATAGAAGCATTCTCAGAAGCTTCTCTGTGATGACTGCATTCAACTCACGGAGTTGAACACTCCTTTTGAGAGCGCAGTTTTGAAACTCTCTTTCTGTGGCATCTGCAAGGGGACATGTAGACCTCTTTGAAGATTTCGTTGGAAACGGAATCATCTTCACATAAAAACTATACAGAAGCAGTCTCAGAATCTTCTTTGTGATGTTTGCATTCAAATCCCAGAGTTGAACTTTCCTTTCAAAGTTCACGTTTGAAACACTCTTTTTGCAGGATCTACAAGTGGATATTTGGACCACTCTGTGTCCTTCGTTCGAAACGGGTATATCTTCACACGACATCTAGACAGAAGCTTTCTCAGAAAATTCTTTGGGATGATTGAGTGGAACTCACAGAGCTGAACATTCCTTGCGATGTAGCAGTTTAGAAACACACTTTCTGCAGAATCTGCAAGTGCATATTTGGACCTCTCTGAGGAATTCGTTGGAAACGGGATAATTTCAGCTGACTAAACAGAAGCATTCTCAGAACCTTCTTCGTGATGTCTGCATTCAACTCACAGTGTGGAACCTTTCTTTGATAGTTCAGGTTTGAAACACTCTTTTTGTAGAAACTGCAAGGGGATAATTGCACTTCTTTGAGGCCTACCGTAGTAAAGGAAATAACTTCCTATAGAAAGAAGACAGAAGCATTCTTCAGAACCCTCTTCGTGATGTTTGCATTCAACTCACAGTGCTGAACCTTTCTTTGATAGTTCAGCTTTGAAACACTCTTCTTGTAGAAACTGCAAGTGGATATTTGGTCCTCTCTGAGGATTTCGTTGGAAACGGGATAAACCGCACAGAACTAAACAGAAGAATTCTCAGAGCCCTCTTCGTGATGTTTGCATTCAACTCACAGTGCTGAACCTTTCTTTGATAGTGCAGCTTTGAAACACTCTTTTTGTAGAAACTGCAAGTGGATGTTTGGTCCTCTCTGAGGATTTCGTTGGAAACGGGATAAACCGCACAGAACTAAAACAGAAGCATTGTCAGAAACTTCTTTGTGATGATTGCATTCAACTCACAGAGTTGAAGGTTCCTTTTCAAACAGCAGTTTCCAATCACTCTTTCTGTGGAATCTGCAAGTGGATATTTGGGCCTCTCTGAGGATTTCGTTGGAAACGGGATAAAACGCACAGAACTAAAACAGAAGCATTCTCAGAAACTTCTCTGTGATGTTTGTGTTCAACTCCCAGAGTTTCACGTTGCTTTTCATAGAGTAGTTCTGAAACATGCTTTTCGTAGTGTCTGCAAGTGGACATTTGGAGCGCTTTCAGGCCTGTGGTGGAAAACGAATTATGGTCACATAAAAACTGGAGAGAAGCCTTCTCAGAAACTTCTCTGTGATGATTGCATTCAACTCACAGAGTTGAACCCTCCTATGGATAGAGCAGTGTTGAAACTCTCTTTTTGTGGAATCTGCAAGTGGATATGTGGACCTCTCCGAAGATGTCTTTGGAAACGGGTATATCTTCACATAAAAACTAAACAGAAGCATTCTCAGAAACTTCTTGGTGATGTTTGCATTCAAATCCCAGAGTTGAACCTTCCTTTGATAGTTCAGGTTTGAAACACTCTTTCTGTAGGATCTGCAAGTGGCTATTTGGACCACTCTGTGGCCTTCGTTCGAAACGGGTATATCTTCGCATAAAATCTAGACAGAAGCATTCTCAGAAAATACTTTGTGATGATTGAGTTTAAATCACAGAGCTGACCATTCCTTTGGATGGAGCAGGTTTGAGACACACTTTTTGTAGAATCTACAAGTGGATATTTGGACCTCTCTGAGGATTTCGTTGGAAACGGGATAACTGCACCTAACTAAACGGAAGCATTCTCAGAAACTGCTTTGTGATGATTGCATTCACCTCACAGAGTTGAACATTCCTATTGATAGAGCAGTTTGGAAACACTCTTGTTGTGGAATGTGCAAGTGGAGATTTGGAGCGCTTTGAGGCCTATGGTAGTAAAGGGAATAGCTTCATAGAAAAACTAGACAGATGCATTCTCAGGAACCTTTTGGTGATGTTTGTATTCAACTCCCAGAGTTGAACTTTCCTTTGGAAAGAGCAGCTATGAAACACTCTTTTTCTAGAATCTGCAAGTGGACGTTTGGAGGGCTTTGTGGTTTGTGGTGGAAAAGGAAATATCTTCACCTAAATACTAGATAGAAGCATTCTCAGAAGCTTCTCTGTGATGACTGCATTCAACTCACGGAGTTGAACACTCCTTTTGAGAGCGCAGTTTTGAAACTCTCTTTCTGTGGCATCTGCAAGGGGACATGTAGACCTCTTTGAAGATTTCGTTGGAAACGGAATATCTTCACATAAAAACTATACAGAAGCAGTCTCAGAATCTTCTTTGTGATGTTTGCATTCAAATCCCAGAGTTGAACTTTCCTTTCAAAGTTCACGTTTGAAACACTCTTTTTGCAGGATCTACAAGTGGATATTTGGACCACTCTGTGTCCTTCGTTCGAAACGGGTATATCTTCACAGGACATCTAGACAGAAGCTTTCTCAGAAAATTCTTTGGGATGATTGAGTGGAACTCACAGAGCTGAACATTCCTTGCGATGTAGCAGTTTAGAAACACACTTTCTGCAGAATCTGCAAGTGCATATTTGGACCTCTCTGAGGAATTCGTTGGAAACGGGATAATTTCAGCTGACTAAACAGAAGCATTCTCAGAACCTTCTTCGTGATGTCTGCATTCAACTCACAGTGTGGAACCTTTCTTTGATAGTTCAGGTTTGAAACACTCTTTTTGTAGAAACTGCAAGGGGATAATTGCACTTCTTTGAGGCCTACCGTAGTAAAGGAAATAACTTCCTATAGAAAGAAGACAGAAGCATTCTCAGAACCCTCTTCGTGATGTTTGCATTCAACTCACAGTGCTGAACCTTTCTTTGATAGTTCAGCTTTGAAACACTCTTCTTGTAGAAACTGCAAGTGGATATTTGGTCCTCTCTGAGGATTTCGTTGGAAACGGGATAAACCGCACAGAACTAAACAGAAGAATTCTCAGAGCCCTCTTCGTGATGTTTGCATTCAACTCACAGTGCTGAACCTTTCTTTGATAGTGCAGCTTTGAAACACTCTTTTTGTAGAAACTGCAAGTGGATGTTTGGTCCTCTCTGAGGATTTCGTTGGAAACGGGATAAACCGCACAGAACTAAAACAGAAGCATTGTCAGAAACTTCTTTGTGATGATTGCATTCAACTCACAGAGTTGAAGGTTCCTTTTCAAACAGCAGTTTCCAATCACTCTTTCTGTGGAATCTGCAAGTGGATATTTGGGCCTCTCTGAGGATTTCGTTGGAAACGGGATAAAACGCACAGAACTAAAACAGAAGCATTCTCAGAAACTTCTCTGTGATGTTTGTGTTCAACTCCCAGAGTTTCACGTTGCTTTTCATAGAGTAGTTCTGAAACATGCTTTTCGTAGTGTCTGCAAGTGGACATTTGGAGCGCTTTCAGGCCTGTGGTGGAAAACGAATTATGGTCACATAAAAACTGGAGAGAAGCCTTCTCAGAAACTTCTCTGTGATGATTGCATTCAACTCACAGAGTTGAACCCTCCTATGGATAGAGCAGTGTTGAAACTCTCTTTTTGTGGAATCTGCAAGTGGATATGTGGACCTCTCCGAAGATGTCTTTGGAAACGGGAATATCTTCACATAAAAACTAAACAGAAGCATTCTCAGAAACTTCTTGGTGATGTTTGCATTCAAATCCCAGAGTTGAACCTTCCTTTGATAGTTCAGGTTTGAAACACTCTTTCTGTAGGATCTGCAAGTGGCTATTTGGACCACTCTGTGGCCTTCGTTCGAAACGGGTATATCTTCGCATAAAATCTAGACAGAAGCATTCTCAGAAAATACTTTGTGATGATTGAGTTGAACTCACAGAGCTGAACATTCCTTTGGATGGAGCAGGTTTGAGACACACTTTTTGTAGAATCTGCAAGTGGATATTGGGACCTCTCTGAGGATTTCGTTGGAAACGGGATAACTGCACGTAACTAAACGGAAGCATTCTCAGAAACTGCTTTGTGATGATTGCATTCACCTCACAGAGTTGAACATTCCTATTGATAGAGCAGTTTGGAAACACTCTTGTTGTGGAATGTGCAAGTGGAGATTTGGAGCGCTTTGAGGCCTATGGTAGTAAAGGGAATAGCTTCATAGAAAAACTAGACAGATGCATTCTCAGGAACTTTTTGGTGATGTTTGTATTCAACTCCCAGAGTTGAACTTTCCTTTGGAAAGAGCAGCTATGAAACACTCTTTTTCTAGAATCTGCAAGTGGACGTTTGGAGGGCTTTGTGGTTTGTGGTGGAAAAGGAAATATCTTCACCTAAATACTAGATAGAAGCATTCTCAGAAGCTTCTCTGTGATGACTGCATTCAACTCACGGAGTTGAACACTCCTTTTGAGAGTGCAGTTTTGAAACTCTCTTTCTGTGGCATCTGCAAGGGGATAAGTAGACCTCTTTGAAGATTTCGTTGGAAACGGAATCATCTTCACATAAAAACTATACAGAAGCAGTCTCAGAATCTTCTTTGTGATGTTTGCATTCAAATCCCCGAGTTGAACTTTCCTTTCAAAGTTCACGTTTGAAACACTCTTTTTGCAGGATCTACAAGTGGATATTTGGACCACTCTGTGTCCTTCGTTCGAAACGGGTATATCTTCACATGACATCTAGACAGAAGCTTTCTCAGAAAATTCTTTGGGATGATTGAGTTGAACTCACAGAGCTGAGCATTCCTTGCGATGTAGCAGTTTAGAAACACACTTTCTGCAGAATCTGCAAGTGCATATTTGGACCTCTGTGAGGAATTCGTTGGAAACGGGATAATTTCAGCTGACTAAACAGAAGCATTCTCAGAACCTTCTTCGTGATGTCTGCATTCAACTCACAGTGTGGAACCTTTCTTTGATAGTTCAGGTTTGAAACACTCTTTCTGTAGAAACTGCAAGGGGATCATTGCACTCTTTGAGGAGTACCGTAGTAAAGGAAATAACTTCCTATAAAAAGAAGACAGAAGCATTCTCAGAACCCTCTTCGTGATGTTTGCATTCAACTCACAGTGCTGAACCTTTCTTTGATAGTTCAGCTTTGAAACACTCTTTTTGTAGAAACTGCAAGTGGATATTTGGTCCTCTCTGAGCATTTCGTTGGAAACGGGATAAACTGCACAGAACTAAACAGAAGCATTCTCAGAACCTTCTTCGTGATGTTTGCATTCAACTCACAGTGTTGAACCTTTCTTTGATAGTTCAGGTTTGAAACGGTCTTTCTGTAGAAACTGCAAGTAGATATTTGGACCTCTCTGAGGATTTCGTTGGAAACGGGATAACCCGCACAGAACTAAAACAGAAGCATTCACAGAAAACTCTTGGTGACGACTGAGTTTAACTCACAGAGCTGAACATTCCTTTGGATGGAGCAGTTTCGAAACACACTATTTGTAGAATGTGCAAGTGGATATTTAGGCCTCTCTGAGGATTTCGTTGGAAACGGGATAAACCGCACAGAACTAAACAGAAGCATTCTCAGAAACTACTTTGTGATGATTGCATTCAAGTCACAGAGTTGAACATTCCCTTTGACAGAGCAGTTTGGAAACTCTCTTTGTGTAGAATCTGCAAGTGGAGATATGGACCGCTTTGAGGCCTATGGTAGTAAAGGAAATAGCTTCATATAAAAGCTAGACAGTAGCATTCTCAGAAACTTCTTTGTGATGCTTGCATTCAACTCACAGAGTTGAACTTTCCTTTCGAGAGAGAAGCTTTGAAACACTCTTTTTCCAGAATCTGCAAGTGGACATTTGGAGGGCTTTGAGGCCTGTGGTGGAAAAGGAATTATCTTCCCGTAAAAGCTAGATAGAAGCATTGTCAGAAACTTCTTTGTGATGATTGCATTCAAGTCACAGAGTTGAAGGTTCCTTTTCAAAGAGCAGTTTCCAATCACTCTTTCTGTGGAATCTGCAAGTGGATATTTGGACCTCTTTGAAGATTTCGTTGGAAACGGGAGAATCTTCACAGAAAAGCTAAACAGAAGCATTCTCAGAAACTTCTCTGTGATGTTTGTGTTCAACTCCCAGAGTTTCACATTGCTTCTCATAGAGTAGTTCTGAAACATGCTTTTCGTAGTGTCTGCAAGTGGACATTTGGAGGGCTTTCAGGCCTGTGGTGGAAAACGAATTATGGTAACATAAAAACTGGAGAGAAGCCTTCTCAGAAACTTCTCTGTGATGATTGCATTCAACTCACAGAGTTGAACCCTCCTATGGATAGAGCAGTGTTGAAACTCTCTTTTTGTGGAATCTGCAAGCGGATATGTGGACCTCTCCGAAGATGTCTTTGGAAACGGGAATATCTTCAGATAAAAACTAAACAGAAGCATTCTCAGAAACTTCTTGGTGATGTTTGCATTCAAATCCCAGAGTTCAACCTTCCTTTGATAGTTCAGGTTTGAAACACACTTTTTGTAGGATCTGCAAGTGGATATTTGGACCACTCTGTGGCCTTCGTTCGAAACGGGTACATCTTCGCATAAAATCTAGACAGAAGCATTCTCAGAAAATACTTTGTGATGATTGAGTTTAACTCACAGAGCTGAACATTCCTTTGGATGGAGCAGGTTTGAGACACACCTTTTGTAGAATCTACAAGTGGATATTTGGACCTCTCTGAGGATTTCGTTGGAAACGGGATAACTGCACCTAACTAAACGGAAGCATTCTCAGTAAACTGCTTTGTGATGATTGCATTCACCTCACAGAGTTGAACATTCCTATTGATAGAGCAGTTTGGAAACACTCTTCTTGTGGAATGTGCAAGTGGAGATTTGGAGCGCTTTGAGGCCTATGGTAGTAAAGGGAATAGCTTCATAGAAAAACTAGACAGATGCATTCTCAGGAACTTTTTGGTGATGTTTGTATTCAACTCCCAGAGTTGAACTTTCCTTTGGAAAGAGCAGCTATGAAACACTCTTTTTCTAGAATCTGCAAGTGGACGTTTGGAGGGCTTTGTGGTTTGTGGTGGAAAAGGAAATATCTTCACCTAAATACTAGATAGAAGCATTCTCAGAAGCTTCTCTGTGATGACTGCATTCAACTCACGGAGTTGAACACTCCTTTTGAGAGCGCAGTTTTGAAACTCTCTTTCTGTGGCATCTGCAAGGGGACATGTAGACCTCTTTGAAGATTTCTTTGGAAACGGAATCATCTTCACATAAAAACTATACAGAAGCAGTCTCAGAATCTTCTTCGTGATGTTTGCATTCAAATCCCAGAGTTGAACTTTCCTTTCAAAGTTCACGTTTGAAACACTCTTTTTGCAGGATCTACAAGTGGATATTTGGACCACTCTGTGTCCTTCGTTCGAAACGGGTATATCTTCACATGACATCTAGACAGAAGCTTTCTCAGAAAATTCTTTGGGATGATTGAGTGGAACTCACAGAGCTGAACATTCCTTGCGATGTAGCAGTTTAGAAACACACTTTCTGCAGAATCTGCAAGTGCATATTTGGACCTCTCTGAGGAATTCGTTGGAAACGGGATAATTTCAGCTGACTAAACAGAAGCATTCTCAGAACTTCTTCGTGATGTCTGCATTCAACTCACAGTGTGGAACCTTTCTTTGATAGTTCAGGTTTGAAACACTCTTTTTGTAGAAACTGCAAGGGGATAATTGCACTTCTTTGAGGCCTACCGTAGTAAAGGAAATAACTTCCTATAGAAAGAAGACAGAAGAATTCTCAGAGCCCTCTTCGTGATGTTTGCATTCAACTCACAGTGCTGAACCTTTCTTTGATAGTGCAGCTTTGAAACACTCTTTTTGTAGAAACTGCAAGTGGATGTTTGGTCCTCTGCTGAGGATTTCGTTGGAAACGGGATAAACCGCACAGAACTAAAACAGAAGCATTCTCAGAACCTTCTTCGTGATGTTTGCATTCAACTCACAGTGTGGAACCTTTCTTTGATAGTTCAGGTTTGAAACGGTCTTTCTGTAGAAACTGCAAGTAGATATTTGGACCTCTCTGAGGATTTCGTTGGAAACGGGATAACCCGCACAGAACTAAAACAGAAGCATTCACAGAAAACTCTTGGTGACGACTGAGTTTAACTCACAGAGCTGAACATTCCTTTGGATGGAGCAGTTTCGAAACACACTATTTGTAGAATGTGCAAGTGGATATTTGGGCCTCTCTGAGGATTTCGTTGGAAACGGGATAAACCGCACAGAACTAAACAGAAGCATTCTCAGAAACTACTTTGTGATGATTGCATTCAAGTCACAGAGTTGAACATTCCCTTTGACAGAGCAGTTTGGAAACTCTCTTTGTGTAAAATCTGCAAGTGGAGATATGGACCGCTTTGAGGCCTATGGTAGTAAAGGAAATAGCTTCATATAAAAGCTAGACAGTAGCATTCTCAGAAACTTCTTTGTGATGCTTGCATTCAACTCACAGAGTTGAACTTTCCTTTTGAGAGAGAAGCTTTGAAACACTCTTTTTCCAGAATCTGCAAGTGGACATTTGGAGGGCTTTGAGGCCTGTGGTGGAAAAGGAATTATCTTCCCGTAAAAGCTAGATAGAAGCATTGTCAGAAACTTCTTTGTGATGATTGCATTCAACTCACAGAGAATGAAGGTTCCTTTACAAACAGCAGTTTCCAAACACTCTTTCTGTGGAATCTGCAAGTGGATATTTGGACCTCTTTGAAGATTTCGTTGGAAACGGGAGAATCTTCACAGAAAAGCTAAACAGAAGCATTCTCAGAAACTTCTCTGTGATGTTTGTGTTCAACTCCCAGAGTTTCACATTGCTTTTCATAGAGTAGTTCTGAAACATGCTTTTCGTAGTATCTGCAAGTGGACATTTGGAGCGCTTTCAGGCCTGTGGTGGAAAACGAATTATGGTCCCATAAAAACTGGAGAGAAGCCTTCTCAGAAACTTCTCTGTGATGATTGCATTCAACTCACAGAGTTGAACCCTCCTATGGATAGAGCAGTGTTGAAACTCTCTTTTTGTGGAATCTGCAAGTGGATATGTGGACCTCTCCGAAGATGTCTTTGGAAACGGGAATATCTTCACATAAAAACTAAACAGAAGCATTCTCAGAAACTTCTTGGTGATGTTTGCATTCAAATCCCAGAGTTGAACCTTCCTTTGACAGTTCAGGTTTGAAACACTCTTTTTGTAGGATCTGCAAGTGGCTATTTGGACCACTCTGTGGCCTTCGTTCGAAACGGGTACATCTTCGCATAAAATCTAGACAGAAGCATTCTCAGAAAATACTTTGTGATGATTGAGTTGAACTCACAGAGCTGAACATTCCTTTGGATGGAGCAGGTTTGAGACACACTTTTTGTAGAATCTACAAGTGGATATTTGGACCTCTCTGAGGATTTCGTTGGAAACGGGATAACTGCACCTAACTAAACGGAAGCATTCTCAGAAACTGCTTTGTGACGATTGCATTCACCTCACAGAGTTGAACATTCCTATTGATAGAGCAGTTTGGAAACACTCTTGTTGTGGAATGTGCAAGTGGAGATTTGGAGCGCTTTGAGGCCTATGGTAGTAAAGGGAATAGCTTCATAGAAAAACTAGACAGATGCATTCTCAGGAACTTTTTGGTGATGTTTGTATTCAACTCCCAGAGTTGAACTTTCCTTTGGAAAGAGCAGCTATGAAACACTCTTTTTCTAGAATCTGCAAGTGGACGTTTGGAGGGCTTTGTGGTTTGTGGTGGAAAAGGAAATATCTTCACCTAAATACTAGAGAGAAGCATTCTCAGAAGCTTCTCTGTGATGACTGCATTCAACTCACGGAGTTGAACACTCCTTTTGAGAGCGCAGTTTTGAAACTCTCTTTCTGTGACATCCGCAAGGGGACATGTAGACCTCTTTGAAGATTTCGTTGGAAACGGAATCATCTTCACATAAAAACTATACAGAAGCAGTCTCAGAATCTTCTTTGTGATGTTTGCATTCAAATCCCCGAGTTGAACTTTCCTTTCAAAGTTCACGTTTGAAACACTCTTTTTGCAGGATCTACAAGTGGATATTTGGACCACTCTGTGTCCTTCGTTCGAAACGGGTATATCTTCACATGACATCTAGACAGAAGCTTTCTCAGAAAATTCTTTGGGATGATTGAGTTGAACTCACAGAGCTGAGCATTCCTTGCGATGTAGCAGTTTAGAAACACACTTTCTGCAGAATCTGCAAGTGCATATTTGGACCTCTGTGAGGAATTCGTTGGAAACGGGATAATTTCAGCTGACTAAACAGAAGCATTCTCAGAACCTTCTTCGTGATGTCTGCATTCAACTCACAGTGTGGAACCTTTCTTTGATAGTTCAGGTTTGAAACACTCTTTTTGTAGAAACTGCAAGGGGATAATTGCACTCTTTGAGGAGTACCGTAGTAAAGGAAATAACTTCCTATAAAAAGAAGACAGAAGCATTCTCAGAACCCTCTTCGTGATGTTTGCATTCAACTCACAGTGCTGAACCTTTCTTTGATAGTTCAGCTTTGAAACACTCTTTTTGTAGAAACTGCAAGTGGATATTTGGTCCTCTCTGAGGATTTCGTTGGAAACGGGATAAACTGCACAGAACTAAACAGAAGCATTCTCAGAACCTTCTTCGTGATGTTTGCATTCAACTCACAGTGTTGAACCTTTCTTTGATAGTTCAGGTTTGAAACGGTCTTTCTGCAGAAACTGCAAGTAGATATTTGGACCGCTCTGAGGATTTCGTTGGAAACGGGATAACCCGCACAGAACTAAAACAGAAGCATTCACAGAAAACTCTTGGTGACGACTGAGTTTAACTCACAGAGCTGAACATTCCTTTGGATGGAGCAGTTTCGAAACACACTATTTGTAGAATGTGCAAGTGGATATTTAGGCCTCTCTGAGGATTTCGTTGGAAACGGGATAAACCGCACAGAACTAAACAGAAGCATTCTCAGAAACTACTTTGTGATGATTGCATTCAAGTCACAGAGTTGAACATTCCCTTTGACAGAGCAGTTTGGAAACTCTCTTTGTGTAGAATCTGCAAGTGGAGATATGGACCGCTTTGAGGCCTATGGTAGTAAAGGAAATAGCTTCATATAAAAGCTAGACAGTAGCATTCTCAGAAACTTCTTTGTGATGCTTGCATTCAACTCACAGAGTTGAACTTTCCTTTCGAGAGAGAAGCTTTGAAACACTCTTTTTCCAGAATCTGCAAGTGGACATTTGGAGGGCTTTGAGGCCTGTGGTGGAAAAGGAATTATCTTCCCGTAAAAGCTAGATAGAAGCATTGTCAGAAACTTCTTTGTGATGATTGCATTCAACTCACAGAGTTGAAGGTTCCTTTTCAAAGAGCAGTTTCCAATCACTCTTTGTGTGGAATCTGCAAGTGGATATTTGGACCTATTTTGAAGATTTCGTTGGAAACGGGAGAATCTTCACAGGAAAGCTAAACAGAAGCATTCTCAGAAACTTCTCTGTGATGTTTGTGTTCAACTCCCAGAGTTTCACATTGCTTTTCATAGAGTAGTTCTGAAACATGCTTTTCGTAGTGTCTACAAGTGGACATTTGGAGCGCTTTCAGGCCTGTGGTGGAAAACGAATTATGGTCACATAAAAACTGGAGAGAAGCCTTCTCAGAAACTTCTCTGTGATGATTGCATTCAACTCACAGAGTTGAACCCTCCTATGGATAGAGCAGTGTTGAAACTCTCTTTTTGTGGAATCTGCAAGTGGATATGTGGACCTCTCCGAAGATGTCTTTGGAAACGGGAATATCTTCACATAAAAACTAAACAGAAGCATTCTCAGAAACTTCTTGGTGATGTTTGCATTCAAATCCCAGAGTTGAACCTTCCTTTGATAGTTCAGGTTTGAAACACTCTTTTTGTAGGATCTGCAAGTGGATATTTGGACCACTCTGTGGCCTTCGTTCGAAACGGGTATATCTTCGCATAAAATCTAGACAGAAGCATTCTCAGAAAATACTTTGTGATGATTGAGTTTAACTCACAGAGCTGAACATTCCTTTGGATGGAGCAGGTTTGAGACACACCTTTTGTAGAATCTACAAGTGGATATTTGGACCTCTCTGAGGATTTCGTTGGAAACGGGATAACTGCACCTAACTAAACGGAAGCATTCTCAGAAACTGCTTTGTGATGATTGCATTCACCTCACAGAGTTGAACATTCCTATTGATAGAGCAGTTTGGAAACACTCTTGTTGTGGAATGTGCAAGTGGAGATTTGGAGCGCTTTGAGGCCTATGGTAGTAAAGGGAATAGCTTCATAGAAAAACTAGACAGATGCATTCTCAGGAACTTTTTGGTGATGTTTGTATTCAACTCCCAGAGTTGAACTTTCCTTTGGAAAGAGCAGCTATGAAACACTGTTTTTCTAGAATCTGCAAGTGGACGTTTGGAGGGCTTTGTGGTTTGTGGTGGAAAAGGAAATATCTTCACCTAAATACTAGATAGAAGCATCCTCAGAAGCTTCTCTGTGATGACTGCATTCAACTCACGGGAGTTGAACACTCCTTTTGAGAGCGCAGTTTTGAAACTCTCTTTCTGTGGCATCTGCAAGGGGACATGTAGACCTCTTTGAAGATTTCGTTGGAAACGGAATCATCTTCACATAAAAACTACACAGAAGCAGTCTCAGAATCTTCTTTGTGATGTTTGCATTCAAATCCCCGAGTTGAACTTTCCTTTCAAAGTTCACGTTTGAAACACTCTTTTTGCAGGATCTACAAGTGGATATTTGGACCACTCTGTGTCCTTCGTTCGAAACGGGTATATCTTCACATGACATCTAGACAGAAGCTTTCTCAGAAAATTCTTTGGGATGATTGAGTTGAACTCACAGAGCTGAGCATTCCTTGCGATGTAGCAGTTTAGAAACACACTTTCTGCAGAATCTGCAAGTGCATATTTGGACCTCTGTGAGGAATTCGTTGGAAACGGGATAATTTCAGCTGACTAAACAGAAGCATTCTCAGAACCTTCTTCGTGATGTCTGCATTCAACTCACAGTGTGGAACCTTTCTTTGATAGTTCAGGTTTGAAACACTCTTTTTGTAGAAACTGCAAGGGGATAATTGCACTCTTTGAGGAGTACCGTAGTAAAGGAAATAACTTCCTATAAAAAGAAGACAGAAGCATTCTCAGAACCCTCTTCGTGATGTTTGCATTCAACTCACAGTGCTGAACCTTTCTTTGATAGTTCAGCTTTGAAACACTCTTTTTGTAGAAACTGCAAGTGGATATTTGGTCCTCTCTGAGGATTTCGTTGGAAACGGGATAAACTGCACAGAACTAAACAGAAGCATTCTCAGAACCTTCTTCGTGATGTTTGCATTCAACTCACAGTGTTGAACCTTTCTTTGATAGTTCAGGTTTGAAACGGTCTTTCTGTAGAAACTGCAAGTAGATATTTGGACCTCTCTGAGGATTTCGTTGGAAACGGGATAACCCGCACAGAACTAAAACAGAAGCATTCACAGAAAACTCTTGGTGACGACTGAGTTTAACTCACAGAGCTGAACATTCCTTTGGTTGGAGCAGTTTCAAAACACACTATTTGTAGAATGTGCAAGTGGATATTTGGGCCTCTCTGAGGATTTCGCTGTAAACGGGATAAACCGCACAGAAATAAACAGAAGCATTCTCAGAAACTACTTTGTGATGATTGCATTCAAGTCACAGAGTTGAACATTCCCTTTGACAGAGCAGTTTGGAAACTCTCTTTGTGTAGAATCTGCAAGTGGAGATATGGACCGCTTTGAGGCCTATGGTAGTAAAGGAAATAGCTTCATATAAAAGCTAGACAGTAGCATTCTCAGAAACTTCTTTGTGATGCTTGCATTCAACTCACAGAGTTGAACTTTCCTTTCGAGAGAGAAGCTTTGAAACACTCTTTTTCCAGAATCTGCAAGTGGACATTTGGAGGGCTTTGAGGCCTGTGGTGGAAAAGGAATTATCTTCCCGTAAAAGCTAGATAGAAGCATTGTCAGAAACTTCTTTGTGATGATTGCATTCAACTCACAGAGTTGAAGGTTCCTTTTCAAAGAGCAGTTTCCAATCACTCTTTCTGTGGAATCTGCAAGTGGATATTTGGACCTCTTTGAAGATTTCGTTGGAAACGGGAGAATCTTCACAGAAAAGCTAAACAGAAGCATTCTCAGAAACTTCTCTGTGATGTTTGTGTTCAACTCCCAGAATTTCAGATTGCCTTTCATAGAGTAGTTCTGAAACATGCTTTTCGTAGTGTCTGCAAGTGGACATTTGGAGCGCTTTCAGGCCTGTGGTGGAAAACGATTTATGGTCCCATAAAACCTGGAGAGAAGCCTTCTCAGAAACTTCTCTGTGATGATTGCATTCAACTCACAGAGTTGAACCCTCCTATGGATAGAGCAGTGTTGAAACTCTCTTTTTGTGGAATCTGCAAGTGGATATGTGGACCTCTCCGAAGATGTCTTTGGAAACGGGAATATCTTCACATAAAAACTAAACAGAAGCATTCTCAGAAACTTCTTGGTGATGTTTGCATTCAAATCCCAGAGTTGAACCTTCCTTTGATAGTTCAGGTTTGAAACACTCTTTTTGTAGGATCTGCAAGTGGCTATTTGGACCACTCTGTGGCCTTCGTTCGAAACGGGTATATCTTCGCATAAAATCTAGACAGAAGCATTCTCAGAAAATACTTTGTGATGATTGAGTTTAAATCACAGAGCTGAACATTCCTTTGGATGGAGCAGGTTTGAGACACACTTTTTGTAGAATCTACAAGTGGATATTTGGACCTCTCTGAGGATTTCGTTGGAAACGGGATAACTGCACCTAACTAAACGGAAGCATTCTCAGAAACTGCTTTGTGATGATTGCATTCACCTCACAGAGTTGAACATTCCTATTGATAGAGCAGTTTGGAAACACTCTTGTTGTGGAATGTGCAAGTGGAGATTTGGAGCGCTTTGAGGCCTATGGTAGTAAAGGGAATAGCTTCATAGAAAAACTAGACAGATGCATTCTCAGGAACTTTTTGGTGATGTTTGTATTCAACTCCCAGAGTTGAACTTTCCTTTGGAAAGAGCAGATATGAAACACTCTTTTTCTAGAATCTGCAAGTGGACGTTTGGAGGGCTTTGTGGTTTGTGGTGGAAAAGGAAATATCTTCACCTAAATACTACATAGAAGCATTCTCAGAAGCTTCTCTGTGATGACTGCATTCAACTCACGGAGTTGAACACTCCTTTTGAGAGCGCAGTTTTGAAACTCTCTTTCTGTGGCATCTGCAAGGGGACATGTAGACCTCTTTGAAGATTTCATTGGAAACGGAATCATCTTCACATAAAAACTATACAGAAGCAGTCTCAGAATCTTCTTTGTGATGTTTGCATTCAAATCCCAGAGTTGAACTTTCCTTTCAAAGTTCACGTTTGAAACACTCTTTTTGCAGGATCTACAAGTGGATATTTGGACCACTCTGTGTCCTTCGTTCGAAACGGGTATATCTTCACACGACATCTAGACAGAAGCTTTCTCAGAAAATTCTTTGGGATGATTGAGTGGAACTCACAGAGCTGAACATTCCTTGCGATGTAGCAGTTTAGAAACACACTTTCTGCAGAATCTGCAAGTGCATATTTGGACCTCTCTGAGGAATTCGTTGGAAACGGGATAATTTCAGCTGACTAAACAGAAGCATTCTCAGAACCTTCTTCGTGATGTCTGCATTCAACTCACAGTGTGGAACCTTTCTTTGATAGTTCAGGTTTGAAACACTCTTTTTGTAGAAACTGCAAGGGGATAATTGCACTTCTTTGAGGCCTACCGTAGTAAAGGAAATAACTTCCTATAGAAAGAAGACAGAAGCATTCTCAGAACCCTCTTCGTGATGTTTGCATTCAACTCACAGTGCTGAACCTTTCTTTGATAGTTCAGCTTTGAAACACTCTTCTTGTAGAAACTGCAAGTGGATATTTGGTCCTCTCTGAGGATTTCGTTGGAAACGGGATAAACCGCACAGAACTAAACAGAAGAATTCTCAGAGCCCTCTTCGTGATGTTTGCATTCAACTCACAAGTGCTGAACCTTTCTTTGATAGTGCAGCTTTGAAACACTCTTTTTGTAGAAACTGCAAGTGGATGTTTGGTCCTCTCTGAGGATTTCGTTGGAAACGGGATAAACCGCACAGAACTAAAACAGAAGCATTGTCAGAAACTTCTTTGTGATGATTGCATTCAACTCACAGAGTTGAAGGTTCCTTTTCAAACAGCAGTTTCCAATCACTCTTTCTGTGGAATCTGCAAGTGGATATTTGGGCCTCTCTGAGGATTTCGTTGGAAACGGGATAAAACGCACAGAACTAAAACAGAAGCATTCTCAGAAACTTCTCTGTGATGTTTGTGTTCAACTCCCAGAGTTTCACGTTGCTTTTCATAGAGTAGTTCTGAAACATGCTTTTCGTAGTGTCTGCAAGTGGACATTTGGAGCGCTTTCAGGCCTGTGGTGGAAAACGAATTATGGTCACATAAAAACTGGAGAGAAGCCTTCTCAGAAACTTCTCTGTGATGATTGCATTCAACTCACAGAGTTGAACCCTCCTATGGATAGAGCAGTGTTGAAACTCTCTTTTTGTGGAATCTGCAAGTGGATATGTGGACCTCTCCGAAGATGTCTTTGGAAACGGGAATATCTTCACATAAAAACTAAACAGAAGCATTCTCAGAAACTTCTTGGTGATGTTTGCATTCAAATCCCAGAGTTGAACCTTCCTTTGATAGTTCAGGTTTGAAACACTCTTTCTGTAGGATCTGCAAGTGGCTATTTGGACCACTCTGTGGCCTTCGTTCGAAACGGGTATATCTTCGCATAAAATCTAGACAGAAGCATTCTCAGAAAATACTTTGTGATGATTGAGTTTAAATCACAGAGCTGACCATTCCTTTGGATGGAGCAGGTTTGAGACACACTTTTTGTAGAATCTACAAGTGGATATTTGGACCTCTCTGAGGATTTCGTTGGAAACGGGATAACTGCACCTAACTAAACGGAAGCATTCTCAGAAACTGCTTTGTGATGATTGCATTCACCTCACAGAGTTGAACATTCCTATTGATAGAGCAGTTTGGAAACACTCTTGTTGTGGAATGTGCAAGTGGAGATTTGGAGCGCTTTGAGGCCTATGGTAGTAAAGGGAATAGCTTCATAGAAAAACTAGACAGATGCATTCTCAGGAACTTTTTGGTGATGTTTGTATTCAACTCCCAGAGTTGAACTTTCCTTTGGAAAGAGCAGCTATGAAACACTCTTTTTCTAGAATCTGCAAGTGGACGTTTGGAGGGCTTTGTGGTTTGTGGTGGAAAAGGAAATATCTTCACCTAAATACTAGATAGAAGCATTCTCAGAAGCTTCTCTGTGATGACTGCATTCAACTCACGGAGTTGAACACTCCTTTTGAGAGCGCAGTTTTGAAACTCTCTTTCTGTGGCATCTGCAAGGGGACATGTAGACCTCTTTGAAGATTTCGTTGGAAACGGAATCATCTTCACATAAAAACTATACAGAAGCAGTCTCAGAATCTTCTTTGTGATGTTTGCATTCAAATCCCAGAGTTGAACTTTCCTTTCAAAGTTCACGTTTGAAACACTCTTTTTGCAGGATCTACAAGTGGATATTTGGACCACTCTGTGTCCTTCGTTCGAAACGGGTATATCTTCACACGACATCTAGACAGAAGCTTTCTCAGAAAATTCTTTGGGATGATTGAGTGGAACTCACAGAGCTGAACATTCCTTGCGATGTAGCAGTTTAGAAACACACTTTCTGCAGAATCTGCAAGTGCATATTTGGACCTCTCTGAGGAATTCGTTGGAAACGGGATAATTTCAGCTGACTAAACAGAAGCATTCTCAGAACCTTCTTCGTGATGTCTGCATTCAACTCACAGTGTGGAACCTTTCTTTGATAGTTCAGGTTTGAAACACTCTTTTTGTAGAAACTGCAAGGGGATAATTGCACTTCTTTGAGGCCTACCGTAGTAAAGGAAATAACTTCCTATAGAAAGAAGACAGAAGCATTCTCAGAACCCTCTTCGTGATGTTTGCATTCAACTCACAGTGCTGAACCTTTCTTTGATAGTTCAGCTTTGAAACACTCTTCTTGTAGAAACTGCAAGTGGATATTTGGTCCTCTCTGAGGATTTCGTTGGAAACGGGATAAACCGCACAGAACTAAACAGAAGAATTCTCAGAGCCCTCTTCGTGATGTTTGCATTCAACTCACAGTGCTGAACCTTTCTTTGATAGTGCAGCTTTGAAACACTCTTTTTGTAGAAACTGCAAGTGGATGTTTGGTCCTCTCTGAGGATTTCGTTGGAAACGGGATAAACCGCACAGAACTAAAACAGAAGCATTGTCAGAAACTTCTTTGTGATGATTGCATTCAACTCACAGAGTTGAAGGTTCCTTTTCAAACAGCAGTTTCCAATCACTCTTTCTGTGGAATCTGCAAGTGGATATTTGGGCCTCTCTGAGGATTTCGTTGGAAACGGGATAAAACGCACAGAACTAAAACAGAAGCATTCTCAGAAACTTCTCTGTGATGTTTGTGTTCAACTCCCAGAGTTTCACGTTGCTTTTCATAGAGTAGTTCTGAAACATGCTTTTCGTAGTGTCTGCAAGTGGACATTTGGAGCGCTTTCAGGCCTGTGGTGGAAAACGAATTATGGTCACATAAAAACTGGAGAGAAGCCTTCTCAGAAACTTCTCTGTGATGATTGCATTCAACTCACAGAGTTGAACCCTCCTATGGATAGAGCAGTGTTGAAACTCTCTTTTTGTGGAATCTGCAAGTGGATATGTGGACCTCTCCGAAGATGTCTTTGGAAACGGGAATATCTTCACATAAAAACTAAACAGAAGCATTCTCAGAAACTTCTTGGTGATGTTTGCATTCAAATCCCAGAGTTGAACCTTCCTTTGATAGTTCAGGTTTGAAACACTCTTTCTGTAGGATCTGCAAGTGGCTATTTGGACCACTCTGTGGCCTTCGTTCGAAACGGGTATATCTTCGCATAAAATCTAGACAGAAGCATTCTCAGAAAATACTTTGTGATGATTGAGTTTAAATCACAGAGCTGACCATTCCTTTGGATGGAGCAGGTTTGAGACACACTTTTTGTAGAATCTACAAGTGGATATTTGGACCTCTCTGAGGATTTCGTTGGAAACGGGATAACTGCACCTAACTAAACGGAAGCATTCTCAGAAACTGCTTTGTGATGGTTGCATTCACCTCACAGAGTTGAACATTCCTATTGATAGAGCAGTTTGGAAACACTCTTGTTGTGGAATGTGCAAGTGGAGATTTGGAGCGCTTTGAGGCCTATGGTAGTAAAGGGAATAGCTTCATAGAAAAACTAGACAGATGCATTCTCAGGAACCTTTTGGTGATGTTTGTATTCAACTCCCAGAGTTGAACTTTCCTTTGGAAAGAGCAGCTATGAAACACTCTTTTTCTAGAATCTGCAAGTGGACGTTTGGAGGGCTTTGTGGTTTGTGGTGGAAAAGGAAATATCTTCACCTAAATACTAGATAGAAGCATTCTCAGAAGCTTCTCTGTGATGACTGCATTCAACTCACGGAGTTGAACACTCCTTTTGAGAGCGCAGTTTTGAAACTCTCTTTCTGTGGCATCTGCAAGGGGACATGTAGACCTCTTTGAAGATTTCGTTGGAAACGGAATCATCTTCACATAAAAACTATACAGAAGCAGTCTCAGAATCTTCTTTGTGATGTTTGCATTCAAATCCCAGAGTTGAACTTTCCTTTCAAAGTTCACGTTTGAAACACTCTTTTTGCAGGATCTACAAGTGGATATTTGGACCACTCTGTGTCCTTCGTTCGAAACGGGTATATCTTCACACGACATCTAGACAGAAGCTTTCTCAGAAAATTCTTTGGGATGATTGAGTGGAACTCACAGAGCTGAACATTCCTTGCGATGTAGCAGTTTAGAAACACACTTTCTGCAGAATCTGCAAGTGCATATTTGGACCTCTCTGAGGAATTCGTTGGAAACGGGATAATTTCAGCTGACTAAACAGAAGCATTCTCAGAACCTTCTTCGTGATGTCTGCATTCAACTCACAGTGTGGAACCTTTCTTTGATAGTTCAGGTTTGAAACACTCTTTTTGTAGAAACTGCAAGGGGATAATTGCACTTCTTTGAGGCCTACCGTAGTAAAGGAAATAACTTCCTATAGAAAGAAGACAGAAGCATTCTCAGAACCCTCTTCGTGATGTTTGCATTCAACTCACAGTGCTGAACCTTTCTTTGATAGTTCAGCTTTGAAACACTCTTCTTGTAGAAACTGCAAGTGGATATTTGGTCCTCTCTGAGGATTTCGTTGGAAACGGGATAAACCGCACAGAACTAAACAGAAGAATTCTCAGAGCCCTCTTCGTGATGTTTGCATTCAACTCACAGTGCTGAACCTTTCTTTGATAGTGCAGCTTTGAAACACTCTTTTTGTAGAAACTGCAAGTGGATGTTTGGTCCTCTCTGAGGATTTCGTTGGAAACGGGATAAACCGCACAGAACTAAAACAGAAGCATTGTCAGAAACTTCTTTGTGATGATTGCATTCAACTCACAGAGTTGAAGGTTCCTTTTCAAACAGCAGTTTCCAATCACTCTTTCTGTGGAATCTGCAAGTGGATATTTGGGCCTCTCTGAGGATTTCGTTGGAAACGGGATAAAACGCACAGAACTAAAACAGAAGCATTCTCAGAAACTTCTCTGTGATGTTTGTGTTCAACTCCCAGAGTTTCACGTTGCTTTTCATAGAGTAGTTCTGAAACATGCTTTTCGTAGTGTCTGCAAGTGGACATTTGGAGCGCTTTCAGGCCTGTGGTGGAAAACGAATTATGGTCACATAAAAACTGGAGAGAAGCCTTCTCAGAAACTTCTCTGTGATGATTGCATTCAACTCACAGAGTTGAACCCTCCTATGGATAGAGCAGTGTTGAAACTCTCTTTTTGTGGAATCTGCAAGTGGATATGTGGACCTCTCCGAAGATGTCTTTGGAAACGGGAATATCTTCACATAAAAACTAAACAGAAGCATTCTCAGAAACTTCTTGGTGATGTTTGCATTCAAATCCCAGAGTTGAACCTTCCTTTGATAGTTCAGGTTTGAAACACTCTTTCTGTAGGATCTGCAAGTGGCTATTTGGACCACTCTGTGGCCTTCGTTCGAAACGGGTATATCTTCGCATAAAATCTAGACAGAAGCATTCTCAGAAAATACTTTGTGATGATTGAGTTTAAATCACAGAGCTGACCATTCCTTTGGATGGAGCAGGTTTGAGACACACTTTTTGTAGAATCTACAAGTGGATATTTGGACCTCTCTGAGGATTTCGTTGGAAACGGGATAACTGCACCTAACTAAACGGAAGCATTCTCAGAAACTGCTTTGTGATGATTGCATTCACCTCACAGAGTTGAACATTCCTATTGATAGAGCAGTTTGGAAACACTCTTGTTGTGGAATGTGCAAGTGGAGATTTGGAGCGCTTTGAGGCCTATGGTAGTAAAGGGAATAGCTTCATAGAAAAACTAGACAGATGCATTCTCAGGAACTTTTTGGTGATGTTTGTATTCAACTCCCAGAGTTGAACTTTCCTTTGGAAAGAGCAGCTATGAAACACTCTTTTTCTAGAATCTGCAAGTGGACGTTTGGAGGGCTTTGTGGTTTGTGGTGGAAAAGGAAATATCTTCACCTAAATACTAGATAGAAGCATCCTCAGAAGCTTCTCTGTGATGACTGCATTCAACTCACGGAGTTGAACACTCCTTTTGAGAGCGCAGTTTTGAAACTCTCTTTCTGTGGCATCTGCAAGGGGACATGTAGACCTCTTTGAAGATTTCGTTGGAAACGGAATCATCTTCACATAAAAACTATACAGAAGCAGTCTCAGAATCTTCTTTGTGATGTTTGCATTCAAATCCCCGAGTTGAACTTTCCTTTCAAAGTTCACGTTTGAAACACTCTTTTTGCAGGATCTACAAGTGGATATTTGGACCACTCTGTGTCCTTCGTTCGAAACGGGTATATCTTCACATGACATCTAGACAGAAGCTTTCTCAGAAAATTCTTTGGGATGATTGAGTTGAACTCACAGAGCTGAGCATTCCTTGCGATGTAGCAGTTTAGAAACACACTTTCTGCAGAATCTGCAAGTGCATATTTGGACCTCTGTGAGGAATTCGTTGGAAACGGGATAATTTCAGCTGACTAAACAGAAGCATTCTCAGAACCTTCTTCGTGATGTCTGCATTCAACTCACAGTGTGGAACCTTTCTTTGATAGTTCAGGTTTGAAACACTCTTTTTGTAGAAACTGCAAGGGGATAATTGCACTCTTTGAGGAGTACCGTAGTAAAGGAAATAACTTCCTATAAAAAGAAGACAGAAGCATTCTCAGAACCCTCTTCGTGATGTTTGCATTCAACTCACAGTGCTGAACCTTTCTTTGATAGTTCAGCTTTGAAACACTCTTTTTGTAGAAACTGCAAGTGGATATTTGGTCCTCTCTGAGGATTTCGTTGGAAACGGGATAAACTGCACAGAACTAAACAGAAGCATTCTCAGAACCTTCTTCGTGATGTTTGCATTCAACCCACAGTGTTGAACCTTTCTTTGATAGTTCAGGTTTGAAACGGTCTTTCTGCAGAAACTGCAAGTAGATATTTGGACCTCTCTGAGGATTTCGTTGGAAACGGGATACCCCGCACAGAACTAAAACAGAAGCATTCACAGAAAACTCTTGGTGACGACTGAGTTTAACTCACAGAGCTGAACATTCCTTTGGATGGAGCAGTTTCGAAACACACTATTTGTAGAATGTGCAAGTGGATATTTAGGCCTCTCTGAGGATTTCGTTGGAAACGGGATAAACCGCACAGAACTAAACAGAAGCATTCTCAGAAACTACTTTGTGATGATTGCATTCAAGTCACAGAGTTGAACATTCCCTTTGACAGAGCAGTTTGGAAACTCTCTTTGTGTAGAATCTGCAAGTGGAGATATGGACCGCTTTGAGGCCTATGGTAGTAAAGGAAATAGCTTCATATAAAAGCTAGACAGTAGCATTCTCAGAAACTTCTTTGTGATGCTTGCATTCAACTCACAGAGTTGAACTTTCCTTTCGAGAGAGAAGCTTTGAAACACTCTTTTTCCAGAATCTGCAAGTGGACATTTGGAGGGCTTTGAGGCCTGTGGTGGAAAAGGAATTATCTTCCCGTAAAAGCTAGATAGAAGCATTGTCAGAAACTTCTTTGTGATGATTGCATTCAACTCACAGAGATGAAGGTTCCTTTACAAACAGCAGTTTCCAAACACTCTTTCTGTGGAATCTGCAAGTGGATATTTGGACCTCTTTGAAGATTTCGTTGGAAACGGGAGAATCTTCACAGAAAAGCTAAACAGAAGCATTCTCAGAAACTTCTCTGTGATGTTTGTGTTCAACTCCCAGAGTTTCACATTGCTTTTCATAGAGTAGTTCTGAAACATGCTTTTCGTAGTGTCTGCAAGTGGACATTTGGAGCGCTTTCAGGCCTGTGGTGGAAAACGAATTATGGTCACATAAAAACTGGAGAGAAGCCTTCTCAGAAACTTCTCTGTGATGATTGCATTCAACTCACAGAGTTGAACCCTCCTATGGATAGAGCAGTGTTGAAACTCTCTTTTTGTGGAATCTGCAAGTGGATATGTGGACCTCTCCGAAGATGTCTTTGGAAACGGGAATATCTTCACATAAAAACTAAACAGAAGCATTCTCAGAAACTTCTTGGTGATGTTTGCATTCAAATCCCAGAGTTGAACCTTCCTTTGATAGTTCAGGTTTGAAACACTCTTTTTGTAGGATCTGCAAGTGGATATTTGGACCACTCTGTGGCCTTCGTTCGAAACGGGTATATCTTCGCATAAAATCTAGACAGAAGCATTCTCAGAAAATACTTTGTGATGATTGAGTTTAACCCACAGAGCTGAACATTCCTTTGGATGGAGCAGGTTTGAGACACACTTTTTGTAGAATCTACAAGTGGATATTGGGACCTCTCTGAGGATTTCGTTGGAAACGGGATAACTGCACCTAACTAAACGGAAGCATTCTCAGAAACTGCTTTGTGATGATTGCATTCACCTCACAGAGTTGAACATTCCTATTGATAGAGCAGTTTGGAAACACTCTTGTTGTGGAATGTGCAAGTGGAAATTTGGAGCGCTTTGAGGCCTATGGTAGTAAAGGGAATAGCTTCATAGAAAAACTAGACAGATGCATTCTCAGGAACTTTTTGGTGATGTTTGTATTCAACTCCCAGAGTTGAACTTTCCTTTGGAAAGAGCAGCTATGAAACACTCTTTTTCTAGAATCTGCAAGTGGACGTTTGGAGGGCTTTGTGGTTTGTGGTGGAAAAGGAAATATCTTCACCTAAATACTAGATAGAAGCATTCTCAGAAGCTTCTCTGTGATGACTGCATTCAACTCACGGAGTTGAACACTCCTTTTGAGAGCGCAGTTTTGAAACTCTCTTTCTGTGGCATCTGCAAGGGGACATGTAGACCTCTTTGAAGATTTCGTTGGAAACGGAATCATCTTCACATAAAAACTATACAGAAGCAGTCTCAGAATCTTCTTTGTGATGTTTGCATTCAAATCCCAGAGTTGAACTTTCCTTTCAAAGTTCACGTTTGAAACACTCTTTTTGCAGGATCTACAAGTGGATATTTGGACCACTCTGTGTCCTTCGTTCGAAACGGGTATATCTTCACACGACATCTAGACAGAAGCTTTCTCAGAAAATTCTTTGGGATGATTGAGTGGAACTCACAGAGCTGAACATTCCTTGTAATGTAGCAGTTTAGAAACACACTTTCTGCAGAATCTGCAAGTGCATATTTGGACCTCTCTGAGGAATTCGTTGGAAACGGGATAATTTCAGCTGACTAAACAGAAGCATTCTCAGAACCTTCTTCGTGATGTCTGCATTCAACTCACAGTGTGGAACCTTTCTTTGATAGTTCAGGTTTGAAACACTCTTTTTGTAGAAACTGCAAGGGGATAATTGCACTTCTTTGAGGCCTACCGTAGTAAAGGAAATAACTTCCTATAGAAAGAAGACAGAAGCATTCTCAGAACCCTCTTCGTGATGTTTGCATTCAACTCACAGTGCTGAACCTTTCTTTGATAGTTCAGCTTTGAAACACTCTTCTTGTAGAAACTGCAAGTGGATATTTGGTCCTCTCTGAGGATTTCGTTGGAAACGGGATAAACCGCACAGAACTAAACAGAAGAATTCTCAGAGCCCTCTTCGTGATGTTTGCATTCAACTCACAGTGCTGAACCTTTCTTTGATAGTGCAGCTTTGAAACACTCTTTTTGTAGAAACTGCAAGTGGATGTTTGGTCCTCTCTGAGGATTTCGTTGGAAACGGGATAAACCGCACAGAACTAAAACAGAAGCATTGTCAGAAACTTCTTTGTGATGATTGCATTCAACTCACAGAGTTGAAGGTTCCTTTTCAAACAGCAGTTTCCAATCACTCTTTCTGTGGAATCTGCAAGTGGATATTTGGGCCTCTCTGAGGATTTCGTTGGAAACGGGATAAAACGCACAGAACTAAAACAGAAGCATTCTCAGAAACTTCTCTGTGATGTTTGTGTTCAACTCCCAGAGTTTCACGTTGCTTTTCATAGAGTAGTTCTGAAACATGCTTTTCGTAGTGTCTGCAAGTGGACATTTGGAGCGCTTTCAGGCCTGTGGTGGAAAACGAATTATGGTCACATAAAAACTGGAGAGAAGCCTTCTCAGAAACTTCTCTGTGATGATTGCATTCAACTCACAGAGTTGAACCCTCCTATGGATAGAGCAGTGTTGAAACTCTCTTTTTGTGGAATCTGCAAGTGGATATGTGGACCTCTCCGAAGATGTCTTTGGAAACGGGAATATCTTCACATAAAAACTAAACAGAAGCATTCTCAGAAACTTCTTGGTGATGTTTGCATTCAAATCCCAGAGTTGAACCTTCCTTTGATAGTTCAGGTTTGAAACACTCTTTCTGTAGGATCTGCAAGTGGCTATTTGGACCACTCTGTGGCCTTCGTTCGAAACGGGTATATCTTCGCATAAAATCTAGACAGAAGCATTCTCAGAAAATACTTTGTGATGATTGAGTTAAAATCACAGAGCTGAACATTCCTTTGGATGGAGCAGGTTTGAGACACACTTTTTGTAGAATCTACAAGTGGATATTTGGACCTCTCTGAGGATTTCGTTGGAAACGGGATAACTGCACCTAACTAAACGGAAGCATTCTCAGAAACTGCTTTGTGATGATTGCATTCACCTCACAGAGTTGAACATTCCTATTGATAGAGCAGTTTGGAAACACTCTTGTTGTGGAATGTGCAAGTGGAGATTTGGAGCGCTTTGAGGTCTATGGTAGTAAAGGGAATAGCTTCATAGAAAAACTAGACAGATGCATTCTCAGGAACTTTTTGGTGATGTTTGTATTCAACTCCCAGAGTTGAACTTTCCTTTGGAAAGAGCAGCTATGAAACACTCTTTTTCTAGAATCTGCAAGTGGACGTTTGGAGGGCTTTGTGGTTTGTGGTGGAAAAGGAAATATCTTCACCTAAATACTAGATAGAAGCATTCTCAGAAGCTTCTCTGTGATGACTGCATTCAACTCACGGAGTTGAACACTCCTTTTGAGAGCGCAGTTTTGAAACTCTCTTTCTGTGGCATCTGCAAGGGGACATGTAGACCTCTTTGAAGATTTCATTGGAAACGGAATCATCTTCACATAAAAACTATACAGAAGCAGTCTCAGAATCTTCTTTGTGATGTTTGCATTCAAATCCCAGAGTTGAACTTTCCTTTCAAAGTTCACGTTTGAAACACTCTTTTTGCAGGATCTACAAGTGGATATTTGGACCACTCTGTGTCCTTCGTTCGAAACGGGTATATCTTCACATGACATCTAGACAGAAGCTTTCTCAGAAAATTCTTTGGGATGATTGAGTTGAACTCACAGAGCTGAACATTCCTTGCGATGTAGCAGTTTAGAAACACACTTTCTGCAGAATCTGCAAGTGCATATTTGGACCTCCCTGAGGAATTCGTTGGAAACGGGATAATTTCAGCTGACTAAACAGAAGCATTCTCAGAACCTTCTTCGTGATGTCTGCATTCAACTCACAGTGTGGAACCTTTCTTTGATAGTTCAGGTTTGAAACACTCTTTTTGTAGAAACTGCAAGGGTATAACTGCACTTCTTTGAGGCCTACCGTAGTAAAGGAAATAACTTCCTATAAAAAGAAGACAGAAGCATTCTCAGAACCCTCTTCGTGATGTTTGCATTAAACTCACAGTGCTGAACGTTTCTTTGATACTTCAGCTTTGAAACACTCTTTTTGTAGAAACTGCAAGTGGATATTTGGTCCTCTCTGAGGATTTCTTTGGAAACGGGATAAACCGCACAGAACTAAACAGAAGCATTCACAGAAAACTCTTGGTGACGACTGAGTTTAACTCACAGAGCTGAACATCCCTTTGGATGGAGCAGTTTCGAAACACACTATTTGTAGAATGTGCAAGTGGATATTGGGGCCTCTCTGAGGATTTCGTTGGAAACGGGATAAACCGCACAGAACTAAAACAGAAGCATTCTCAGAAACTACTTTGTGATGATTGCATTCAAGTCACAGAGTTGAACATTCCCTTTGACAGAGCAGTTTGGAAACTCTCTTTGTGTAGAATCTGCAAGTGGAGATATGGACCGCTTTGAGGCCTATGGTAGTAAAGGAAATAGCTTCATATAAAAGCTAGACAGTAGCATTCTCAGAAACTTCTTTGTGATGCTTGCATTCAACTCACAGAGTTGAACTTTCCTTTCGAGAGAGAAGCTTTGAAACACTCTTTTTCCAGAATCTGCAAGTGGACATTTGGAGGGCTTTGAGGCCTGTGGTGGAAAAGGAATTATCTTCCCGTAAAAGCCTAGATAGAAGCATTGTCAGAAACTTCTTTGTGATGATTGCATTCAAGTCACAGAGTTGAAGGTTCCTTTTCAAAGAGCAGTTTCCAATCACTCTTTCTGTGGAATCTGCAAGTGGATATTTGGACCTCTTTGAAGATTTCGTTGGAAACGGGAGAATCTTCACAGAAAAGCTAAACAGAAGCATTCTCAGAAACTTCTCTGTGATGTTTGTGTTCAACTCCCAGAGTTTCACATTGCTTTTCATAGAGTAGTTCTGAAACATGCTTTTCGTAGTGTCTGCAAGTGGACATTTGGAGCGCTTTCAGGCCTGTGGTGGAAAACGAATTATGGTCACATAAAAACTGGAGAGAAGCCTTCTCAGAAACTTCTCTGTGATGATTGCATTCAACTCACAGAGTTGAACCCTCCTATGGATAGAGCAGTGTTGAAACTCTCTTTTTGTGGAATCTGCAAGTGGATATGTGGACCTCTCCGAAGATGTCTTTGGAAACGGGAATATCTTCACATAAAAGCTAAACAGAAGCATTCTCAGAAACTTCTTGGTGATGTTTGCATTCAAATCCCAGAGTTGAAACTTCCTTTGATAGGTCAGATTTGAAACACTCTTTCTGTACGATCTGCAAGTGGATATTTGGACCACTCTGTGGCCTTCGTTCGAAACGGGTACATCTTCGCATAAAATCTAGACAGAAGCATTCTCAGAAAATTCTTTGTGATGATTGAGTTTAACTCACAGAGCTGAACATTCCTTTGGATGGACCACGTTTGAGACACACTTTTTGTAGAATCTACAAGTGGATATTTAGACCTCTCTGAGGATTTCGTTGGAAACGGTATAACTGCACCTAACTAAACGGAAGCATTCTCAGAAACTGCTTTGTGATGATTGCATTCACCTCACAGAGTTGAACATTCCTATTGATAGAGCAGTTTGGAAACACTCTTCATGTGGAATGTGCAAGTGGAGATTTGGAGCGCTTTGAGGCCTATGGTAGTAAAGGGAATAGCTTCATAGAAAAACTAGACAGATGCATTCTCAGGAACTTTTTGGTGATGTTTGTATTCAACTCCCAGAGTTGAACTTTCCTTTGGAAAGAGCAGCTATGAAACACTCTTTTTCTAGAATCTGCAAGTGGACGTTTGGAGGGCTTTGTGGTTTGTGGTGGAAAAGGAAATATCTTCACCTAAATACTAGATAGAAGCATTCTCAGAAGCTTCTCTGTGATGACTGCATTCAACTCACGGAGTTGAACACTCCTTTTGAGAGCGCAGTTTTGAAACTCTCTTTCTGTGGCATCTGCAAGGGGACATGTAGACCTCTTTGAAGATTTCGTTGGAAACGGAATCATCTTCACATAAAAACTATACAGAAGCAGTCTCAGAATCTTCTTTGTGATGTTTGCATTCAAATCCCAGAGTTGAACTTTCCTTTCAAAGTTCACGTTTGAAACACTCTTTTTGCAGGATCTACAAGTGGATATTTGGACCACTCTGTGTCCTTCGTTCGAAACGGGTATATCTTCACAAGACATCTAGACAGAAGCTTTCTCAGAAAATTCTTTGGGATGATTGAGTGGAACTCACAGATCTGAACATTCCTTGCGATGTAGCAGTTTAGAAACACACTTTCTGCAGAATCTGCAAGTGCATATTTGGACCTCTCTCAGGAATTCGTTGGAAACGGGATAATTTCAGCTGACTAAACAGAAGCATTCTCAGAACCTTCTTCGTGATGTCTGCATTCAACTCACAGTGTGGAACCTTTCTTTGATAGTTCAGGTTTGAAACACTCTTTTTGTAGAAACTGCAAGGGGATAATTGCACTTCTTTGAGGCCTACCGTAGTAAAGGAAATAACTTCCTATAGAAAGAAGACAGAAGCATTCTCAGAACCCTCTTCGTGATGTTTGCATTCAACTCACAGTGCTGAACCTTTCTTTGATAGTTCAGCTTTGAAACACTCTTCTTGTAGAAACTGCAAGTGGATATTTGGTCCTCTCTGAGGATTTCGTTGGAAACGGGATAAACCGCACAGAACTAAACAGAAGAATTCTCAGAGCCCTCTTCGTGATGTTTGCATTCAACTCACAGTGCTGAACCTTTCTTTGATAGTGCAGCTTTGAAACACTCTTCTTGTAGAAACTGCAAGTGGATGTTTGGTCCTCTCTGAGGATTTCGTTGGAAACGGGATAAACCGCACAGAACTAAAACAGAAGCATTGTCAGAAACTTCTTTGTGATGATTGCATTCAACTCACAGAGTTGAAGGTTCCTTTTCAAACAGCAGTTTCCAATCACTCTTTCTGTGGAATCTGCAAGTGGATATTTGGGCCTCTCTGAGGATTTCGTTGGAAACGGGATAAAACGCACAGAACTAAAACAGAAGCATTCTCAGAAACTTCTCTGTGATGTTTGTGTTCAACTCCCAGAGTTTCACGTTGCTTTTCATAGAGTAGTTCTGAAACATGCTTTTCGTAGTGTCTGCAAGTGGACATTTGGAGCGCTTTCAGGCCTGTGGTGGAAAACGAATTATGGTCACATAAAAACTGGAGAGAAGCCTTCTCAGAAACTTCTCTGTGATGATTGCATTCAACTCACAGAGTTGAACCCTCCTATGGATAGAGCAGTGTTGAAACTCTCTTTTTGTGGAATCTGCAAGTGGATATGTGGACCTCTCCGAAGATGTCTTTGGAAACGGGAATATCTTCACATAAAAACTAAACAGAAGCATTCTCAGAAACTTCTTGGTGATGTTTGCATTCAAATCCCAGAGTTGAACCTTCCTTTGATAGTTCAGGTTTGAAACACTCTTTCTGTAGGATCTGCAAGTGGCTATTTGGACCACTCTGTGGCCTTCGTTCGAAACGGGTATATCTTCGCATAAAATCTAGACAGAAGCATTCTCAGAAAATACTTTGTGATGATTGAGTTTAAATCACAGAGCTGACCATTCCTTTGGATGGAGCAGGTTTGAGACACACTTTTTGTAGAATCTACAAGTGGATATTTGGACCTCTCTGAGGATTTCGTTGGAAACGGGATAACTGCACCTAACTAAACGGAAGCATTCTCAGAAACTGCTTTGTGATGATTGCATTCACCTCACAGAGTTGAACATTCCTATTGATAGAGCAGTTTGGAAACACTCTTGTTGTGGAATGTGCAAGTGGAGATTTGGAGCGCTTTGAGGCCTATGGTAGTAAAGGGAATAGCTTCATAGAAAAACTAGACAGATGCATTCTCAGGAACTTTTTGGTGATGTTTGTATTCAACTCCCAGAGTTGAACTTTCCTTTGGAAAGAGCAGCTATGAAACACTCTTTTTCTAGAATCTGCAAGTGGACGTTTGGAGGGCTTTGTGGTTTGTGGTGGAAAAGGAAATATCTTCACCTAAATACTAGATAGAAGCATTCTCAGAAGCTTCTCTGTGATGACTGCATTCAACTCACGGAGTTGAACACTCCTTTTGAGAGCGCAGTTTTGAAACTCTCTTTCTGTGGCATCTGCAAGGGGACATGTAGACCTCTTTGAAGATTTCGTTGGAAACGGAATCATCTTCACATAAAAACTATACAGAAGCAGTCTCAGAATCTTCTTTGTGATGTTTGCATTCAAATCCCAGAGTTGAACTTTCCTTTCAAAGTTCACGTTTGAAACACTCTTTTTGCAGGATCTACAAGTGGATATTTGGACCACTCTGTGTCCTTCGTTCGAAACGGGTATATCTTCACACGACATCTAGACAGAAAGCTTTCTCAGAAAATTCTTTGGGATGATTGAGTGGAACTCACAGAGCTGAACATTCCTTGCGATGTAGCAGTTTAGAAACACACTTTCTGCAGAATCTGCAAGTGCATATTTGGACCTCTCTGAGGAATTCGTTGGAAACGGGATAATTTCAGCTGACTAAACAGAAGCATTCTCAGAACCTTCTTCGTGATGTCTGCATTCAACTCACAGTGTGGAACCTTTCTTTGATAGTTCAGGTTTGAAACACTCTTTTTGTAGAAACTGCAAGGGGATAATTGCACTTCTTTGAGGCCTACGTAGTAAAGGAAATAACTTCCTATAGAAAGAAGACAGAAGCATTCTCAGAAACTTCTTTGTGATGCTTGCATTCAACTCACAGAGTTGAACTTTCCTTTCGAGAGAGAAGCTTTGAAACACTCTTTTTCCAGAATGAGCAAGTGGACATTTGGAGGGCTTTGAGGCCTGTGTTGGAAAAGGAATTATCTTCCCGTAAAAGCTAGATAGAAGCATTGTCAGAAACTTCTTTGTGATGATTGCATTCAACTCACAGAGTTGAAGGTTCCTTTTCAAAGAGCAGTTTCCAATCACTTTTTTTGTGGAATCTGCAAGTGGATATTTGGACCTATTTTGAAGATTTCGTTGGAAACGGGAGTATCTTCACAGAAAAGCTAAACAGAAGCATTCTCAGAAACTTCTCTGTGATGTTTTTGTTCAACTCCCAGAGTTTCACATTGCATTTCATAGAGTAGTTCTGAAACATGCTTTTCGTAGTGTCTACAAGTGGACATTTGGAGCGCTTTCAGGCCTGTGGTGGAAAACGAATAATGGTCACATAAAAACTGGAGAGAAGCCTTCTCAGAAACTTCTCTGTGATGATTGCATTCAACTCACAGAGTTGAACCCTCCTATGGATAGAGCAGTGTTGAAACTCTCTTTTTGTGGAATCTGCAAGTGGATATGTGGACCTCTCCGAAGATGTCTTTGGAAACGGGAATATCTTCACATAAAAACTAAACAGAAGCATTCTCAGAAACTTCTTGGTGATGTTTGCATTCAAATCCCAGAGTTGAACCTTCCTTTGATAGTTCAGGTTTGAAACACTCTTTCTGTAGGATCTGCAAGTGGCTATTTGGACCACTCTGTGGCCTTCGTTCGAAACGGGTATATCTTCGCATAAAATCTAGACAGAAGCATTCTCAGAAAATACTTTGTGATGATTGAGTTTAAATCACAGAGCTGACCATTCCTTTGGATGGAGCAGGTTTGAGACACACTTTTTGTAGAATCTACAAGTGGATATTTGGACCTCTCTGAGGATTTCGTTGGAAACGGGATAACTGCACCTAACTAAACGGAAGCATTCTCAGAAACTGCTTTGTGATGATTGCATTCACCTCACAGAGTTGAACATTCCTATTGATAGAGCAGTTTGGAAACACTCTTGTTGTGGAATGTGCAAGTGGAGATTTGGAGCGCTTTGAGGCCTGTGGTAGTAAAGGGAATAGCTTCATAGAAAAACTAGACAGATGCATTCTCAGGAACTTTTTGGTGATGTTTGTATTCAACTCCCAGAGTTGAACTTTCCTTTGGAAAGAGCAGCTATGAAACACTCTTTTTCTAGAATCTGCAAGTGGACGTTTGGAGGGCTTTGTGGTTTGTGGTGGAAAAGGAAATATCTTCACCTAAATACTAGATAGAAGCATTCTCAGAAGCTTCTCTGTGATGACTGCATTCAACTCACGGAGTTGAACACTCCTTTTGAGAGCGCAGTTTTGAAACTCTCTTTCTGTGGCATCTGCAAGGGGACATGTAGACCTCTTTGAAGATTTCGTTGGAAACGGAATCATCTTCACATAAAAACTATACAGAAGCAGTCTCAGAATCTTCTTTGTGATGTTTGCATTCAAATCCCAGAGTTGAACTTTCCTTTCAAAGTTCACGTTTGAAACACTCTTTTTGCAGGATCTACAAGTGGATATTTGGACCACTCTGTGTCCTTCGTTCGAAACGGGTATATCTTCACACGACATCTAGACAGAAGCTTTCTCAGGAAAATTCTTTGGGATGATTGAGTGGAACTCACAGTGCTGAACATTCCTTGCGATGTAGCAGTTTAGAAACACACTTTCTGCAGAATCTGCAAGTGCATATTTGGACCTCTCTGAGGAATTCGTTGGAAACGGGATAATTTCAGCTGACTAAACAGAAGCATTCTCAGAACCTTCTTCGAGATGTCTGCATTCAACTCACAGTGTGGAACCTTTCTTTGATAGTTCAGGTTTGAAACACTCTTTTTGTGGAAACTGCAAGGGGATAATTGCACTTCTTTGAGGCCTACCGTAGTAATGGAAATAACTTCCTATAAAAAGAAGACAGAAGAATTCTCAGAGCCCTCTTCGTGATGTTTGCATTCAACTCACAGTGCTGAACTTTTCTTTGATAGTGCAGCTTTGAAACACTCTTTTTGTAGAAACTGCAAGTGGATGTTTGGTCCTCTCTGAGGATTTCGTTGGAAACGGGATAAACCGCACAGAACTAAAACAGAAGCATTGTCAGAAACTTCTTTGTGATGATTGCATTCAACTCACAGAGTTGAAGGTTCCTTTTCAAACAGCAGTTTCCAATCACTCTTTCTGTGGAATCTGCAAGTGGATATTTGGGCCTCTCTGAGGATTTCGTTGGAAACGGGATAAAACGCACAGAACTAAAACAGAAGCATTCTCAGAAACTTCTCTGTGATGTTTGTGTTCAACTCCCAGAGTTTCACGTTGCTTTTCATAGAGTAGTTCTGAAACATGCTTTTCGTAGTGTCTGCAAGTGGACATTTGGAGCGCTTTCAGGCCTGTGGTGGAAAACGAATTATGGTCACATAAAAACTGGAGAGAAGCCTTCTCAGAAACTTCTCTGTGATGATTGCATTCAACTCACAGAGTTGAACCCTCCTATGGATAGAGCAGTGTTGAAACTCTCTTTTTGTGGAATCTGCAAGTGGATATGTGGACCTCTCCGAAGATGTCTTTGGAAACGGGAATATCTTCACATAAAAACTAAACAGAAGCATTCTCAGAAACTTCTTGGTGATGTTTGCATTCAAATCCCAGAGTTGAACCTTCCTTTGATAGTTCAGGTTTGAAACACTCTTTTTGTAGGATCTGCAAGTGGCTATTTGGACCACTCTGTGGCCTTCGTTCGAAACGGGTATATCTTCGCATAAAATCTAGACAGAAGCATTCTCAGAAAATACTTTGTGATGATTGAGTTTAAATCACAGAGCTGAACATTCCTTTGGATGGAGCAGGTTTGAGACACACATTTTGTAGAATCTACAAGTGGATATTTGGACCTCTCTGAGGATTTCGTTGGAAACGGGATAACTGCACCTAACTAAACGGAAGCATTCTCAGAAACTGCTTTGTGATGATTGCATTCACCTCACAGAGTTGAACATTCCTATTGATAGAGCAGTTTGGAAACACTCTTGTTGTGGAATGTGCAAGTGGAGATTTGGAGCGCTTTGAGGCCTATGGTAGTAAAGGGAATAGCTTCATAGAAAAACTAGACAGATGCATTCTCAGGAACTTTTTGGTGATGTTTGTATTCAACTCCCAGAGTTGAACTTTCCTTTGGAAAGAGCAGCTATGAAACACTCTTTTTCTAGAATCTGCAAGTGGACGTTTGGAGGGCTTTGTGGTTTGTGGTGGAAAAGGAAATATCTTCACCTAAATACTAGATAGAAGCATTCTCAGAAGCTTCTCTGAGATGACTGCATTCAACTCACGGAGTTGAACACTCCTTTTGAGAGCGCAGTTTTGAAACTCTCTTTCTGTGGCATCTGCAAGGGGACATGTAGACCTCTTTGAAGATTTCGTTGGAAACGGAATCATCTTCACATAAAAACTATACAGAAGCAGTCTCAGAATCTTCTTTGTGATGTTTGCATTCAAATCCCCGAGTTGAACTTTCCTTTCAAAGTTCACGTTTGAAACACTCTTTTTGCAGGATCTACAAGTGGATATTTGGACCACTCTGTGTCCTTCGTTCGAAACGGGTATATCTTCACATGACATCTAGACAGAAGCTTTCTCAGAAAATTCTTTGGGATGATTGAGTTGAACTCACAGAGCTGAGCATTCCTTGCGATGTAGCAGTTTAGAAACACACTTTCTGCAGAATCTGCAAGTGCATATTTGGACCTCTGTGAGGAATTCGTTGGAAACGGGATAATTTCAGCTGACTAAACAGAAGCATTCTCAGAACTTCTTCGTGATGTCTGCATTCAACTCACAGTGTGGAACCTTTCTTTGATAGTTCAGGTTTGAAACACTCTTTCTGTAGAAACTGCAAGGGGATAATTGCACTCTTTGAGGAGTACCGTAGTAAAGGAAATAACTTCCTATAAAAAGAAGACAGAAGCATTCTCAGAACCCTCTTCGTGATGTTTGCATTCAACTCACAGTGCTGAACCTTTCTTTGATAGTTCAGCTTTGAAACACTCTTCTTGTAGAAACTGCAAGTGGATATTTGGTCCTCTCTGAGGATTTCGTTGGAAACGGGATAAACCGCACAGAACTAAACAGAAGAATTCTCAGAGCCCTCTTCGTGATGTTTGCATTCAACTCACAGTGCTGAACCTTTCTTTGATAGTGCAGCTTTGAAACACTCTTTTTGTAGAAACTGCAAGTGGATATTTGGTCCTCTCTGAGGATTTCGTTGGAAACGGGATAAACCGCAAAGAACTAAAACAGAAGCATTGTCAGAAACTTCTTTGTGATGATTGCATTCAACTCACAGAGTTGAAGGTTCCTTTTCAAACAGCAGTTTCCAATCACTCTTTCTGTGGAATCTGCAAGTGGATATTTGGGCCTCTCTGAGGATTTCGTTGGAAACGGGATAAAACGCACAGAACTAAAACAGAAGCATTCTCAGAAACTTCTCTGTGATGTTTGTGTTCAACTCCCAGAGTTTCACGTTGCTTTTCATAGAGTAGTTCTGAAACATGCTTTTCGTAGTGTCTGCAAGTGGACATTTGGAGCGCTTTCAGGCCTGTGGTGGAAAACGAATTATGGTCACATAAAAACTGGAGAGAAGCCTTCTCAGAAACTTCTCTGTGATGATTGCATTCAACTCACAGAGTTGAACCCTCCTATGGGTAGAGCAGTGTTGAAACTCTCTTTTTGTGGAATCTGCAAGTGGATATGTGGACCTCTCCGAAGATGTCTTTGGAAACGGGAATATCTTCACATAAAAACTAAACAGAAGCATTCTCAGAAACTTCTTGGTGATGTTTGCATTCAAATCCCAGAGTTGAACCTTCCTTTGATAGTTCAGGTTTGAAACACTCTTTCTGTAGGATCTGCAAGTGGCTATTTGGACCACTCTGTGGCCTTCGTTCGAAACGGGTATATCTTCGCATAAAATCTAGACAGAAGCATTCTCAGAAAATACTTTGTGATGATTGAGTTTAAATCACAGAGCTGACCATTCCTTTGGATGGAGCAGGTTTGAGACACACTTTTTGTAGAATCTACAAGTGGATATTTGGACCTCTCTGAGGATTTCGTTGGAAACGGGATAACTGCACCTAACTAAACGGAAGCATTCTCAGAAACTGCTTTGTGATGATTGCATTCACCTCACAGAGTTGAACATTCCTATTGATAGAGCAGTTTGGAAACACTCTTGTTGTGGAATGTGCAAGTGGAGATTTGGAGCGCTTTGAGGCCTGTGGTAGTAAAGGGAATAGCTTCATAGAAAAACTAGACAGATGCATTCTCAGGAACTTTTTGGTGATGTTTGTATTCAACTCCCAGAGTTGAACTTTCCTTTGGAAAGAGCAGCTATGAAACACTCTTTTTCTAGAATCTGCAAGTGGACGTTTGGAGGGCTTTGTGGTTTGTGGTGGAAAAGGAAATATCTTCACCTAAATACTAGATAGAAGCATTCTCAGAAGCTTCTCTGTGATGACTGCATTCAACTCACGGAGTTGAACACTCCTTTTGAGAGCGCAGTTTTGAAACTCTCTTTCTGTGGCATCTGCAAGGGGACATGTAGACCTCTTTGAAGATTTCGTTGGAAACGGAATCATCTTCACATAAAAACTATACAGAAGCAGTCTCAGAATCTTCTTTGTGATGTTTGCATTCAAATCCCAGAGTTGAACTTTCCTTTCAAAGTTCACGTTTGAAACACTCTTTTTGCAGGATCTACAAGTGGATATTTGGACCACTCTGTGTCCTTCGTTCGAAACGGGTATATCTTCACACGACATCTAGACAGAAGCTTTCTCAGAAAATTCTTTGGGATGATTGAGTGGAACTCACAGAGCTGAACATTCCTTGCGATGTAGCAGTTTAGAAACACACTTTCTGCAGAATCTGCAAGTGCATATTTGGACCTCTCTGAGGAATTCGTTGGAAACGGGATAATTTCAGCTGACTAAACAGAAGCATTCTCAGAACCTTCTTCGTGATGTCTGCATTCAACTCACAGTGTGGAACCTTTCTTTGATAGTTCAGGTTTGAAACACTCTTTTTGTAGAAACTGCAAGGGGATAATTGCACTTCTTTGAGGCCTACCGTAGTAAAGGAAATAACTTCCTATAGAAAGAAGACAGAAGCATTCTCAGAACCCTCTTCGTGATGTTTGCATTCAACTCACAGTGCTGAACCTTTCTTTGATAGTTCAGCTTTGAAACACTCTTCTTGTAGAAACTGCAAGTGGATATTTGGTCCTCTCTGAGGATTTCGTTGGAAACGGGATAAACCGCACAGAACTAAACAGAAGAATTCTCAGAGCCCTCTTCGTGATGTTTGCATTCAACTCACAGTGCTGAACCTTTCTTTGATAGTGCAGCTTTGAAACACTCTTTTTGTAGAAACTGCAAGTGGATGTTTGGTCCTCTCTGAGGATTTCATTGGAAACGGGATAAACCGCACAGAACTAAAACAGAAGCATTGTCAGAAACTTCTTTGTGATGATTGCATTCAACTCACAGAGTTGAAGGTTCCTTTTCAAACAGCAGTTTCCAATCACTCTTTCTGTGGAATCTGCAAGTGGATATTTGGGCCTCTCTGAGGATTTCGTTGGAAACGGGATAAAACGCACAGAACTAAAACAGAAGCATTCTCAGAAACTTCTCTGTGATGTTTGTGTTCAACTCCCAGAGTTTCACGTTGCTTTTCATAGAGTAGTTCTGAAACATGCTTTTCGTAGTGTCTGCAAGTGGACATTTGGAGCGCTTTCAGGCCTGTGGTGGAAAACGAATTATGGTCACATAAAAACTGGAGAGAAGCCTTCTCAGAAACTTCTCTGTGATGATTGCATTCAACTCACAGAGTTGAACCCTCCTATGGATAGAGCAGTGTTGAAACTCTCTTTTTGTGGAATCTGCAAGTGGATATGTGGACCTCTCCGAAGATGTCTTTGGAAACGGGAATATCTTCACATAAAAACTAAACAGAAGCATTCTCAGAAACTTCTTGGTGATGTTTGCATTCAAATCCCAGAGTTGAACCTTCCTTTGATAGTTCAGGTTTGAAACACTCTTTTTGTAGGATCTGCAAGTGGCTATTTGGACCACTCAGTGGCCTTCGTTCGAGACGGGTATATCTTCGCATAAAATCTAGACAGAAGCATTCTCAGAAAATACTTTGTGATGATTGAGTTGAACTCACAGAGCTGAACATTCCTTTGGATGGAGCAGGTTTGAGACACACTTTTTGTAGAATCTACAAGTGGATATTTGGACCTCTCTGAGGATTTCGTTGGAAACGGGATAACTGCACCTAACTAAACGGAAGCATTCTCAGAAACTGCTTTGTGATGATTGCATTCACCTCACAGAGTTGACCATTCCTATTGATAGAGCACTTTGGAAACACTCTTGTTGTGGAATGTGCAAGTGGAGATTTGGAGCGCTTTGAGGCCTATGGTAGTAAAGGGAATAGCTTCATAGAAAAACTAGACAGATGCATTCTCAGGAACTTTTTGGTGATGTTTGTATTCAACTCCCAGAGTTGAACTTTCCTTTGGAAAGAGCAGCTATGAAACACTCTTTTTCTAGAATCTGCAAGTGGACGTTTGGAGGGCTTTGTGGTTTGTGGTGGAAAAGGAAATATCTTCACCTAAATACTACATAGAAGCATTCTCAGAAGCTTCTCTGTGATGACTGCATTCAACTCACGGAGTTGAACACTCCTTTTGAGAGCGCAGTTTTGAAACTCTCTTTCTGTGTCATCTGCAAGGGGACATGTAGACCTCTTTGAAGATTTCGTTGGAAACGGAATCATCTTCACATCAAAACTATACAGAAGCAGTCTCAGAATCTTCTTTGTGATGTTTGCATTCAAATCCCAGAGTTGAACTTTCCTTTCAAAGTTCACGTTTGAAACACTCTTTTTGCAGGATCTACAAGTGGATATTTGGACCACTCTGTGTCCTTCGTTCGAAACGGGTATATCTTCACATGACATCTAGACAGAAGCTTTCTCAGAAAATTCTTTGGGATGATTGAGTTGAACTCACAGAGCTGAACATTCCTTGCGATGGAGCAGTTTAGAAACACACTTTCTGCAGAATCTGCAAGTGCATATTTGGACCTCTCTGAGGAATTCGTTGGAAACGGGATAATTTCAGCTGACTAAACAGAAGCATTCTCAGAACCTTCTTCGTGATGTCTGCATTCAACTCACAGTGTGGAACCTTTATTTGATAGTTCAGGTTTGAAACACTCTTTTTGTAGAAACTGCAAGGGGATAATTGCACTTCTTTGAGGCCTACCGTAGTAAAGGAAATAACTTCCTATAAAAAGAAGACAGAAGCATTCTCAGAACCCTCTTCGTGATGTTTGCATTCAACTCACAGTGCTGAACCTTTCTTTGATAGTTCAGCTTTGAAACACTCTTTTTGTAGAAACTGCAAGTGGATATTTGGTCCTCTCTGAGGATTTCGTTGGAAACGGGATAAACCGCACAGAACTAAACAGAAGCATTCACAGAAAACGCTTGGTGACGACTGAGTTTAACTCACAGAGCTGAACATTCCTTTGGATGGAGCAGTTTCGAAACACACTATTTGTAGAATCTGCAAGTGGATATTTGGGCCTCTCTGAGGATTTCGTTGGAAAAGGGATAAACCGCACAGAACTAAAACAGAAGCATTCTGGGAAACAACTTTGTGATGATTGCATTCAAGTCACAGAGCTGAACATTCCCTTTGACAGAGCAGTTTGGAAACTCTCTTTGTGTAGAATCTGCAAGTGGAGATATGGAATGCTTTGAGGACTATGGTAGTAAAGGAAATAGCTTCATATAAAAGCTAGACAGTAGCATTCTCAGAAACTTCTTTGTGATGCTTGCATTCAACTCACAGAGTTGAACTTTCCTTTCGAGAGAGAAGCTTTGAAACACTCTTTTTCCAGAATCTGCAAGTGGACATTTGGAGGGCTTTGAGGCCTGTGGTGGAAAAGGAATTATCTTCCCGTAAAAGCTGGATAGAAGCATTGTCAGAAACTTCTTTGTGATGATTGCATTCAACTCACAGAGTTGAAGGTTCCTTTTCAAACAGCAGTTTCCAAACACTCTTTCTGTGGAATCTGCAAGTGGATATTTGGACCTCTTTGAAGATTTCGTTGGAAATGGGATAACCTTCACAGAAAAGCTAATCAGAAGCATTCTCAGAAACTTCTCTGTGATGTTTGTGTTCAACTCCCAGAGTGTCACATTGCTTCTCATAGAGTAGTTCTGAAACATGCTTTTCGTAGTGTCTGCAAGGGGACATTTGGAGCGCTTTCAGGCCTGTGGTGGAAAACGAATTATGGTCACATAAAAACTGGAGAGAAGCCTTCTCAGAAACTTCTCTGTGATGATTGCATTCAACTCACAGAGTTGAACCCTCCTATGGATAGAGCAGTGTTGAAACTCTCTTTTTGTGGAATCTGCAAGTGGATATGTGGACCTCTCCGAAGATGTCTTTGGAAACGGGACTATCTTCACATAAAAACTAAACAGAAGCATTCTCAGAAACTTCTTGGTGATGTTTGCATTCAAATCCCAGAGTTGAACCTTCCTTTGATAGTTCAGGTTTGAAACACTCTTTTTGTAGGATCTGCAAGTGGATATTTGGACCACTCTGTGGCCTTCGTTCGAAACGGGTACATCTTCGCATAAAATCTAGACAGAAGCATTCTCAGAAAATACTTTGTGATGATTGAGTTTAACTCACAGAGCTGAACATTCCTTTGGATGGAGCAGGCTTGAGACACACTTTTTGTAGAATCCACAAGTGGATATTTGGACCTCTCTGAGGATTTCGTTGGAAACGGGATAACTGCACCGAACTAAACGGAAGCATTCTCAGAAACTGCTTTGTGATGATTGCATTCACCTCACAGAGTTGACCATTCCTATTGATAGAGCAGTTTGGAAACACTCTTGTTGTGGAATGTGCAAGTGGAGATTTGGAGCGCTTTGAGGCCTATGGTAGTAAAGGGAATAGCTTCATAGAAAAACTAGACAGATGCATTCTCAGGAACTTTTTGGTGATGTTTGTATTCAACTCCCAGAGTTGAACTTTCCTTTGGAAAGAGCAGCTATGAAACACTCTTTTTCTAGAATCTGCAAGTGGACGTTTGGAGGGCTTTGTGGTTTGTGGTGGAAAAGGAAATATCTTCACCTAAATACTAGATAGAAGCATTCTCAGAAGCTTCTCTGTGATGACTGCATTCAACTCACGGAGTTGAACACTCCTTTTGAGAGCGCAGTTTTGAAACTCTCTTTCTGTGGCATCTGCAAGGGGACATGTAGACCTCTTTGAAGATTTCGTTGGAAACGGAATCATCTTCACATAAAAACTATACAGAAGCAGTCTCAGAATCTTCTTTGTGATGTTTGCATTCAAATCCCAGAGTTGAACTTTCCTTTCAAAGTTCACGTTTGAAACACTCTTTTTGCAGGATCTACAAGTGGATATTTGGACCACTCTGTGTCCTTCGTTCGAAACGGGTATATCTTCACACGACATCTAGACAGAAGCTTTCTCAGAAAATTCTTTGGGATGATTGAGTGGAACTCACAGAGCTGAACATTCCTTGCGATGTAGCAGTTTAGAAACACACTTTCTGCAGAATCTGCAAGTGCATATTTGGACCTCTCTGAGGAATTCGTTGGAAACGGGATAATTTCAGCTGACTAAACAGAAGCATTCTCAGAACCTTCTTCGTGATGTCTGCATTCAACTCACAGTGTGGAACCTTTCTTTGATAGTTCAGGTTTGAAACACTCTTTTTGTAGAAACTGCAAGGGGATAATTGCACTTCTTTGAGGCCTACCGTAGTAAAGGAAATAACTTCCTATAGAAAGAAGACAGAAGCATTCTCAGAACCCTCTTCGTGATGTTTGCATTCAACTCACAGTGCTGAACCTTTCTTTGATAGTTCAGCTTTGAAACACTCTTCTTGTAGAAACTGCAAGTGGATATTTGGTCCTCTCTGAGGATTTCGTTGGAAACGGGATAAACCGCACAGAACTAAACAGAAGCATTCTCAGAACCTTCTTCGTGATGTTTGCATTCAACTCACAGTGTTGAACCTTTCTTTGATAGTTCAGGTTTGAAACGGTCTTTCTGTAGAAACTGCAAGTAGATATTTGGACCTCTCTGAGGATTTCGTTGGAAACGGGATAAACCGCACAGAACTAAAACAGAAGCATTCACAGAAAACTCTTGGTGACGACTGAGTTTAACTCACAGAGCTGAACATTCCTTTGGATGGAGCAGTTTCGAAACACACTATTTGTAGAATGTGCAAGTGGATATTTGAGCCTCTCTGAGGATTTCGTTGGAAACGGGATAAACCGCACAGAACTAAACAGAAGCATTCTCAGAAACTACTTTGTGACGATTGCATTCAAGTCACAGAGTTGAACATTCCCTTTGACAGAGCAGTTTGGAAACTCTCTTTGTGTAGAATCTGCAAGTGGAGATATGGACCGCTTTGAGGCCTATGGTAGTAAAGGTAATAGCTTCATATGAAAGCTAGACAGTAGCATTCTCAGAAACTTCTTTGTGATGCTTGCATTCAACTCACAGAGTTGAACTTTCCTTTCGAGAGAGAAGCTTTGAAACACTCTTTTTCCAGAATCTGCAAGTGGACATTTGGAGGGCTTTGAGGCCTGTGGTGGAAAAGGAATTAACTTCCCGTAAAAGCTAGATAGAAGCATTGTCAGAAACTTCTTTGTGATGATTGCATTCAACTCACGGAGATGAAGGTTCCTTTACAAACAGCAGTTTCCAAACACTCTTTCTGTGGAATCTGCAAGTGGATATTTGGACCTCTTTGAAGATTTCGTTGGAAACGGGAGAATCTTCACAGAAAAGCTAAACAGAAGCATTCTCAGAAACTTCTCTGTGATGTTTGTGTTCAACTCCCAGAGTTTCACATTGCTTTTCATAGAGTAGTTCTGAAACATGCTTTTCGTAGTGTCTGCAAGTAGACATTTGGAGCGCTTTCAGGCCTGTGGTGGAAAACGAATTATGGTCCCATAAAAACTGGAGAGAAGCCTTCTCAGAAACTTCTCTGTGATGATTGCATTCAACTCACAGAGTTGAACCCTCCTATGGATAGAGCATTGTTGAAACTCTCTTTTTGTGGAATCTGCAAGTGGATATGTGGACCTCTCCGAAGATGTCTTTGGAAACGGGAATATCTTCACATAAAAACTAAACAGAAGCATTCTCAGAAACTTCTTGGTGATGTTTGCATTCAAATCCCAGAGTTGAACCTTCCTGTGATAGTTCAGGTTTGAAACACTCTTTTTGTAGGATCTGCAAGTGGATATTTGGACCACTCTGTGGCCTTCATTCGAAACGGGTACATCTTCACATAAAATCTAGACACAAGCATTCTCAGAAAATACTTTGTGATGATTGAGTTTAACTCACAGAGCTGAACATTCCTTTGGATGGAGCAGGTTTGAGACACACTTTTTGTAGAATCTACAAGTGGATATTTGGACCTCTCTGAGGATTTCGTTGGAAACGCGATAACTGCACCTAAATAAACGGAAGCATTCTCAGAAACTGCTTTGTGATGATTGCATTCACCTCACAGAGTTGAACATTCCTATTGATAGAGCAGTTTGGAAACACTCTTGTTGTGGAATGTGCAAGTGGAGATTTGGAGCGCTTTGAGGCCTATGGTAGTAAAGGGAATAGCTTCATAGAAAAACTAGACAGATGCATTCTCAGGAACTTTTTGGTGATGTTTGTATTCAACTCCCAGAGTTGAACTTTCCTTTGGAAAGAGCAGCTATGAAACACTCTTTTTCTAGAATCTGCAAGTGGACGTTTGGAGGGCTTTGTGGTTTGTGGTGGAAAAGGAAATATCTTCACCTAAATACTAGATAGAAGCATTCTCAGAAGCTTCTCTGTGATGACTGCATTCAACTCACGGAGTTGAACACTCCTTTTGAGAGCGCAGTTTTGAAACTCTCTTTCTGTGGCATCTGCAAGGGGACATGTAGACCTCTTTGAAGATTTCGTTGGAAACGGAATCATCTTCACATAAAAACTATACAGAAAGCAGTCTCAGAATCTTCTTTGTGATGTTTGCATTCAAATCCCAGAGTTGAACTTTCCTTTCAAAGTTCACGTTTGAAACACTCTTTTTGCAGGATCTACAAGTGGATATTTGGACCACTCTGTGTCCTTCGTTCGAAACGGGTATATCTTCACACGACATCTAGACAGAGCTTTCTCAGAAAATTTTTTGGGATGATTGAGTTGAACTCACAGAGCTGAGCATTCCTTGCGATGTAGCAGTTTAGAAACACACTTTCTGCAGAATCTGCAAGTGCATATTTGGACCTCTGTGAGGAATTCGTTGGAAACGGGATAATTTCAGCTGACTAAACAGAAGCATTCTCAGAACCTTCTTCGTGATGTCTGCATTCAACTCACAGTGTGGAACCTTTCTTTGATAGTTCAGGTTTGAAACACTCTTTTTGTAGAAACTGCAAGGGGATAATTGCACTTCTTTGAGGCCTACCGTAGTAAAGGAAATAACTTCCTATAGAAAGAAGACAGAAGCATTCTCAGAACCCTCTTCGTGATGTTTGCATTCAACACACAGTGCTGAACCTTTCTTTGATAGTTCAGCTTTGAAACACTCTTCTTGTAGAAACTGCAAGTGGATATTTGGTCCTCTCTGAGGATTTCGTTGGAAACGGGATAAACCGCACAGAACTAAACAGAAGCATTCTCAGAACCTTCTTCGTGATGTTTGCATTCAACTCACAGTGTTGAACCTTTCTTTGATAGTTCAGGTTTGAAACGGTCTTTCTGTAGAAACTGCAAGTAGATATTTGGACCTCTCTGAGGATTTCGTTGGAAACGGGATAACCCGCACAGAACTAAAACAGAAGCATTCACAGAAAACTCTTGGTGACGACTGAGTTTAACTCACAGAGCTGAACATTCCTTTGGATGGAGCAGTTTCGAAACACACTATTTGTAGAATGTGCAAGTGGATATTTGGGCCTCTCTGAGGATTTCGTTGGAAACGGGATAAACCGCACAGAACTAAACAGAAGCATTCTCAGAAACTACTTTGTGATGATTGCATTCAAGTCACAGAGTTGAACATTCCCTTTGACAGAGCAGTTTGGAAACTCTCTTTGTGTAGAATCTGCAAGTGGAGATATGGACCGCTTTGAGGCCTATGGTAGTAAAGGAAATAGCTTCATATAAAAGCTAGACAGTAGCATTCTCAGAAACTTCTTTGTGATGCTTGCATTCAACTCACAGAGTTGAACTTTCCTTTCGAGAGAGAAGCTTTGAAACACTCTTTTTCCAGAATCTGCAAGTGGACATTTGGAGGGCTTTGAGGCCTGTGGTGGAAAAGGAATTATCTTCCCGTAAAAGCTAGATAGAAGCATTGTCAGAAACTTCTTTGTGATGATTGCATTCAACTCACAGAGTTGAAGGTTCCTTTTCAAACAGCAGTTTCCAATCACTCTTTCTGTGGAATCTGCAAGTGGATATTTGGACCTATTTTGAAGATTTCGTTGGAAACGGGATAATCTTCACAGAAAAGCTAAACAGAAGCATTCTCAGAAACTTCTCTGTGATGTTTGTGTTCAACTCCCAGAGTTTCACATTGCTTTTCATAGAGTAGTTCTGAAACATGCTTTTCGTAGTGTCTGCAAGTGGACATTTGGAGCGCTTTCAGGCCTGTGGTGGAAAACGAATTATGGTCACATAAAAACTGGAGAGAAGCCTTCTCAGAAACTTCTCTGTGATGATTGCATTCAACTCACAGAGTTGAACCCTCCTATGGATAGAGCAGTGTTGAAACTCTCTTTTTGTGGAATCTGCAAGTGGATATGTGGACCTCTCCGAAGATGTCTTTGGAAACGGGAATATCTTCACATAAAAACTAAACAGAAGCATTCTCAGAAACTTCTTGGTGATGTTTGCATTCAAATCCCAGAGTTGAACCTTCCTTTGATAGTTCAGGTTTGAAACACTCTTTTTGTAGGATCTGCAAGTGGCTATTTGGACCACTCTGTGGCCTTCGTTCGAAACGGGTATATCTTCGCATAAAATCTAGACAGAAGCATTCTCAGAAAATACTTTGTGATGATTGAGTTGAACTCACAGAGCTGAACATTCCTTTGGATGGAGCAGGTTTGAGACACACTTTTTGTAGAATCTACAAGTGGATATTTGGACCTCTCTGAGGATTTCGTTGGAAACGGGATAACTGCACCTAACTAAACGGAAGCATTCTCAGAAACTGCTTTGTGATGATTGCATTCACCTCACAGAGTTGAACATTCCTATTGATAGAGCAGTTTGGAAACACTCTTGTTGTGGAATGTGCAAGTGGAGATTTGGAGCGCTTTGAGGCCTATGGTAGTAAAGGGAATAGCTTCATAGAAAAACTAGACAGATGCATTCTCAGGAACTTTTTGGTGATGTTTGTATTCAACTCCCAGAGTTGAACTTTCCTTTGGAAAGAGCAGCTATGAAACACTCTTTTTCTAGAATCTGCAAGTGGACGTTTGGAGGGCTTTGTGGTTTGTGGTGGAAAAGGAAATATCTTCACCTAAATACTAGATAGAAGCATTCTCAGAAGCTTCTCTGTGATGACTGCATTCAACTCACGGAGTTGAACACTCCTTTTGAGAGCGCAGTTTTGAAACTCTCTTTCTGTGGCATCCGCATGGGGACATGTAGACCTCTTTGAAGATTTCGTTGGAAACGGAATCATCTTCACATAAAAACTATACAGAAGCAGTCTCAGAATCTTCTTTGTGATGTTTGCATTCAAATCCCAGAGTTGAACTTTCCTTTCAAAGTTCACGTTTGAAACACTCTTTTTGCAGGATCTACAAGTGGATATTTGGACCACTCTGTGTCCTTCGTTCGAAACGGGTATATCTTCACACGACATCTAGACAGAAGCTTTCTCAGAAAATTCTTTGGGATGATTGAGTGGAACTCACAGAGCTGAACATTCCTTGCGATGTAGCAGTTTAGAAACACACTTTCTGCAGAATCTGCAAGTGCATATTTGGACCTCTCTGAGGAATTCGTTGGAAACGGGATAATTTCAGCTGACTAAACAGAAGCATTCTCAGAACCTTCTTCGTGATGTCTGCATTCAACTCACAGTGTGGAACCTTTCTTTGATAGTTCAGGTTTGAAACACTCTTTTTGTAGAAACTGCAAGGGGATAATTGCACTTCTTTGAGGCCTACCGTAGTAAAGGAAATAACTTCCTATAGAAAGAAGACAGAAGCATTCTCAGAACCCTCTTCGTGATGTTTGCATTCAACTCACAGTGCTGAACCTTTCTTTGATAGTTCAGCTTTGAAACACTCTTCTTGTAGAAACTGCAAGTGGATATTTGGTCCTCTCTGAGGATTTCGTTGGAAACGGGATAAACCGCACAGAACTAAACAGAAGAATTCTCAGAGCCCTCTTCGTGATGTTTGCATTCAACTCACAGTGCTGAACCTTTCTTTGATAGTGCAGCTTTGAAACACTCTTTTTGTAGAAACTGCAAGTGGATGTTTGGTCCTCTCTGAGGATTTCGTTGGAAACGGGATAAACCGCACAGAACTAAAACAGAAGCATTGTCAGAAACTTCTTTGTGATGATTGCATTCAACTCACAGAGTTGAAGGTTCCTTTTCAAACAGCAGTTTCCAATCACTCTTTCTGTGGAATCTGCAAGTGGATATTTGGGCCTCTCTGAGGATTTCGTTGGAAACGGGATAAAACGCACAGAACTAAAACAGAAGCATTCTCAGAAACTTCTCTGTGATGTTTGTGTTCAACTCCCAGAGTTTCACGTTGCTTTTCATAGAGTAGTTCTGAAACATGCTTTTCGTAGTGTCTGCAAGTGGACATTTGGAGCGCTTTCAGGCCTGTGGTGGAAAACGAATTATGGTCACATAAAAACTGGAGAGAAGCCTTCTCAGAAACTTCTCTGTGATGATTGCATTCAACTCACAGAGTTGAACCCTCCTATGGATAGAGCAGTGTTGAAACTCTCTTTTTGTGGAATCTGCAAGTGGATATGTGGACCTCTCCGAAGATGTCTTTGGAAACGGGAATATCTTCACATAAAAACTAAACAGAAGCATTCTCAGAAACTTCTTGGTGATGTTTGCATTCAAATCCCAGAGTTGAACCTTCCTTTGATAGTTCAGGTTTGAAACACTCTTTTTGTAGGATCTGCAAGTGGCTATTTGGACCACTCTGTGGCCTTCGTTCGAAACGGGTATATCTTCGCATAAAATCTAGACAGAAGCATTCTCAGAAAATACTTTGTGATGATTGAGTTTAAATCACAGAGCTGAACATTCCTTTGGATGGAGCAGGTTTGAGACACACTTTTTGTAGAATCTACAAGTGGATATTTGGACCTCTCTGAGGATTTCGTTGGAAACGGGATAACTGCACCTAACTAAACGGAAGCATTCTCAGAAACTGCTTTGTGATGATTGCATTCACCTCACAGAGTTGAACATTCCTATTGATAGAGCAGTTTGGAAACACTCTTGTTGTGGAATGTGCAAGTGGAGATTTGGAGCGCTTTGAGGCCTATGGTAGTAAAGGGAATAGCTTCATAGAAAAACTAGACAGATGCATTCTCAGGAACTTTTTGGTGATGTTTGTATTCAACTCCCAGAGTTGAACTTTCCTTTGGAAAGAGCAGCTATGAAACACTCTTTTTCTAGAATCTGCAAGTGGACAGTTTGGAGGGCTTTGTGGTTTGTGGTGGAAAAGGAAATATCTTCACCTAAATACTAGATAGAAGCATCCTCAGAAGCTTCTCTGTGATGACTGCATTCAACTCACGGAGTTGAACACTCCTTTTGAGAGCGCAGTTTTGAAACTCTCTTTCTGTGGCATCTGCAAGGGGACATGTAGACCTCTTTGAAGATTTCGTTGGAAACGGAATCATCTTCACATAAAAACTATACAGAAGCAGTCTCAGAATCTTCTTTGTGATGTTTGCATTCAAATCCCCGAGTTGAACTTTCCTTTCAAAGTTCACGTTTGAAACACTCTTTTTGCAGGATCTACAAGTGGATATTTGGACCACTCTGTGTCCTTCGTTCGAAACGGGTATATCTTCACATGACATCTAGACAGAAGCTTTCTCAGAAAATTCTTTGGGATGATTGAGTTGAACTCACAGAGCTGAGCATTCCTTGCGATGTAGCAGTTTAGAAACACACTTTCTGCAGAATCTGCAAGTGCATATTTGGACCTCTGTGAGGAATTCGTTGGAAACGGGATAATTTCAGCTGACTAAACAGAAGCATTCTCAGAACCTTCTTCGTGATGTCTGCATTCAACTCACAGTGTGGAACCTTTCTTTGATAGTTCAGGTTTGAAACACTCTTTTTGTAGAAACTGCAAGGGGATCATTGCACTCTTTGAGGAGTACCGTAGTAAAGGAAATAACTTCCTATAAAAAGAAGACAGAAGCATTCTCAGAACCCTCTTCGTGATGTTTGCATTCAACTCACAGTGCTGAACCTTTCTTTGATAGTTCAGCTTTGAAACACTCTTTTTGTAGAAACTGCAAGTGGATATTTGGTCCTCTCTGAGCATTTCGTTGGAAACGGGATAAACTGCACAGAACTAAACAGAAGCATTCTCAGAACTTCTTCGTGATGTTTGCATTCAACTCACAGTGTTGAACCTTTCTTTGATAGTTCAGGTTTGAAACGGTCTTTCTGTAGAAACTGCAAGTAGATATTTGGACCTCTCTGAGGATTTCGTTGGAAACGGGATAACCCGCACAGAACTAAAACAGAAGCATTCACAGAAAACTCTTGGTGACGACTGAGTTTAACTCACAGAGCTGAACATTCCTTTGGATGGAGCAGTTTCGAAACACACTATTTGTAGAATGTGCAAGTGGATATTTAGGCCTCTACTGAGGATTTCGTTGGAAACGGGATAAACCGCACAGAACTAAACAGAAGCATTCTCAGAAACTACTTTGTGATGATTGCATTCAAGTCACAGAGTTGAACATTCCCTTTGACAGAGCAGTTTGGAAACTCTCTTTGTGTAGAATCTGCAAGTGGAGATATGGACCGCTTTGAGGCCTATGGTAGTAAAGGAAATAGCTTCATATAAAAGCTAGACAGTAGCATTCTCAGAAACTTCTTTGTGATGCTTGCATTCAACTCACAGAGTTGAACTTTCCTTTCGAGAGAGAAGCTTTGAAACACTCTTTTTCCAGAATCTGCAAGTGGACATTTGGAGGGCTTTGAGGCCTGTGGTGGAAAAGGAATTATCTTCCCGTAAAAGCTAGATAGAAGCATTGTCAGAAACTTCTTTGTGATGATTGCATTCAACTCACAGAGTTGAAGGTTGCTTTTCAAAGAGCAGTTTCCAATCACTCTTTCTGTGGAATCTGCAAGTGGATATTTGGGCCTCTTTGAAGATATCGTTGGAAACGGGATAATCTTCACAGAAAAGCTAAACAGAAGCATTCTCAGAAACTTCTCTGTGATGTTTGTGTTCAACTCCCAGAGTTTCACATTGCTTCTCATAGAGTAGTTCTGAAACATGCTTTTCGTAGTGTCTGCAAGTGGACATTTGGAGCGCTTTCAGGCCTGTGGTGGAAAACGAATTATGGTCACATAAAAACTGGAGAGAAGCCTTCTCAGAAACTTCTCTGTGATGATTGCATTCAACTCACAGAGTTGAACCCTCCTATGGATAGAGCAGTGTTGAAACTCTCTTTTTGTGGAATCTGCAAGCGGATATGTGGACCTCTCCGAAGATGTCTTTGGCAACGGGAATATCTTCACATAAAAACTAAACAGAAGCATTCTCAGAAACTTCTTGGTGATGTTTGCATTCAAATCCCAGAGTTGAACCTTCCTTTGAGAGTTCAGGTTTGCAACACTCTTTTTGTAGGATCTGCAAGTGGATATTTGGACCACTCTGTGGCCTTCGTTCGAAACGGGTACATCTTCGCATAAAATCTAGACAGAAGCATTCTCAGAAAATACTTTGTGATGATTGAGTTGAACTCACAGAGCTGAACATTCCTTTGGATGGAGCAGGTTTGAGACACACTTTTTGTAGAATCTACAAGTGGATATTTGGACCTCTCTGAGGATTTCGTTGGAAACGGGATAACTGCACCTAACTAAACGGAAGCATTCTCAGAAACTGCTTTGTGATGATTGCATTCACCTCACAGAGTTGAAGATTCCTATTGATAGAGCAGTTTGGAAACACTCTTGTTGTGGAATGTGAAAGTGGAGATTTGGAGCGCTTTGAGGCCTATGGTAGTAAAGGGAATAGCTTCATAGAAAAACTAGACAGATGCATTCTCAGAAACTTTTTGGTGATGTTTGTATTCAACTCCCAGAGTTGAACTTTCCTTTGGAAAGAGCAGCTATGAAACACTCTTTTTCTAGAATCTGCAAGTGGACGTTTGGAGGGCTTTGTGGTTTGTGGTGGAAAAGGAAATATCTTCACCTAAATACTAGATAGAAGCATTCTCAGAAGCTTCTCTGTGATGACTGCAATCAACTCACGGAGTTGAACACTCCTTTTGAGAGCGCAGTTTTGAAACTCTCTTTCTGTGGCATCTGCAAAGGGACATGTAGACCTCTTTGAAGATTTCGTTGGAAACGGAATCATCTTCACATAAAAACTATACAGAAGCAGTCTCAGAATCTTCTTTGTGATGTTTGCATTCAAATCCCAGAGTTGAACTTTCCTTTCAAAGTTCACGTTTGAAACACTCTTTTTGCAGGATCTACAAGTGGATATTTGGACCACTCTGTGTCCTTCGTTCGAAACGGGTATATCTTCACATGACATCTAGACAGAAGCTTTCTCAGAAAATTGTTTGGGATGATTGATTTGAACTCACAGAGCTGAGCATTCCTTGCGATGTAGCAGTTTAGAAACACACTTTCTGCAGAATCTGCAAGTGCATATGTGGACCTCTCTGAGGAATTCGTTGGAAACGGGATAATTTCAGCTGACTAAACAGAAGCATTCTCAGAACCTTCTTCGTGATGTCTGCATTCAACTCACAGTGTGGAACCTTTCTTTGATAGTTCAGGTTTGAAACACTCTTTTTGTAGAAACTGCAAGGGGATAATTGCACTCTTTGAGGAGTACCGTAGTAAAGGAAATAACTTCCTATAAAAAGAAGACAGAAGCATTCTCAGAACCCTCTTCGTGATGTTTGCATTCAACTCACAGTGCTGAACCTTTCTTTGATAGTTCAGCTTTGAAACACTCTTTTTGTAGAAACTGCAAATGGATATTTGGTCCTCTCTGAGGATTTCGTTGGAAAAGGGATAAAACGCCCAGAACTAAACAGAAGCATTCACAGAAAACTCTTGGTGACGACTGAGTTTAACTCACAGAGCTGAACATTCCTTTGGATGGAGCAGTTTCAAAACACACTATTTGTAGAATCTGCAAGTGGATATGTGGGCCTCTCTGAGGATTTCGTTGGAAACGGGATAAACCGCACAGAACTAAAACAGAAGCATTCTCAGAAACTACTTTGTGATGATTGCATTCAAGTCACAGAGTTGAACATTCCCTTTGACAGAGCAGTTTGGAAACTCTCTTTGTGTAGAATCTGCAAGTGGAGATATGGACCGCTTTGAGGCCTATGGTAGTAAAGGAAATAGCTTCATATAAAAGCTAGACAGTAGCATTCTCAGAAACTTCTTTGTGATGCTTGCATTCAACTCACAGAGTTGAACTATCCTTTCGAGAGAGAAGCTTTGAAATACTCTTTTTCCAGAATCTGCAAGTGGACATTTGGAGGGCTTTGAGGCCTGTGGTGGAAAAGGAATTATCTTCCTGTAAAAGCTAGATAGAAGCATTGTCAGAAACTTCTTTGTGATGATTGCATTCAACTCACAGGAGTTGAAGGTTCCTTTTCAAACAGCAGTTTCCAATCACTCTTTCTGTGGAATCTGCAAGTGGATATTTCGACCTCTTTGAAGATTTCGTTGGAAACGGGAGAATCTTCACAGAAAAGCTAAACAGAAGCATTCTCAGAAACTTCTCTGTGATGTTTGTGTTCAACTCCCAGAGTTTCACATTGCTTTTCATAGAGTAGTTCTGAAACATGCTTTTCGTAGTGTCTGCAAGTGGACATTTGGAGCGCTTTCAGGCCTTTGGTGGAAAACGAATTATGGTCACATAAAAACTGGAGAGAAGCCTTCTCAGAAACTTCTCTGTGATGATTGCATTCAACTCACAGAGTTGAACCCTCCTATGGATAGAGCAGTGTTGAAACTCTCTTTTTGTGGAATCTGCAAGTGGATATGTGGACCTCTCCGAAGATGTCTTTGGAAACGGGAATATCTTCACATAAAAACTAAACAGAAGCATTCTCAGAAACTTCTTGGTGATGTTTGCATTCAAATCCCAGAGTTGAACCTTCCTTTGATAGTTCAGGTTTGAAACACTCTTTTTGTAGGATCTGCAAGTGGATATTTGGACCACTCTGTGGCCTTCGTTCGAAACGGGTACATCTTCGCATAAAATCTAGACAGAAGCATTCTCAGAAAATACTTTGTGATGATTGAGTTAAAATCACAGAGCTGAACATTCCTTTGGATGGAGCAGGTTTGAGACACACTTTTTGTAGAATCTACAAGTGGATATTTGGACCTCTCTGAGGATTTCGTTGGAAACGGGATAACTGCACCTAACTAAACGGAAGCATTCTCAGAAACTGCTTTGTGATGATTGCATTCACCTCACAGAGTTGAACATTCCTATTGATAGAGCAGTTTGGAAACACTCTTGTTGTGGAATGTGCAAGTGGAGATTTGGAGCGCTTTGAGGCCTATGGTAGTAAAGGGAATAGCTTCATAGAAAAACTAGACAGATGCATTCTCAGGAACTTTTTGGTGATGTTTGTATTCAACTCCCAGAGTTGAACTTTCCTTTGGAAAGAGCAGCTATGAAACACTCTTTTTCTAGAATCTGCAAGTGGACGTTTGGAGGGCTTTGTGGTTTGTGGTGGAAAAGGAAATATCTTCACCTAAATACTAGATAGAAGCATTCTCAGAAGCTTCTCTGTGATGACTGCATTCAACTCACGGAGTTGAACACTCCTTTTGAGAGCGCAGTTTTGAAACTCTCTTTCTGTGGCATCTGCAAGGGGACATGTAGACCTCTTTGAAGATTTCGTTGGAAACGGAATCATCTTCACATAAAAACTATACAGAAGCAGTCTCAGAATCTTCTTTGTGATGTTTGCATTCAAATCCCAGAGTTGAACTTTCCTTTCAAAGTTCACGTTTGAAACACTCTTTTTGCAGGATCTACAAGTGGATATTTGGACCACTCTGTGTCCTTCGTTCGAAACGGGTATATCTTCACACGACATCTAGACAGAAGCTTTCTCAGAAAATTCTTTGGGATGATTGAGTGGAACTCACAGAGCTGAACATTCCTTGCGATGTAGCAGTTTAGAAACACACTTTCTGCAGAATCTGCAAGTGCATATTTGGACCTCTCTGAGGAATTCGTTGGAAACGGGATAATTTCAGCTGACTAAACAGAAGCATTCTCAGAACCTTCTTCGTGATGTCTGCATTCAACTCACAGTGTGGAACCTTTCTTTGATAGTTCAGGTTTGAAACACTCTTTTTGTAGAAACTGCAAGGGGATAATTGCACTTCTTTGAGGCCTACCGTAGTAAAGGAAATAACTTCCTATAGAAAGAAGACAGAAGCATTCTCAGAACCCTCTTCGTGATGTTTGCATTCAACTCACAGTGCTGAACCTTTCTTTGATAGTTCAGCTTTGAAACACTCTTCTTATAGAAACTGCAAGTGGATATTTGGTCCTCTCTGAGGATTTCGTTGGAAACGGGATAAACCGCACAGAACTAAACAGAAGAATTCTCAGAGCCCTCTTCGTGATGTTTGCATTCAACTCACAGTGCTGAACCTTTCTTTGATAGTGCAGCTTTGAAACACTCTTTTTGTAGAAACTGCAAGTGGATATTTGGTCCTCTCTGAGGATTTCGTTGGAAACGGGATAAACCGCACAGAACTAAAACAGAAGCATTCACAGAAAACTCTTGGTGACGACTGAGTTTAACTCACAGAGCTGAACATTCCTTTGGATGGAGCAGTTTCGAAACACACTATTTGTAGAATCTGCAAGTGGATATTTGGGCCTCTCTGAGGATTTCGTTGGAAACGGGATAAAACGCACAGAACTAAAACAGAAGCATTCTCAGAAACTACTTTGTGATGATTGCATTCAAGTCACAGAGTTGAACATTCCCTTTGACAGAGCAGTTTGGAAACTCTCTTTGTGTAGAATCTGCAAGTGGAGATATGGACCGCTTTGAGGCCTATGGTAGTAAAGGAAATAGCTTCATATAAAAGCTAGACAGTAGCATTCTCAGAAACTTCTTTGTGATGCTTGCATTCAACTCACAGAGTTGAACTTTCCTTTCGAGAGAGAAGCTTTGAAACACTCTTTTTCCAGAATGTGCAAGTGGACATTTGGGGAGCTTTGAGGCCTGGGGTGGAAAAGGAATTATCTTCCCGTAAAAGCTAGATAGAAGCATTGTCAGAAACTTCTTTGAGATGATTGCATTCAACTCACAGAGTTGAAGGTTCCTTTTCAAACAGCAGTTTCCAATCACTCTTTCTGTGGAATCTGCAAGTGGATATTTCGACCTCTTTGAAGATTTCGTTGGAAACGGGAGAATCTTCACAGAAAAGCTAAACAGAAGCATTCTCAGAAACTTCTCTGTGATGTTTGTGTTCAACTCCCAGAGTTTCACGTTGCTTTTCATAGAGTAGTTCTGAAACATGCTTTTCGTAGTCTCTGCAAGTGGACATTTGGAGCGCTTTCAGGCCTGTGGTGGAAAACGAATTATGGTCACATAAAAACTGGAGAGAAGCCTTCTCAGAAACTTCTCTGTGATGATTGCATTCAACTCACAGATTTGAACCCTCCTATGGATAGAGCATTGTTGAAACTCTCTTTTTGTGGAATCTGCAAGTGGATATGTGGACCTCTCCGAAGATGTCTTTGGAAACGGGAATGTCTTCACATAAAAACTAAACAGGAAGCATTCTCAGAAACTTCTTGGTGATGTTTGCATTCAAATCCCAGAGTTGAACCTTCCTTTGATAGTTCAGGTTTGAAACACTCTTTTTGTAGGATCTGCAAGTGGCTATTTGGACCACTCTGTGGCCTTCTTTCGAAACGGGTATATCTTCGCATAAAATCTAGACAGAAGCATTCTCAGAAAATACTTTGTGATGATTGAGTTTAAATCACAGAGCTGAACATTCCTTTGGATGGAGCAGGTTTGAGACACACTTTTTGTAGAATCTACAAGTGGATATTTGGACCTCTCGGAGGATTTCGTTGGAAACGGGATAACTGCACCTAACTAAACGGAAGCATTCTCAGAAACTGCTTTGTGATGATTGCATTCACCTCACAGAGTTGAACATTCCTATTGATAGAGCAGTTTGGAAACACTCTTGTTGTGGAATGTGCAAGTGGAGATTTGGAGCGCTTTGAGGCCTATGGTAGTAAAGGGAATAGCTTCATAGAAAAACTAGACAGATGCATTCTCAGGAACATTTTGGTGATGTTTGTATTCAACTCCCAGAGTTGAACTTTCCTTTGGAAAGAGCAGCTATGAAACACTGTTTTTCTAGAATCTGCAAGTGGACGTTTGGAGGGCTTTGTGGTTTGTGGTGGAAAAGGAAATATCTTCACCTAAATACTAGATAGAAGCATTCTCAGAAGCTTCTCTGTGATGACTGCATTCAACTCACGGAGTTGAGCACTCCTTTTGAGAACGCATTTTTGAAACTCTCTTTCTGTGGCATCTGCAAGGGGACATGTAGACCTCTTTGAAGATTTCGTTGGAAACGGAATCATCTTCACATAAAAACTATACAGAAGCAGTCTCAGAATCTTCTTTGTGATGTTTGCATTCAAATCCCAGAGTTGAACTTTCCTTTCAAAGTTCACGTTTGAAACACTCTTTTTGCAGGATCTACAAGTGGATATTTGGACCACTCTGTGTCCTTCGTTCGAAACGGGTATATCTTCACATGACATCTAGACAGAAGCTTTCTCAGAAAATTCTTTGGGATGATTGAGTGGAACTCACAGAGCTGAACATTCCTTGCGATGTAGCAGTTTAGAAACACACTTTCTGCAGAATCTGCAAGTGCATATTTGGACCTCTCTGAGGAATTCGTTGGAAACGGGATAATTTCAGCTGACTAAACAGAAGCATTCTCAGAACCTTCTTCGTGATGTCTGCATTCAACTCACAGTGTGGAACCTTTCTTTGATAGTTCAGGTTTGAAACACTCTTTTTGTAGAAACTGCAAGGGGATAATTGCACTTCTTTGAGGCCTACCGTAGTAAAGGAAATAACTTCCTATAGAAAGAAGACAGAAGCATTCTCAGAACCCTCTTCGTGATGTTTGCATTCAACTCACAGTGCTGAAACTTTCTTTGATAGTTCAGCTTTGAAACACTCTTCTTGTAGAAACTGCAAGTGGATATTTGGTCCTCTCTGAGGATTTCGTTGGAAACGGGATAAACCGCACAGAACTAAACAGAAGCATTCTCAGAACCTTCTTCGTGATGTTTGCATTCAACTCACAGTGTTGAACCTTTCTTTGATAGTTCAGGTTTGAAACGGTCTTTCTGTAGAAACTGCAAGAAGATATTTGGACCTCTCTGAGGATTTCGTTGGAAACGGGATAAACCGCACAGAACTAAAACAGAAGCATTCACAGAAAACTCTTGGTGACGACTGAGTTTAACTCACAGAGCTGAACATTCCTTTGGATGGAGCAGTTTCGAAACACACTATTTGTAGAATGTGCAAGTGGATATTTGGGCCTCTCTGAGGATTTCGTTGGAAACGGGATAAACCGCACAGAACTAAACAGAAGCATTCTCAGAAACTACTTTGTGATGATTGCATTCAAGTCACAGAGTTGAACATTCCCTTTGACAGAGCAGTTTGGAAACTCTCTTTCTGTAGAATCTGCAAGTGGAGATATGGACCGCTTTCAGGCCTATGGTAGTAAAGGAAATAGCTTCATATAAAAGCTAGACAGTAGCATTCTCAGAAACTTCTTTGTGATGCTTGCATTCAACTCACAGAGTTGAACTTTCCTTTCGAGAGAGAAGCTTTGAAACACTCTTTTTCCAGAATGTGCAAGTGGACATTTTGGGAGCTTTGAGGCCTGTGGTGGAAAAGGAATTATCTTCCCGTAAAAGCTAGATAGAAGCATTGTCAGAAACTTCTTTGTGATGATTGCATTCAACTCACAGAGTTGAAGGTTCCTTTTCAAACAGCAGTTTCCAATCACTCTTTCTGTGGAATCTGCAAGTGGATATTTGGGCCTCTCTGAGGATTTCGTTGGAAACGGGATAAAACGCACAGAACTAAAACAGAAGCATTCTCAGAAACTTCTCTGTGATGTTTGTGTTCAACTCCCAGAGTTTCACGTTGCTTTTCATAGAGTAGTTCTGAAACATGCTTTTCGTAGTGTCTGCAAGTGGACATTTGGAGCGCTTTCAGGCCTGTGGTGGAAAACGAATTATGGTCACATAAAAACTGGAGAGAAGCCTTCTCAGAAACTTCTCTGTGATGATTGCATTCAACTCACAGAGTTGAACCCTCCTATGGATAGAGCAGTGTTGAAACTCTCTTTTTGTGGAACCTGCAAGTGGATATGTGGACCTCTCCGAAGATGTCTTTGGAAACGGGAATATCTTCACATAAAAACTAAACAGAAGCATTCTCAGAAACTTCTTGGTGATGTTTGCATTCAAATCCCAGAGTTGAACCTTCCTTTGATAGTTCAGGTTTGAAACACTCTTTCTGTAGGATCTGCAAGTGGCTATTTGGACCACTCTGTGGCCTTCGTTCGAAACGGGTATATCTTCGCATAAAATCTAGACAGAAGCATTCTCAGAAAATACTTTGTGATGATTGAGTTTAAATCACAGAGCTGACCATTCCTTTGGATGGAGCAGGTTTGAGACACACTTTTTGTAGAATCTACAAGTGGATATTTGGACCTCTCTGAGGATTTCGTTGGAAACGGGATAACTGCACCTAACTAAACGGAAGCATTCTCAGAAACTGCTTTGTGATGATTGCATTCACCTCACAGAGTTGAACATTCCTATTGATAGAGCAGTTTGGAAACACTCTTGTTGTGGAATGTGCAAGTGGAGATTTGGAGCGCTTTGAGGCCTGTGGTAGTAAAGGGAATAGCTTCATAGAAAAACTAGACAGATGCATTCTCAGGTAACTTTTTGGTGATGTTTGTATTCAACTCCCAGAGTTGAACTTTCCTTTGGAAAGAGCAGCTATGAAACACTCTTTTTCTAGAATCTGCAAGTGGACGTTTGGAGGGCTTTGTGGTTTGTGGTGGAAAAGGAAATATCTTCACCTAAATACTAGATAGAAGCATTCTCAGAAGCTTCTCTGTGATGACTGCATTCAACTCACGGAGTTGAACACTCCTTTTGAGAGCGCAGTTTTGAAACTCTCTTTCTGTGGCATCTGCAAGGGGACATGTAGACCTCTTTGAAGATTTCGTTGGAAACGGAATCATCTAACACATAAAAACTATACAGAAGCAGTCTCAGAATCTTCTTTGTGATGTTTGCATTCAAATCCCCGAGTTGAACTTTCCTTTCAAAGTTCACGTTTGAAACACTCTTTTTGCAGGATCTACAAGTGGATATTTGGACCACTCTGTGTCCGTCGTTCGAAACGGGTATATCTTCACATGACATCTAGACAGAAGCTTTCTCAGAAAATTCTTTGGGATGATTGAGTTGAACTCACAGAGCTGAGCATTCCTTGCGATGTAGCAGTTTAGAAACACACTTTCTGCAGAATCTGCAAGTGCATATTTGGACCTCTGTGAGGAATTCGTTGGAAACGGGATAATTTCAGCTGACTAAACAGAAGCATTCTCAGAACCTTCTTCGTGATGTCTGCATTCAACTCACAGTGTGGAACCTTTCTTTGATAGTTCAGGTTTGAAACACTCTTTTTGTAGAAACTGCAAGGGGATAATTGCACTCTTTGAGGAGTACCGTAGTAAAGGAAATAACTTTCTCTAAAAAGAAGACAGAAGCATTCTCAGAACCCTCTTCGTGATGTTTGCATTCAACTCACAGTGCTGAACCTTTCTTTGATAGTTCAGCTTTGAAACACTCTTTTTGTAGAAACTGCAAGTGGATATTTGGTCCTCTCTGAGGATTTCGTTGGAAACGGGATAAACTGCACAGAACTAAACAGAAGCATTCTCAGAACCTTCTTCGTGATGTTTGCATTCAACTCACAGTGTTGAACCTTTCTTTGATAGTTCAGGTTGGAAACGGTCTTTCTGTAGAAACTGCAAGTAGATATTTGGACCTCTCTGAGGATTTCGTTGGAAACGGGATAACCCGCACAGAACTAAAACAGAAGCATTCACAGAAAACTCTTGGTGACGACTGAGTTTAACTCACAGAGCTGAACATTCCTTTGGATGGAGCAGTTTCGAAACACACTATTTGTAGAATGTGCAAGTGGATATTTGGGCCTCTCTGAGGATTTCGTTGGAAACGGGATAAACCGCACAGAACTAAACAGAAGCATTCTCAGAAACTACTTTGTGATGATTGCATTCAAGTCACAGAATTGAACATTCCCTTTGACAGAGCAGTTTGGAAACTCTCTTTGTGTAGAATCTGCAAGTGGAGATATGGACCGCTTTGAGGCCTATGGTAGTAAAGGAAATAGCTTCATATAAAAGCTAGACAGTAGCATTCTCAGAAACTTCTTTGTGATGCTTGCATTCAACTCACAGAGTTGAACTTTCCTTTCGAGAGAGAAGCTTTGAAACACTCTTTTTCCAGAATCTGCAAGTGGACATTTGGAGGGCTTTGAGGCCTGTGGTGGAAAAGGAATTATCTTCCCGTAAAAGCTAGATGGAAGCATTGTCAGAAACTTCTTTGTGATGATTGCATTCAATTCACAGAGTTGAAGGTTCCTTTTCAAACAGCAGTTTCCAATCACTCTTTCTGTGGAATCTGCAAGTGGATATTTGGACCTATTTTGAAGATTTTGTTGGAAACGGGATAATCTTCACAGAAAAGCTAAACAGAAGCATTCTCAGAACTTCTCTGTGATGTTTGTGTTCAACTCCCAGAGTTTCACGTTGCTTTTCATAGAGTAGTTCTGAAACATGCTTTTCGTAGTGTCTGCAAGTGGACATTTGGAGCGCTTTCAGGCCTGTGGTGGAAAACGAATTATGGTCACATAAAAACTGGAGAGAAGCCTTCTCAGAAACTTCTCTGTGATGATTGCATTCAACTCACAGAGTTGAACCCTCCTATGGATAGAGCAGTGTTGAAACTCTCTTTTTGTGGAATCTGCAAGTGGATATGTGGACCTCTCCGAAGATGTCTTTGGAAACGGGAATATCTTCACATAAAAACTAAACAGAAGCATTCTCAGAAACTTCTTGGTGATGTTTGCATTCAAATCCCAGAAGTTGAACCTTCCTTTGATAGTTCAGGTTTGAAACACTCTTTTTGTAGGATCTGCAAGTGGATATTTGGACCACTCTGTGGCCTTCGTTCGAAACGGCTATATCTTCGCATAAAATCTAGACAGAAGCATTCTCAGAAAATACTTTGTGATGATTGAGTTGAACTCACAGAGCTGAACATTCCTTTGGATGGAGCAGGTTTGAGACACACTTTTTGTAGAATCTACAAGTGGATATTTGGACCTCTCTGAGGATTTCGTTGGAAACGGGATAACTGCACCTAACTAAACGGAAGCATTCTCAGAAACTGCTTTGTGATGATTGCATTCACCTCACAGAGTTGAACATTCCTATTGATAGAGCAGTTTGGAAACACTCTTGTTGTGGAATGTTCAAGTGGAGATTTGGAGCGCTTTGAGGCCTATGGTAGTAAAGGGAAGAGCTTCATAGAAAAACTAGACAGATGCATTCTCAGGAACTTTTTGGTGATGTTTGTATTCAACTCCCAGAGTTGAACTTTCCTTTGGAAAGAGCAGCTATGAAACACTCTTTTTCTAGAATCTGCAAGTGGACGTTTGGAGGGCTTTGTGGTTTGTGGTGGAAAAGGAAATATCTTCACCTAAATACTAGATAGAAGCATTCTCAGAAGCTTCTCTGTGATGACTGCATTCAACTCACGGAGTTGAACACTCCTTTTGAGAGCGCAGTTTTGAAACTCTCTTTCTGTGGCATCTGCAAGGGGACATGTAGACCTCTTTGAAGATTTCGTTGGAAACGGAATCATCTTCACATAAAAACTATACAGAAGCAGTCTCAGAATCTTCTTTGTGATGTTTGCATTCAAATCCCAGAGATGAACATTCCTTTCAAAGTTCACGTTTGAAACACTCTTTTTGCAGGATCTACAAGTGGATATTTGGACCACTCTGTGTCCTTCCTTCGAAACGGGCATATCTTCACATGACATCTAGACAGAAGCTTTCTCAGAAAATTCTTTGGGATGATTGAGTGGAACTCACAGAGCTGAACATTCCTTGCGATGTAGCAGTTTAGAAACACACTTTCTGCAGAATCTGCAAGTGCATATTTGGACCTCTCTGAGGAATTCGTTGGAAACGGGATAATTTCAGCTGACTAAACAGAAGCATTCTCAGAACCTTCTTCGTGGTGTCTGCATTCAACTCACAGTGTGGAACCTTTCTTTGATAGTTCAGGTTTGAAACACTCTTTTTGTAGAAACTGCAAGGGGATAATTGCACTTCTTTGAGGCCTACCGTAGTAAAGGAAATAACTTCCTATAGAAAGAAGACAGAAGCATTCTCAGAACCCTCTTCGTGATGTTTGCATTCAACTCACAGTGCTGAACCTTTCTTTGATAGTTCAGCTTTGAAACACTCTTCTTGTAGAAACTGCAAGTGGATATTTGGTCCTCTCTGAGGATTTCGTTGGAAACGGGATAAACCGCACAGAACTAAACAGAAGAATTCTCAGAGCCCTCTTCGTGATGTTTGCATTCAACTCACAGTGCTGAACCTTTCTTTGATAGTGCAGCTTTGAAACACTCTTTTTGTAGAAACTGCAAGTGGATGTTTGGTCCTCTCTGAGGATTTCGTTGGAAACGGGATAAACCGCACAGAACTAAAACAGAAGCATTGTCAGAAACTTCTTTGTGATGATTGCATTCAACTCACAGAGTTGAAGGTTCCTTTTCAAACAGCAGTTTCCAATCACTCTTTCTGTGGAATCTGCAAGTGGATATTTGGGCCTCTCTGAGGATTTCGTTGGAAACGGGATAAAACGCACAGAACTAAAACAGAAGCATTCTCAGAAACTTCTCTGTGATGTTTGTGTTCAACTCCCAGAGTTTCACGTTGCTTTTCATAGAGTAGTTCTGAAACATGCTTTTCGTAGTGTCTGCAAGTGGACATTTGGAGCGCTTTCAGGCCTGTGGTGGAAAACGAATTATGGTCACATAAAAACTGGAGAGAAGCCTTCTCAGAAACTTCTCTGTGATGATTGCATTCAACTCACAGAGTTGAACCCTCCTATGGATAGAGCAGTGTTGAAACTCTCTTTTTGTGGAATCTGCAAGTGGATATGTGGACCTCTCCGAAGATGTCTTTGGAAACGGGAATATCTTCACATAAAAACTAAACAGAAGCATTCTCAGAAACTTCTTGGTGATGTTTGCATTCAAATCCCAGAGTTGAACCTTCCTTTGATAGTTCAGGTTTGAAACACTCTTTCTGTAGGATCTGCAAGTGGCTATTTGGACCACTCTGTGGCCTTCGTTCGAAACGGGTATATCTTCGCATAAAATCTAGACAGAAGCATTCTCAGAAAATACTTTGTGATGATTGAGTTTAAATCACAGAGCTGACCATTCCTTTGGATGGAGCAGGTTTGAGACACACTTTTTGTAGAATCTACAAGTGGATATTTGGACCTCTCTGAGGATTTCGTTGGAAACGGGATAACTGCACCTAACTAAACGGAAGCATTCTCAGAAACTGCTTTGTGATGATTGCATTCACCTCACAGAGTTGAACATTCCTATTGATAGAGCAGTTTGGAAACACTCTTGTTGTGGAATGTGCAAGTGGAGATTTGGAGCGCTTTGAGGCCTATGGTAGTAAAGGGAATAGCTTCATAGAAAAACTAGACAGATGCATTCTCAGGAACTTTTTGGTGATGTTTGTATTCAACTCCCAGAGTTGAACTTTCCTTTGGAAAGAGCAGCTATGAAACACTCTTTTTCTAGAATCTGCAAGTGGACGTTTGGAGGGCTTTGTGGTTTGTGGTGGAAAAGGAAATATCTTCACCTAAATACTAGATAGAAGCATTCTCAGAAGCTTCTCTGTGATGACTGCATTCAACTCACGGAGTTGAACACTCCTTTTGAGAGCGCAGTTTTGAAACTCTCTTTCTGTGGCATCTGCAAGGGGACATGTAGACCTCTTTGAAGATTTCGTTGGAAACGGAATCATCTTCACATAAAAACTATACAGAAGCAGTCTCAGAATCTTCTTTGTGATGTTTGCATTCAAATCCCAGAGTTGAACTTTCCTTTCAAAGTTCACGTTTGAAACACTCTTTTTGCAGGATCTACAAGTGGATATTTGGACCACTCTGTGTCCTTCGTTCGAAACGGGTATATCTTCACACGACATCTAGACAGAAGCTTTCTCAGAAAATTCTTTGGGATGATTGAGTGGAACTCACAGAGCTGAACATTCCTTGCGATGGAGCAGTTTAGAAACACACTTTCTGCAGAATCTGCAAGTGCATATTTGGACCTCTCTGAGGAATTCGTTGGAAACGGGATAATTTCAGCTGACTAAACAGAAGCATTCTCAGAACCTTCTTCGTGATGTCTGCATTCAACTCACAGTGTGGAACCTTTCTTTGATAGTTCAGGTTTGAAACACTCTTTTTGTAGAAACTGCAAGGGGATAATTGCACTTCTTTGAGGCCTACCGTAGTAAAGGAAATAACTTCCTATAGAAAGAAGACAGAAGCATTCTCAGAACCCTCTTCGTGATGTTTGCATTCAACTCACAGTGCTGAACCTTTCTTTGATAGTTCAGCTTTGAAACACTCTTCTTGTAGAAACTGCAAGTGGATATTTGGTCCTCTCTGAGGATTTCGTTGGAAACGGGATAAACCGCACAGAACTAAACAGAAGAATTCTCAGAGCCCTCTTCGTGATGTTTGCATTCAACTCACAGTGCTGAACCTTTCTTTGATAGTGCAGCTTTGAAACACTCTTTTTGTAGAAACTGCAAGTGGATGTTTGGTCCTCTCTGAGGATTTCGTTGGAAACGGGATAAACCGCACAGAACTAAAACAGAAGCATTGTCAGAAACTTCTTTGTGATGATTGCATTCAACTCACAGAGTTGAAGGTTCCTTTTCAAACAGCAGTTTCCAATCACTCTTTCTGTGGAATCTGCAAGTGGATATTTGGGCCTCTCTGAGGATTTCGTTGGAAACGGGATAAAACGCACAGAACTAAAACAGAAGCATTCTCAGAAACTTCTCTGTGATGTTTGTGTTCAACTCCCAGAGTTTCACGTTGCTTTTCATAGAGTAGTTCTGAAACATGCTTTTCGTAGTGTCTGCAAGTGGACATTTGGAGCGCTTTCAGGCCTGTGGTGGAAAACGAATTATGGTCACATAAAAACTGGAGAGAAGCCTTCTCAGAAACTTCCCTGTGATGATTGCATTCAACTCACAGAGTTGAACCCTCCTATGGATAGAGCAGTGTTGAAACTCTCTTTTTGTGGAATCTGCAAGTGGATATGTGGACCTCTCCGAAGATGTCTTTGGAAACGGGAATATCTTCACATAAAAACTAAACAGAAGCATTCTCAGAATCTTCTTGGTGATGTTTGCATTCAAATCCCAGAGTTGAACCTTCCTTTGATAGTTCAGGTTTGAAACACTCTTTCTGTAGGATCTGCAAGTGGCTATTTGGACCACTCTGTGGCCTTCGTTCGAAACGGGTATATCTTCGCATAAAATCTAGACAGAAGCATTCTCAGAAAATACTTTGTGATGATTGAGTTTAAATCACAGAGCTGACCATTCCTTTGGATGGAGCAGGTTTGAGACACACTTTTTGTAGAATCTACAAGTGGATATTTGGACCTCTCTGAGGATTTCGTTGGAAACGGGATAACTGCACCTAACTAAACGGAAGCATTCTCAGAAACTGCTTTGTGATGATTGCATTCACCTCACAGAGTTGAACATTCCTATTGATAGAGCAGTTTGGAAACACTCTTGTTGTGGAATGTGCAAGTGGAGATTTGGAGCGCTTTGAGGCCTGTGGTAGTAAAGGGAATAGCTTCATAGAAAAACTAGACAGATGCATTCTCAGGAACTTTTTGGTGATGTTTGTATTCAACTCCCAGAGTTGAACTTTCCTTTGGAAAGAGCAGCTATGAAACACTCTTTTTCTAGAATCTGCAAGTGGACGTTTGGAGGGCTTTGTGGTTTGTGGTGGAAAAGGAAATATCTTCACCTAAATACTAGATAGAAGCATTCTCAGAAGCTTCTCTGTGATGACTGCATTCAACTCACGGAGTTGAACACTCCTTTTGAGAGCGCAGTTTTGAAACTCTCTTTCTGTGGCATCTGCAAGGGGACATGTAGACCTCTTTGAAGATTTCGTTGGAAACGGAATCATCTTCACATAAAAACTATACAGAAGCAGTCTCAGAATCTTCTTTGTGATGTTTGCATTCAAATCCCAGAGTTGAACTTTCCTTTCAAAGTTCACGTTTGAAACACTCTTTTTGCAGGATCTACAAGTGGATATTTGGACCACTCTGTGTCCTTCGTTCGAAACGGGTATATCTTCACACGACATCTAGACAGAAGCTTTCTCAGAAAATTCTTTGGGATGATTGAGTGGAACTCACAGAGCTGAACATTCCTTGCGATGTAGCAGTTTAGAAACACACTTTCTGCAGAATCTGCAAGTGCATATTTGGACCTCTCTGAGGAATTCGTTGGAAACGGGATAATTTCAGCTGACTAAACAGAAGCATTCTCAGAACCTTCTTCGTGATGTCTGCATTCAACTCACAGTGTGGAACCTTTCTTTGATAGTTCAGGTTTGAAACACTCTTTTTGTAGAAACTGCAAGGGGATAATTGCACTTCTTTGAGGCCTACCGTAGTAAAGGAAATAACTTCCTATAGAAAGAAGACAGAAGCATTCTCAGAACCCTCTTCGTGATGTTTGCATTCAACTCACAGTGCTGAACCTTTCTTTGATAGTTCAGCTTTGAAACACTCTTCTTGTAGAAACTGCAAGTGGATATTTGGTCCTCTCTGAGGATTTCGTTGGAAACGGGATAAACCGCACAGAACTAAACAGAAGAATTCTCAGAGCCCTCTTCGTGATGTTTGCATTCAACTCACAGTGCTGAACCTTTCTTTGATAGTGCAGCTTTGAAACACTCTTTTTGTAGAAACTGCAAGTGGATGTTTGGTCCTCTCTGAGGATTTCGTTGGAAACGGGATAAACCGCACAGAACTAAAACAGAAGCATTGTCAGAAACTTCTTTGTGATGATTGCATTCAACTCACAGAGTTGAAGGTTCCTTTTCAAACAGCAGTTTCCAATCACTCTTTCTGTGGAATCTGCAAGTGGATATTTGGGCCTCTCTGAGGATTTCGTTGGAAACGGGATAAAACGCACAGAACTAAAACAGAAGCATTCTCAGAAACTTCTCTGTGATGTTTGTGTTCAACTCCCAGAGTTTCACGTTGCTTTTCATAGAGTAGTTCTGAAACATGCTTTTCGTAGTGTCTGCAAGTGGACATTTGGAGCGCTTTCAGGCCTGTGGTGGAAAACGAATTATGGTCACATAAAAACTGGAGAGAAGCCTTCTCAGAAACTTCTCTGTGATGATTGCATTCAACTCACAGAGTTGAACCCTCCTATGGATAGAGCAGTGTTGAAACTCTCTTTTTGTGGAATCTGCAAGTGGATATGTGGACCTCTCCGAAGATGTCTTTGGAAACGGGAATATCTTCACATAAAAACTAAACAGAAGCATTCTCAGAAACTTCTTGGTGATGTTTGCATTCAAATCCCAGAGTTGAACCTTCCTTTGATAGTTCAGGTTTGAAACACTCTTTCTGTAGGATCTGCAAGTGGCTATTTGGACCACTCTGTGGCCTTCGTTCGAAACGGGTATATCTTCGCATAAAATCTAGACAGAAGCATTCTCAGAAAATACTTTGTGATGATTGAGTTTAAATCACAGAGCTGACCATTCCTTTGGATGGAGCAGGTTTGAGACACACTTTTTGTAGAATCTACAAGTGGATATTTGGACCTCTCTGAGGATTTCGTTGGAAACGGGATAACTGCACCTAACTAAACGGAAGCATTCTCAGAAACTGCTTTGTGATGATTGCATTCACCTCACAGAGTTGAACATTCCTATTGATAGAGCAGTTTGGAAACACTCTTGTTGTGGAATGTGCAAGTGGAGATTTGGAGCGCTTTGAGGCCTATGGTAGTAAAGGGAATAGCTTCATAGAAAAACTAGACAGATGCATTCTCAGGAACTTTTTGGTGATGTTTGTATTCAACTCCCAGAGTTGAACTTTCCTTTGGAAAGAGCAGCTATGAAACACTCTTTTTCTAGAATCTGCAAGTGGACGTTTGGAGGGCTTTGTGGTTTGTGGTGGAAAAGGAAATATCTTCACCTAAATACTAGATAGAAGCATTCTCAGAAGCTTCTCTGTGATGACTGCATTCAACTCACGGAGTTGAACACTCCTTTTGAGAGCGCAGTTTTGAAACTCTCTTTCTGTGGCATCTGCAAGGGGACATGTAGACCTCTTTGAAGATTTCGTTGGAAACGGAATCATCTTCACATAAAAACTATACAGAAGCAGTCTCAGAATCTTCTTTGTGATGTTTGCATTCAAATCCCAGAGTTGAACTTTCCTTTCAAAGTTCACGTTTGAAACACTCTTTTTGCAGGATCTACAAGTGGATATTTGGACCACTCTGTGTCCTTCGTTCGAAACGGGTATATCTTCACACGACATCTAGACAGAAGCTTTCTCAGAAAATTCTTTGGGATGATTGAGTGGAACTCACAGAGCTGAACATTCCTTGCGATGGAGCAGTTTAGAAACACACTTTCTGCAGAATCTGCAAGTGCATATTTGGACCTCTCTGAGGAATTCGTTGGAAACGGGATAATTTCAGCTGACTAAACAGAAGCATTCTCAGAACCTTCTTCGTGATGTCTGCATTCAACTCACAGTGTGGAACCTTTCTTTGATAGTTCAGGTTTGAAACACTCTTTTTGTAGAAACTGCAAGGGGATAATTGCACTTCTTTGAGGCCTACCGTAGTAAAGGAAATAACTTCCTATAGAAAGAAGACAGAAGAATTCTCAGAACCCTCTTCGTGATGTTTGCATTCAACTCACAGTGCTGAACCTTTCTTTGATAGTTCAGCTTTGAAACACTCTTCTTGTAGAAACTGCAAGTGGATATTTGGTCCTCTCTGAGGATTTCGTTGGAAACGGGATAAACCGCACAGAACTAAACAGAAGCCTTCTCAGAAACTTCTCTGTGATGATTGCATTCAACTCACAGAGTTGAAGGTTCCTTTTCAAACAGCAGTTTCCAATCACTCTTTCTGTGGAATCTGCAAGTGGATATTTGGGCCTCTCTGAGGATTTCGTTGGAAACGGGATAAAACGCACAGAACTAAAACAGAAGCATTCTCAGAAACTTCTCTGTGATGTTTGTGTTCAACTCCCAGAGTTTCACGTTGCTTTTCATAGAGTAGTTCTGAAACATGCTTTTCGTAGTGTCTGCAAGTGGACATTTGGAGCGCTTTCAGGCCTGTGGTGGAAAACGAATTATGGTCACATAAAAACTGGAGAGAAGCCTTCTCAGAAACTTCTCTGTGATGATTGCATTCAACTCACAGAGTTGAACCCTCCTATGGATAGAGCAGTGTTGAAACTCTCTTTTTGTGGAATCTGCAAGTGGATATGTGGACCTCTCCGAAGATGTCTTTGGAAACAGGAATATCTTCACATAAAAACTAAACAGAAGCATTCTCAGAAACTTCTTGGTGATGTTTGCATTCAAATCCCAGAGTTGAACCTTCCTTTGATAGTTCAGGTTTGAAACACTCTTTCTGTAGGATCTGCAAGTGGCTATTTGGACCACTCTGTGGCCTTCGTTCGAAACGGGTATATCTTCGCATAAAATCTAGACAGAAGCATTCTCAGAAAATACTTTGTGATGATTGAGTTTAAATCACAGAGCTGACCATTCCTTTGGATGGAGCAGGTTTGAGACACACTTTTTGTAGAATCTACAAGTGGATATTTGGACCTCTCTGAGGATTTCGTTGGAAACGGGATAACTGCACCTAACTAAACGGAAGCATTCTCAGAAACTGCTTTGTGATGATTGCATTCACCTCACAGAGTTGAACATTCCTATTGATAGAGCAGTTTGGAAACACTCTTGTTGTGGAATGTGCAAGTGGAGATTTGGAGCGCTTTGAGGCCTGTGGTAGTAAAGGGAATAGCTTCATAGAAAAACTAGACAGATGCATTCTCAGGAACTTTTTGGTGATGTTTGTATTCAACTCCCAGAGTTGAACTTTCCTTTGGAAAGAGCAGCTATGAAACACTCTTTTTCTAGAATCTGCAAGTGGACGTTTGGAGGGCTTTGTGGTTTGTGGTGGAAAAGGAAATATCTTCACCTAAATACTAGATAGAAGCATTCTCAGAAGCTTCTCTGTGATGACTGCATTCAACTCACGGAGTTGAACACTCCTTTTGAGAGCGCAGTTTTGAAACTCTCTTTCTGTGGCATCTGCAAGGGGACATGTAGACCTCTTTGAAGATTTCGTTGGAAACGGAATCATCTTCACATAAAAACTATACAGAAGCAGTCTCAGAATCTTCTTTGTGATGTTTGCATTCAAATCCCAGAGTTGAACTTTCCTTTCAAAGTTCACGTTTGAAACACTCTTTTTGCAGGATCTACAAGTGGATATTTGGACCACTCTGTGTCCTTCGTTCGAAACGGGTATATCTTCACACGACATCTAGACAGAAGCTTTCTCAGAAAATTCTTTGGAATGATTGAGTGGAACTCACAGAGCTGAACATTCCTTGCGATGTAGCAGTTTAGAAACACACTTTCTGCAGAATCTGCAAGTGCATATTTGGACCTCTCTGAGGAATTCGTTGGAAACGGGATAATTTCAGCTGACTAAACAGAAGCATTCTCAGAACCTTCTTCGTGATGTCTGCATTCAACTCACAGTGTGGAACCTTTCTTTGATAGTTCAGGTTTGAAACACTCTTTTTGTAGAAACTGCAAGGGGATAATTGCACTTCTTTGAGGCCTACCGTAGTAAAGGAAATAACTTCCTATAGAAAGAAGACAGAAGCATTCTCAGAACCCTCTTCGTGATCTTTGCATTCAACTCACAGTGCTGAACCTTTCTTTGATAGTTCAGCTTTGAAACACTCTTCTTGTAGAAACTGCAAGTGGATATTTGGTCCTCTCTGAGGATTTCGTTGGAAACGGGATAAACCGCACAGAACTAAACAGAAGAATTCTCAGAGCCCTCTTCGTGATGTTTGCATTCAACTCACAGTGCTGAACCTTTCTTTGATAGTGCAGCTTTGAAACACTCCTTTTGTAGAAACTGCAAGTGGATATTTGGTCCTCTCTGAGGATTTCGTTGGAAACGGGATAAACCGCACAGAACTAAAACAGAAGCATTGTCAGAAACTTCTTTGTGATGATTGCATTCAACTCACAGAGTTGAAGGTTCCTTTTCAAACAGCAGTTTCCAATCACTCTTTCTGTGGAATCTGCAAGTGGATATTTGGGCCTCTCTGAGGATTTCGTTGGAAACGGGATAAAACCCACAGAACTAAAACAGAAGCATTCTCAGAAACTTCTCTGTGATGTTTGTGTTCAACTCCCAGAGTTTCACGTTGCTTTTCATAGAGTAGTTCTGAAACATGCTTTTCGTAGTGTCTGCAAGTGGACATTTGGAGCGCTTTCAGGCCTGTGGTGGAAAACGAATTATGGTCACATAAAAACTGGAGAGAAGCCTTCTCAGAAACTTCTCTGTGATGATTGCATTCAACTCACAGAGTTGAACCCTCCTATGGATAGAGCAGTGTTGAAACTCTCTTTTTGTGGAATCTGCAAGTGGATATGTGGACCTCTCCGAAGATGTCTTTGGAAACGGGAATATCTTCACATAAAAACTAAACAGAAGCATTCTCAGAAACTTCTTGGTGATGTTTGCATTCAAATCCCAGAGTTGAACCTTCCTTTGATAGTTCAGGTTTGAAACACTCTTTCTGTAGGATCTGCAAGTGGCTATTTGGACCACTCTGTGGCCTTCGTTCGAAACGGGTATATCTTCGCATAAAATCTAGACAGAAGCATTCTCAGAAAATACTTTGTGATGATTGAGTTTAAATCACAGAGCTGACCATTCCTTTGGATGGAGCAGGTTTGAGACACACTTTTTGTAGAATCTACAAGTGGATATTTGGACCTCTCTGAGGATTTCGTTGGAAACGGGATAACTGCACCTAACTAAACGGAAGCATTCTCAGAAACTGCTTTGTGATGATTGCATTCACCTCACAGAGTTGAACATTCCTATTGATAGAGCAGTTTGGAAACACTCTTGTTGTGGAATGTGCAAGTGGAGATTTGGAGCGCTTTGAGGCCTATGGTAGTAAAGGGAATAGCTTCATAGAAAAACTAGCACAGATGCATTCTCAGGAACTTTTTGGTGATGTTTGTATTCAACTCCCAGAGTTGAACTTTCCTTTGGAAAGAGCAGCTATGAAACACTCTTTTTCTAGAATCTGCAAGTGGACGTTTGTAGGGCTTTGTGGTTTGTGGTGGAAAAGGAAATATCTTCACCTAAATACTAGATAGAAGCATTCTCAGAAGCTCCTCTGTGATGACTGCATTCAACTCACGGAGTTGAACACTCCTTTTGAGAGCGCAGTTTTGAAACTCTCTTTCTGTGGCATCTGCAAGGGGACATGTAGACCTCTTTGAAGATTTCGTTGGAAACGGAATCATCTTCACATAAAAACTATACAGAAGCAGTCTCAGAATCTTCTTTGTGATGTTTGCATTCAAATCCCAGAGTTGAACTTTCCTTTCAAAGTTCACGTTTGAAACACTCTTTTTGCAGGATCTACAAGTGGATATTTGGACCACTCTGTGTCCTTCGTTCGAAACGGGTATAACTTCACACGACATCTAGACAGAAGCTTTCTCAGAAAATTCTTTGGGATGATTGAGTGGAACTCACAGAGCTGAACATTCCTTGTGATGGAGCAGTTTAGAAACACACTTTCTGCAGAATCTGCAAGTGCATATTTGGACCTCTCTGAGGAATTCGTTGGAAACGGGATAATTTCAGCTGACTAAACAGAAGCATTCTCAGAACCTTCTTCGTGATGTCTGCATTCAACTCACAGTGTGGAACCTTTCTTTGATAGTTCAGGTTTGAAACACTCTTTTTGTAGAAACTGCAAGGGGATAATTGCACTCTTTGAGGAGTACCGTAGTAAAGGAAATAACTTCCTATAAAAAGAAGACAGAAGCATTCTCAGAACCCTCTTCGTGATGTTTGCATTCAACTCACAGTGCTGAACCTTTCTTTGATAGTTCAGCTTTGAAACACTCTTTTTGTAGAAACTGCAAGTGGATATTTGGTCCTCTCTGAGGAATTCGTTGGAAACGGGATAAACTGCACAGAACTAAACAGAAGCATTCTCAGAACCTTCTTCGTGATGTTTGCATTCAACTCACAGTGTTGAACCTTTCTTTGATAGTTCAGGTTTGAAACGGTCTTTCTGTAGAAACTGCAAGTAGATATTTGGACCTCTCTGAGGATTTCGTTGGAAACGGGATAACCCGCACAGAACTAAAACAGAAGCATTCACAGAAAACTCTTGGTGACGACTGAGTTTAACTCACAGAGCTGAACATTCCTTTGGATGGAGCAGTTTCGAAACACACTATTTGTAGAATGTGCAAGTGGATATTTAGGCCTCTCTGAGGATTTCGTTGGAAACGGGATAAACCGCACAGAACTAAACAGAAGCATTCTCAGAAACTACTTTGTGATGATTGCATTCAAGTCACAGAGTTGAACATTCCCTTTGACAGAGCAGTTTGGAAACTCTCTTTGTGTAGAATCTGCAAGTGGAGATATGGACCGCTTTGAGGCCTATGGTAGTAAAGGAAATAGCTTCATATAAAAGCTAGACAGTAGCATTCTCAGAAACTTCTTTGTGATGCTTGCATTCAACTCACAGAGTTGAACTTTCCTTTCGAGAGAGAAGCTTTGAAACACTCTTTTTCCAGAATCTGCAAGTGGACATTTGGAGGGCTTTGAGGCCTGTGGTGGAAAAGGAATTATCTTCCCGTAAAAGCTAGATAGAAGCATTGTCAGAAACTTCTTTGTGATGATTGCATTCAACTCACAGAGTTGAAGGTTCCTTTTCAAAGAGCAGTTTCCAATCACTCTTTCTGTGGAATCTGCAAGTGGATATTTGGACCTATTTTGAAGATTTCGTTGGAAACGGGAGAATCTTCACAGGAAAGCTAAACAGAAGCATTCTCAGAAACTTCTCTGTGATGTTTGTGTTCAACTCCCAGAGTTTCACATTGCTTTTCATAGAGTAGTTCTGAAACATGCTTTTCGTAGTGTCTACAAGTGGACATTTGGAGCGCTTTCAGGCCTGTGGTGGAAAACGAATTATGGTCACATAAAAACTGGAGAGAAGCCTTCTCAGAAACTTCTCTGTGATGATTGCATTCAACTCACAGAGTTGAACCCTCCTATGGATAGAGCAGTGTTGAAACTCTCTTTTTGTGGAATCTGCAAGTGGATATGTGGACCTCTCCGAAGATGTCTTTGGAAACGGGAATATCTTCACATAAAAACTAAACAGAAGCATTCTCAGAAACTTCTTGGTGATGTTTGCATTCAAATCCCAGAGTTGAACCTTCCTTTGATAGTTCAGGTTTGAAACACTCTTTTTGTAGGATCTGCAAGTGGCTATTTGGACCACTCTGTGGCCTTCGTTCGAAACGGGTATATCTTCGCATAAAATCTAGACAGAAGCATTCTCAGAAAATACTTTGTGATGATTGAGTTTAAATCACAGAGCTGAACATTCCTTTGGATGGAGCAGGTTTGAGACACACTTTTTGTAGAATCTACAAGTGGATATTTGGACCTCTCTGAGGATTTCGTTGGAAACGGGATAACTGCACCTAACTAAACGGAAGCATTCTCAGAAACTGCTTTGTGATGATTGCATTCACCTCACAGAGTTGAACATTCCTATTGATAGAGCAGTTTGGAAACACTCTTGTTGTGGAATGTGCAAGTGGAGATTTGGAGCGCTTTGAGGCCTATGGTAGTAAAGGGAATAGCTTCATAGAAAAACTAGACAGATGCATTCTCAGGAACTTTTTGGTGATGTTTGTATTCAACTCCCAGAGTTGAACTTTCCTTTGGAAAGAGCAGCTATGAAACACTCTTTTTCTAGAATCTGCAAGTGGACGTTTGGAGGGCTTTGTGGTTTGTGGTGGAAAAGGAAATATCTTCACCTAAATACTAGATAGAAGCATTCTCAGAAGCTTCTCTGTGATGACTGCATTCAACTCACGGAGTTGAACACTCCTTTTGAGAGCGCAGTTTTGAAACTCTCTTTCTGTGGCATCTGCAAGGGGACATGTAGACCTCTTTGAAGATTTCGTTGGAAACGGAATCATCTTCACATAAAAACTATACAGAAGCAGTCTCAGAATCTTCTTTGTGATGTTTGCATTCAAATCCCAGAGTTGAACTTTCCTTTCAAAGTTCACGTTTGAAACACTCTTTTTGCAGGATCTACAAGTGGATATTTGGACCACTCTGTGTCCTTCGTTCGAAACGGGTATATCTTCACACGACATCTAGACAGAAGCTTTCTCAGAAAATTCTTTGGGATGATTGAGTGGAACTCACAGAGCTGAACATTCCTTGCGATGTAGCAGTTTAGAAACACACTTTCTGCAGAATCTGCAAGTGCATATTTGGACCTCTCTGAGGAATTCGTTGGAAACGGGATAATTTCAGCTGACTAAACAGAAGCATTCTCAGAACCTCCTTCGTGATGTCTGCATTCAACTCACAGTGTGGAACCTTTCTTTGATAGTTCAGGTTTGAAACACTCTTTTTGTAGAAACTGCAAGGGGATAATTGCACTTCTTTGAGGCCTACCGTAATAAAGGAAATAACTTCCTATAGAAAGAAGACAGAAGCATTCTCAGAACCCTCTTCGTGATGTTTGCATTCAACTCACAGTGCTGAACCTTTCTTTGATAGTTCAGCTTTGAAACACTCTTCTTGTAGAAACTGCAAGTGGATATTTGGTCCTCTCTGAGGATTTCGTTGGAAACGGGATAAACCGCACAGAACTAAACAGAAGCATTCTCAGGACCCTCTTCGTGATGTTTGCATTCAACTCACGGTGCTGAACCTTTCTTTGATAGTTCAGCTTTGAAACACTCTTTTTGTAGAAACTGCAAGTGGATATTTGGTCCTCTCTGAGGATTTCGTTGGAAACGGGATAAACCGCACAGAACTAAACAGAAGCATTCTCAGAACCTTCTTCGTGATGTTTGCATTCAACTCACAGTGTTGAACCTTTCTTTGATAGTTCAGGTTTGAAACGGTCTTTCTGTAGAAACTGCAAGTAGATATTTGGACCTCTCTGAGGATTTCATTGGAAACGGGATAAACCGCACAGAATTAAAACAGAAGCATTCACAGAAAACTCTTGGTGACGACTGAGTTTAACTCACAGAGCTGAACATTCCTTTGGATGGAGCAGTTTCGAAACACACTATTTCTAGAAGGTGCAAGTGGATATGTGGGCCTCTCTGAGGATTTCGTTGGAAACGGGATAAACCGCACAGAACTAAACAGAAGCATTCTCAGAAACTACTTTGTGATGATTGCATTCAAGTCACAGAGTTGAACATTCCCTTTGACAGAGCAGTTTGGAAACTCTCTTTGTGTAGAATCTGCAAGTGGAGATATGGACCGCTTTGAGGCCTATGGTAGTAAAGGAAATAGCTTCATATAAAAGCTAGACAGTAGCATTCTCAGAAACTTCTTTGTGATGCTTGCATTCAACTCACAGAGTTGAACTTTCCTATCGAGAGAGAAGCTTTGAAACACTCTTTTTCCAGAGTCTGCAAGTGGACATTTGGAGGGCTTTGAGGCCTGTGGTGGAAAAGGAATTATCTTCCCGTAAAAGCTAGATAGAAGCATTGTCAGAAACTTCTTTGTGATGATTGCATTCAAGTCACAGAGTTGAAGGTTCCTTTTCAAAGAGCAGTTTCCAATCACTCTTTCTGTGGAATCTGCAAGTGGATATTTGGACCTCTTTGAAGATTTCGTTGGAAACGGGAGAATCTTCACAGAAAAGCTAAACAGAAGCATTCTCAGAAACTTCTCTGTGATGTTTGTGTTCAACTCCCAGAGTTTCACATTGCTTCTCATAGAGTAGTTCTGAAACATGCTTTTCGTAGTGTCTGCAAGTGGACATTTGGAGCGCTTTCAGGCCTGTGGTGGAAAACGAATTATGGTCACATAAAAACTGGAGAGAAGCCTTCTCAGAAACTTCTCTGTGATGATTGCATTCAACTCACAGAGTTGAACCCTCCTATGGATAGAGCAGTGTTGAAACTCTCTTTTTGTGGAATCTGCAAGCGGATATGTGGACCTCTCCGAAGATGTCTTTGGAAACGGGAATATCTTCACATAAAAACTAAACAGAAGCATTCTCAGAAACTTCTTGGTGATGTTTGCATTCAAATCCCAGAGTTGAACCTTCCTTTGAGAGTTCAGGTTTGAAACACTCTTTTTGTAGGATCTGCAAGTGGATATTTGGACCACTCTGTGGCCTTCGTTCGAAACGGGTACATCTTCGCATAAAATCTAGACAGAAGCATTCTCAGAAAATACTTTGTGATGATTGAGTTTAACTCACAGAGCTGAACATTCCTTTGGATGGAGCAGGTTTGAGACACACTTTTTGTAGAATCTACAAGTGGATATTTGGACCTCTCTGAGGATTTCATTGGAAACGCGATAACTGCACCTAACTAAACGGAAGCATTCTCAGAAACTGCTTTGTGATGATTGCATTCACCTCACAGAGTTGAACATTCCTATTGATAGAGCAGTTTGGAAACACTCTTGTTGTGGAATGTGCAAGTGGAGATTTGGAGCGCTTTGAGGCCTATGGTAGTAAAGGGAATAGCTTCATAGAAAAACTAGACAGATGCATTCTCAGGAACTTTTTGGTGATGTTTGTATTCAACTCCCAGAGTTGAACTTTCCTTTGGAAAGAGCAGCTATGAAACACTCTTTTTCTAGAATCTGCAAGTGGACGTTTGGAGGGCTTTGTGGTTTGTGGTGGAAAAGGAAATATCTTCACCTAAATACTAGATAGAAGCATTCTCAGAAGCTTCTCTGTGATGACTGCATTCAACTCACGGAGTTGAACACTCCTTTTGAGAGCGCAGTTTTGAAACTCTCCTTCTGTGGCATCCGCAAGGGGACATGTGGACCTCTTTGAAGATTTCGTTGGAAACGGAATCATCTTCACATAAAAACTATACAGAAGCAGTCTCAGAATCTTCTTTGTGATGTTTGCATTCAAATCCCAGAGTTGAACTTTCCTTTCAAAGTTCACGTTTGAAACACTCTTTTTGCAGGATCTACAAGTGGATATTTGGACCACTCTGTGTCCTTCGTTCGAAACGGGTATATCTTCACATGACATCTAGACAGAAGCTTTCTCAGAAAATTCTTTGGGATGATTGAGTGGAACTCACAGAGCTGAACATTCCTTGCGATGTAGCAGTTTAGAAACACACTTTCTGCAGAATCTGCAAGTGCATATTTGGACCTCTCTGAGGAATTCGTTGGAAACGGGATAATTTCAGCTGACTAAACAGAAGCATTCTCAGAACCTTCTTCGTGATGTCTGCATTCAACTCACAGTGTGGAACCTTTCTTTGATAGTTCAGGTTTGAAACACTCTTTTTGTAGAAACTGCAAGGGGATAATTGCACTTCTTTGAGGCCTACCGTAGTAAAGGAAATAACTTCCTATAGAAAGAAGACAGAAGCATTCTCAGAACCCTCTTCGTGATGTTTGCATTCAACTCACAGTGCTGAACCTTTCTTTGATAGTTCAGCTTTGAAACACTCTTCTTGTAGAAACTGCAAGTGGATATTTGGTCCTCTCTGAGGATTTCGTTGGAAACGGGATAAACCGCACAGAACTAAACAGAAGAATTCTCAGAGCCCTCTTCGTGATGTTTGCATTCAACTCACAGTGCTGAACCTTTCTTTGATAGTGCAGCTTTGAAACACTCTTTTTGTAGAAACTGCAAGTGGATGTTTGGTCCTCTCTGAGGATTTCGTTGGAAACGGGATAAACCGCACAGAACTAAAACAGAAGCATTGTCAGAAACTTCTTTGTGATGATTGCATTCAACTCACAGAGTTGAAGGTTCCTTTTCAAACAGCAGTTTCCAATCACTCTTTCTGTGGAATCTGCAAGTGGATATTTGGGCCTCTCTGAGGATTTCGTTGGAAACGGGATAAAACGCACAGAACTAAAACAGAAGCATTCTCAGAAACTTCTCTGTGATGTTTGTGTTCAACTCCCAGAGTTTCACGTTGCTTTTCATAGAGTAGTTCTGAAACATGCTTTTCGTAGTGTCTGCAAGTGGACATTTGGAGCGCTTTCAGGCCTGTGGTGGAAAACGAATTATGGTCACATAAAAACTGGAGAGAAGCCTTCTCAGAAACTTCTCTGTGATGATTGCATTCAACTCACAGAGTTGAACCCTCCTATGGATAGAGCAGTGTTGAAACTCTCTTTTTGTGGAATCTGCAAGTGGATATGTGGACCTCTCCGAAGATGTCTTTGGAAACGGGAATATCTTCACATAAAAACTAAACAGAAGCATTCTCAGAAACTTCTTGGTGATGTTTGCATTCAAATCCCAGAGTTGAACCTTCCTTTGATAGTTCAGGTTTGAAACACTCTTTTTGTAGGATCTGCAAGTGGCTATTTGGACCACTCTGTGGCCTTCGTTCGAAACTGGTATATCTTCGCATAAAATCTAGACAGAAGCATTCTCAGAAAATACTTTGTGATGATTGAGTTTAAATCACAGAGCTGACCATTCCTTTGGATGGAGCAGGTTTGAGACACACTTTTTGTAGAATCTACAAGTGGATATTTGGACCTCTCTGAGGATTTCGTTGGAAACGGGATAACTGCACCTAACTAAACGGAAGCATTCTCAGAAACTGCTTTGTGATGATTGCATTCACCTCACAGAGTTGAACATTCCTATTGATAGAGCAGTTTGGAAACACTCTTGTTGTGGAATGTGCAAGTGGAGATTTGGAGCGCTTTGAGGCCTATGGTAGTAAAGGGAATAGCTTCATAGAAAAACTAGACAGATGCATTCTCAGGAACCTTTTGGTGATGTTTGTATTCAACTCCCAGAGTTGAACTTTCCTTTGGAAAGAGCAGCTATGAAACACTCTTTTTCTAGAATCTGCAAGTGGACGTTTGGAGGGCTTTGTGGTTTGTGGTGGAAAAGGAAATATCTTCACCTAAATACTAGATAGAAGCATTCTCAGAAGCTTCTCTGTGATGACTGCATTCAACTCACGGAGTTGAACACTCCTTTTGAGAGCGCAGTTTTGAAACTCTCTTTCTGTGGCATCTGCAAGGGGACATGTAGACCTCTTTGAAGATTTCGTTGGAAACGGAATCATCTTCACATAAAAACTATACAGAAGCAGTCTCAGAATCTTCTTTGTGATGTTTGCATTCAAATCCCAGAGTTGAACTTTCCTTTCAAAGTTCACGTTTGAAACACTCTTTTTGCAGGATCTACAAGTGGATATTTGGACCACTCTGTGTCCTTCGTTCGAAACGGGTATATCTTCACACGACATCTAGACAGAAGCTTTCTCAGAAAATTCTTTGGGATGATTGAGTGGAACTCACAGAGCTGAACATTCCTTGCGATGTAGCAGTTTAGAAACACACTTTCTGCAGAATCTGCAAGTGCATATTTGGACCTCTCTGAGGAATTCGTTGGAAACGGGATAATTTCAGCTGACTAAACAGAAGCTTTCTCAGAAAATTCTTTGGGATGATTGAGTTGAGCAAACAGAGCTGAACACTCCTTGCGATGTAGCAGTTTAGAAACACCCTTTCTGCAGAATCTGCAAGTGCATATTTGGACCTCTCTGAGGAATTCGTTGGAAACGGGATAATTTCAGCTGACTAAACAGAAGCATTCTCAGAACCTTCTTCGTGATGTCTGCATTCAACTCAAAGTGTGGAACCTTTCTTTGATAGTTCAGGTTTTAAAAACTCTTTTTGTAGAAACTGCAAGGGGATAATTGCACTCTTGAGGAGTACCGTAGTAAAGGAAATAACTTCCTATAAAAAGAAGACAGAAGCATTCTCAGAACCCTCTTCGTGATGTTTGCATTCAACTCACAGTGCTGAACCTTTGTTTGATAGTTCAGCTTTGAAACACTCTTTTTGTAGAAACTGCAAGTGAATATTTGGTCCTCTCTGAGGATTTCGTTGGAAACGGGATAAACCGCACAGAACTAAACAGAAGCATTCTCAGAACCTTCTTCGTGATGTTTGCATTCAACTCACAGTGTTGAACCTTTCTTTGATAGTTCAGGTTTGAAACGGTCTTTCTGTAGAAACTGCAAGTAGATATTTGGACCTCTCTGAGGATTTCGTTGGAAACGGGATACACCGCACAGAACTAAAACAGAAGCATTCACAGAAAACTCTTTGTGACGACTGCGTTTAACTCACAGAGCTGAAAATCCCTTTGGATGGAGCAGTTTCGAAAAACACTATTTGTAGAATGTGCAAGTGGATATTGGGGCCTCTCTGAGGATTTCGTTGGAAACGGGATAAACCACACAGAACTAAACAGAAGCATTCTCAGAAACTACTTCGTGATGATTGCATTCAAGTCACAGAGTTGAACATTCCCTTTGACAGAGCAGTTTGGAAACTCTCTTTGTGTAGAATCTGCAAGTGGAGATATGGACCGCTTTGAGGACTATGGTAGTAAAGGAAATAGCTTCATATAAAAGCTAAACAGTAGCATTCTCAGAAACTTCTTTGTGATGCTTGCATTCAACTCACAGAGTTGAACTTTCCTATCGAGAGAGAAGCTTTGAAACACTCTTTTTCCAGAATCTGCAAGTGGACATTTGGAGGGCTTTGAGGCCTGTGGTGGAAAAGGAATTATCTTCCCGTAAAAGCTAGATAGAAGCATTGTCAGAAACTTCTTTGTGATGATTGCATTCAACTCACAGAGTTGAAGGTTCCTTTTCAAACAGCAGTTTCCAATCACTCTTTCTGTGGAATCTGCAAGTGGATATTTGGACCTCTTTGAAGATTTCGTTGGAAACGGGAGAATCTTCACAGAAAAGCTAAACAGAAGCATTCTCAGAAACTTCTCTGTGATGTTTGTGTTCAACTCCCAGAGTTTCACATTGCTTTTCATAGAGTAGTTCTGAAACATGCTTTTCGTAGTGTCTGCAAGTGGACATTTGGAGCGCTTTCAGGCCTGTGGTGGAAAACGAATTATGGTCACATAAAAACTGGAGAGAAGCCTTCTCAGAAACTTCTCTGTGATGATTGCATTCAACTCACAGAGTTGAACCCTCCTATGGATAGAGCAGTGTTGAAACTCTCTTTTTGTGGAATCTGCAAGTGGATATGTGGACCTCTCCGAAGATGTCTTTGGAAACGGGAATATCTTCACATAAAAACTAAACAGAAGCATTCTCAGAAACTTCTTGGTGATGTTTGCATTCAAATCCCAGAGTTGAACCTTCCTTTGATAGTTCAGGTTTGAAACACTCTTTCTGTAGGATCTGCAAGTGGCTATTTGGACCACTCTGTGGCCTTCGTTCGAAACGGGTATATCTTCGCATAAAATCTAGACAGAAGCATTCTCAGAAAATACTTTGTGATGATTGAGTTTAAATCACAGAGCTGACCATTCCTTTGGATGGAGCAGGTTTGAGACACACTTTTTGTAGAATCTACAAGTGGATATTTGGACCTCTCTGAGGATTTCGTTGGAAACGGGATAACTGCACCTAACTAAACGGAAGCATTCTCAGAAACTGCTTTGTGATGATTGCATTCACCTCACAGAGTTGAACATTCCTATTGATAGAGCAGTTTGGAAACACTCTTGTTGTGGAATGTGCAAGTGGAGATTTGGAGCGCTTTGAGGTCTATGGTAGTAAAGGGAATAGCTTCATAGAAAAACTAGACAGATGCATTCTCAGGAACCTTTTGGTGATGTTTGTATTCAACTCCCAGAGTTGAACTTTCCTTTGGAAAGAGCAGCTATGAAACACTCTTTTTCTAGAATCTGCAAGTGGACGTTTGGAGGGCTTTGTGGTTTGTGGTGGAAAAGGAAATATCTTCACCTAAATACTAGATAGAAGCATTCTCAGAAGCTTCTCTGTGATGACTGCATTCAACTCACGGAGTTGAACACTCCTTTTGAGAGCGCAGTTTTGAAACTCTCTTTCTGTGGCATCTGCAAGGGGACATGTAGACCTCTTTGAAGATTTCGTTGGAAACGGAATCATCTTCACATAAAAACTATACAGAAGCAGTCTCAGAATCTTCTTTGTGATGTTTGCATTCAAATCCCAGAGTTGAACTTTCCTTTCAAAGTTCACGTTTGAAACACTCTTTTTGCAGGATCTACAAGTGGATATTTGGACCACTCTGTGTCCTTCGTTCGAAACGGGTATATCTTCACACGACATCTAGACAGAAGCTTTCTCAGAAAATTCTTTGGGATGATTGAGTGGAACTCACAGAGCTGAACATTCCTTGCGATGTAGCAGTTTAGAAACACACTTTCTGCAGAATCTGCAAGTGCATATTTGGACCTCTCTGAGGAATTCGTTGGAAACGGGATAATTTCAGCTGACTAAACAGAAGCATTCTCAGAACCTTCTTCGTGATGTCTGCATTCAACTCACAGTGTGGAACCTTTCTTTGATAGTTCAGGTTTGAAACACTCTTTTTGTAGAAACTGCAAGGGGATAATTGCACTTCTTTGAGGCCTACCGTAGTAAAGGAAATAACTTCCTATAGAAAGAAGACAGAAGCATTCTCAGAACCCTCTTCGTGATGTTTGCATTCAACTCACAGTGCTGAACCTTTCTTTGATAGTTCAGCTTTGAAACACTCTTCTTGTAGAAACTGCAAGTGGATATTTGGTCCTCTCTGAGGACTTCGTTGGAAACGGGATAAACCGCACAGAACTAAACAGAAGAATTCTCAGAGCCCTCTTCGTGATGTTTGCATTCAACTCACAGTGCTGAACCTTTCTTTGATAGTGCAGCTTTGAAACACTCTTCTTGTAGAAACTGCAAGTGGATGTTTGGTCCTCTCTGAGGATTTCGTTGGAAACGGGATAAACCGCACAGAACTAAAACAGAAGCATTGTCAGAAACTTCTTTGTGATGATTGCATTCAACTCACAGAGTTGAAGGTTCCTTTTCAAACAGCAGTTTCCAATCACTCTTTCTGTGGAATCTGCAAGTGGATATTTGGGCCTCTCTGAGGATTTCGTTGGAAACGGGATAAAACGCACAGAACTAAAACAGAAGCATTCTCAGAAACTTCTCTGTGATGTTTGTGTTCAACTCCCAGAGTTTCACGTTGCTTTTCATAGAGTAGTTCTGAAACATGCTTTTCGTAGTGTCTGCAAGTGGACATTTGGAGCGCTTTCAGGCCTGTGGTGGAAAACGAATTATGGTCACATAAAAACTGGAGAGAAGCCTTCTCAGAAACTTCTCTGTGATGATTGCATTCAACTCACAGAGTTGAACCCTCCTATGGATAGAGCAGTGTTGAAACTCTCTTTTTGTGGAATCTGCAAGTGGATATGTGGACCTCTCCGAAGATGTCTTTGGAAACGGGAATATCTTCACATAAAAACTAAACAGAAGCATTCTCAGAAACTTCTTGGTGATGTTTGCATTCAAATCCCAGAGTTGAACCTTCCTTTGATAGTTCAGGTTTGAAACACTCTTTCTGTAGGATCTGCAAGTGGCTATTTGGACCACTCTGTGGCCTTCGTTCGAAACGGGTATATCTTCGCATAAAATCTAGACAGAAGCATTCTCAGAAAATACTTTGTGATGATTGAGTTTAAATCACAGAGCTGACCATTCCTTTGGATGGAGCAGGTTTGAGACACACTTTTTGTAGAATCTACAAGTGGATATTTGGACCTCTCTGAGGATTTCGTTGGAAACGGGATAACTGCACCTAACTAAACGGAAGCATTCTCAGAAACTGCTTTGTGATGATTGCATTCACCTCACAGAGTTGAACATTCCTATTGATAGAGCAGTTTGGAAACACTCTTGTTGTGGAATGTGCAAGTGGAGATTTGGAGCGCTTTGAGGCCTATGGTAGTAAAGGGAATAGCTTCATAGAAAAACTAGACAGATGCATTCTCAGGAACTTTTTGGTGATGTTTGTATTCAACTCCCAGAGTTGAACTTTCCTTTGGAAAGAGCAGCTATGAAACACTCTTTTTCTAGAATCTGCAAGTGGACGTTTGGAGGGCTTTGTGGTTTGTGGTGGAAAAGGAAATATCTTCACCTAAATACTAGATAGAAGCATCCTCAGAAGCTTCTCTGTGATGACTGCATTCAACTCACGGAGTTGAACACTCCTTTTGAGAGCGCAGTTTTGAAACTCTCTTTCTGTGGCATCTGCAAGGGGACATGTAGACCTCTTTGAAGATTTCGTTGGAAACGGAATCATCTTCACATAAAAACTATACAGAAGCCGTCTCAGAATCTTCTTCGTGATGTTTGCATTCAAATCCCAGAGTTGAACTTTCCTTTCAAAGTTCACGTTTGAAACACTCTTTTTGCAGGATCTACAAGTGGATATTTGGACCACTCTGTGTCCTTCGTTCGAAACGGGTATATCTTCACATGACATCTAGACAGAAGCTTTCTCAGAAAATTCTTTGGGATGATTGAGTTGAACTCACAGAGCTGAGCATTCCTTGCGATGTAGCAGTTTAGAAACACACTTTCTGCAGAATCTGCAAGTGCATATTTGGACCTCTCTGAGGAATTCGTTGGAAACGGGATAATTTCAGCTGACTAAACAGAAGCATTCTCAGAACCTTCTTCGTGATGTCTGCATTCAACACAAAGTGTGGAACCTTTCTTTGATAGTTCAGGTTTTAAAAACTCTTTTTGTAGAAACTGCAAGGGGATAATTGCACTCTTTGAGGAGTACCGTAGTAAAGGAAATAACTTCCTATAAAAAGAAGACAGAAGCATTCTCAGAACCCTCTTCGTGATGTTTGCATTCAACTCACAGTGCTGAACCTTTCTTTGATAGTTCAGCTTTGAAACACTCTTTTTGTAGAAACTGCAAGTGAATATTTGGTCCTCTCTGAGGATTTCGTTGGAAACAGGATAAAACGCACAGAACTAAACAGAAGCATTCTCAGAACCTTCTTCGTGATGTTTGCATTCAACTCACAGTGTTGAACCTTTCTTTGATAGTTCAGGTTTGAAACGGTCTTTCTGTAGAAACTGCAAGTAGATATTTGGACCTCTCTGAGGATTTCGTTGGAAACGGGATAACCCGCACAGAACTAAAACAGAAGCATTCACAGAAAACTCTTGGTGACGACTGAGTTTAACTCACAGAGCTGAACATTCCTTTGGATGGAGCAGTTTCGAAACACACTATTTGTAGAATGTGCAAGTGGATATTTAGGCCTCTCTGAGGATTTCGTTGGAAACGGGATAAACCGCACAGAACTAAACAGAAGCATTCTCAGAAACTACTTTGTGATGATTGCATTCAAGTCACAGAGTTGAACATTCCCTTTGACAGAGCAGTTTGGAAACTCTCTTTGTGTAGAATCTGCAAGTGGAGATATGGACCGCTTTGAGGCCTATGGTAGTAAAGGAAATAGCTTCATATAAAAGCTAGACAGTAGCATTCTCAGAAACTTCTTTGTGATGCTTGCATTCAACTCACAGAGTTGAACTTTCCTTTCGAGAGAGAAGCTTTGAAACACTCTTTTTCCAGAATCTGCAAGTGGACATTTGGAGGGCTTTGAGGCCTGTGGTGGAAAAGGAATTATCTTCCCGTAAAAGCTAGATAGAAGCATTGTCAGAAACTTCTTTGTGATGATTGCATTCAACTCACAGAGTTGAAGGTTCCTTTTCAAAGAGCAGTTTCCAATCACTCTTTGTGTGGAATCTGCAAGTGGATATTTGGACCTATTTTGAAGATTTCGTTGGAAACGGGAGAATCTTCACAGGAAAGCTAAACAGAAGCATTCTCAGAAACTTCTCTGTGATGTTTGTGTTCAACTCCCAGAGTTTCACATTGCTTTTCATAGAGTAGTTCTGAAACATGCTTTTCGTAGTGTCTACAAGTGGACATTTGGAGCGCTTTCAGGCCTGTGGTGGAAAACGAATTATGGTCACATAAAAACTGGAGAGAAGCCTTCTCAGAAACTTCTCTGTGATGATTGCATTCAACTCACAGAGTTGAACCCTCCTATGGATAGAGCAGTGTTGAAACTCTCTTTTTGTGGAATCTGCAAGTGGATATGTGGACCTCTCCGAAGATGTCTTTGGAAACGGGAATATCTTCACATAAAAACTAAACAGAAGCATTCTCAGAAACTTCTTGGTGATGTTTGCATTCAAATCCCAGAGTTGAACCTTCCTTTGATAGTTCAGGTTTGAAACACTCTTTTTGTAGGATCTGCAAGTGGATATTTGGACCACTCTGTGGCCTTCGTTCGAAACGGGTATATCTTCGCATAAAATCTAGACAGAAGCATTCTCAGAAAATACTTTGTGATGATTGAGTTTAACTCACAGAGCTGAACATTCCTTTGGATGGAGCAGGTTTGAGACACACCTTTTGTAGAATCTACAAGTGGATATTTGGACCTCTCTGAGGATTTCGTTGGAAACGGGATAACTGCACCTAACTAAACGGAAGCATTCTCAGAAACTGCTTTGTGATGATTGCATTCACCTCACAGAGTTGAACATTCCTATTGATAGAGCAGTTTGGAAACACTCTTGTTGTGGAATGTGCAAGTGGAGATTTGGAGCGCTTTGAGGCCTATGGTAGTAAAGGGAATAGCTTCATAGAAAAACTAGACAGATGCATTCTCAGGAACTTTTTGGTGATGTTTGTATTCAACTCCCAGAGTTGAACTTTCCTTTGGAAAGAGCAGCTATGAAACACTGTTTTTCTAGAATCTGCAAGTGGACGTTTGGAGGGCTTTGTGGTTTGTGGTGGAAAAGGAAATATCTTCACCTAAATACTAGATAGAAGCATCCTCAGAAGCTTCTCTGTGATGACTGCATTCAACTCACGGAGTTGAACACTCCTTTTGAGAGCGCAGTTTTGAAACTCTCTTTCTGTGGCATCTGCAAGGGGACATGTAGACCTCTTTGAAGATTTCGTTGGAAACGGAATCATCTTCACATAAAAACTACACAGAAGCAGTCTCAGAATCTTCTTTGTGATGTTTGCATTCAAATCCCCGAGTTGAACTTTCCTTTCAAAGTTCACGTTTGAAACACTCTTTTTGCAGGATCTACAAGTGGATATTTGGACCACTCTGTGTCCTTCGTTCGAAACGGGTATATCTTCACATGACATCTAGACAGAAGCTTTCTCAGAAAATTCTTTGGGATGATTGAGTTGAACTCACAGAGCTGAGCATTCCTTGCGATGTAGCAGTTTAGAAACACACTTTCTGCAGAATCTGCAAGTGCATATTTGGACCTCTGTGAGGAATTCGTTGGAAACGGGATAATTTCAGCTGACTAAACAGAAGCATTCTCAGAACCTTCTTCGTGATGTCTGCATTCAACTCACAGTGTGGAACCTTTCTTTGATAGTTCAGGTTTGAAACACTCTTTTTGTAGAAACTGCAAGGGGATAATTGCACTCTTTGAGGAGTACCGTAGTAAAGGAAATAACTTCCTATAAAAAGAAGACAGAAGCATTCTCAGAACCCTCTTCGTGATGTTTGCATTCAACTCACAGTGCTGAACCTTTCTTTGATAGTTCAGCTTTGAAACACTCTTTTTGTAGAAACTGCAAGTGGATATTTGGTCCTCTCTGAGGAATTCGTTGGAAACGGGATAAACTGCACAGAACTAAACAGAAGCATTCTCAGAACCTTCTTCGTGATGTTTGCATTCAACTCACAGTGTTGAACCTTTCTTTGATAGTTCAGGTTTGAAACGGTCTTTCTGTAGAAACTGCAAGTAGATATTTGGACCTCTCTGAGGATTTCGTTGGAAACGGGATAACCCGCACAGAACTAAAACAGAAGCATTCACAGAAAACTCTTGGTGACGACTGAGTTTAACTCACAGAGCTGAACATTCCTTTGGATGGAGCAGTTTCGAAACACACTATTTGTAGAATGTGCAAGTGGATATTTAGGCCTCTCTGAGGATTTCGTTGGAAACGGGATAAACCGCACAGAACTAAACAGAAGCATTCTCAGAAACTACTTTGTGATGATTGCATTCAAGTCACAGAGTTGAACATTCCCTTTGACAGAGCAGTTTGGAAACTCTCTTTGTGTAGAATCTGCAAGTGGAGATATGGACCGCTTTGAGGCCTATGGTAGTAAAGGAAATAGCTTCATATAAAAGCTAGACAGTAGCATTCTCAGAAACTTCTTTGTGATGCTTGCATTCAACTCACAGAGTTGAACTTTCCTTTCGAGAGAGAAGCTTTGAAACACTCTTTTTCCAGAATCTGCAAGTGGACATTTGGAGGGCTTTGAGGCCTGTGGTGGAAAAGGAATTATCTTCCCGTAAAAGCTAGATAGAAGCATTGTCAGAAACTTCTTTGTGATGATTGCATTCAACTCACAGAGTTGAAGGTTCCTTTTCAAAGAGCAGTTTCCAATCACTCTTTCTGTGGAATCTGCAAGTGGATATTTGGACCTATTTTGAAGATTTCGTTGGAAACGGGATAATCTTCACAGAAAAGCTAAACAGAAGCATTCTCAGAAACTTCTCTGTGATGTTTGTGTTCAACTCCCAGAGTTTCACATTGCTTTTCATAGAGTAGTTCTGAAACATGCTTTTCGTAGTGTCTACAAGTGGACATTTGGAGCGCTTTCAGGCCTGTGGTGGAAAACGAATTATGGTCACATAAAAACTGGAGAGAAGCCTTCTCAGAAACTTCTCTGTGATGATTGCATTCAACTCACAGAGTTGAACCCTCCTATGGATAGAGCAGTGTTGAAACTCTCTTTTTGTGGAATCTGCAAGTGGATATGTGGACCTCTCCGAAGATGTCTTTGGAAACGGGAATATCTTCACATAAAAACTAAACAGAAGCATTCTCAGAAACTTCTTGGTGATGTTTGCATTCAAATCCCAGAGTCGAACCTTCCTTTGATAGTTCAGGTTTGAAACACTCTTTTTGTAGGATCTGCAAGTGGATATTTGGACCACTCTGTGGCCTTCGTTCGAAACGGGTACATCTTCGCATAAAATCTAGACAGAAGCATTCTCAGAAAATACTTTGTGATGATTGAGTTTAACTCACAGAGCTGAACATTCCTTTGGATGGAGCAGGTTTGAGACACACTTTTTGTAGAATCTACAAGTGGATATTTGGACCTCTCTGAGGATTTCGTTGGAAACGGGATAACTGCACCTAACTAAACGGAAGCATTCTCAGAAACTGCTTTGTGATGATTGCATTCACCTCACACAGTTGACCATTCCTATTGATAGAGCAGTTTAGAAACACTCTTGTTGTGGAATGTGCAAGTGGAGATTTGGAGCGCTTTGAGGCCTATGGTAGTAAAGGGAATAGCTTCATAGAAAAACTAGACAGATGCATTCTCAGGAACTTTTTGGTGATGTTTGTATTCAACTCCCAGAGTTGAACTTTCCTTTGGAAAGAGCAGCTATGAAACACTCTTTTTCTAGAATCTGCAAGTGGACGTTTGGAGGGCTTTGTGGTTTGTGGTGGAAAAGGAAATATCTTCACCTAAATACTAGATAGAAGCATTCTCAGAAGCTTCTCTGTGATGACTGCATTCAACTCACGGAGTTGAACACTCCTTTTGAGAGCGCAGTTTTGAAACTCTCTTTCTGTGGCATCCGCAAGGGGACATGTGGACCTCTTTGAAGATTTCGTTGGAAACGGAATCATCTTCACATAAAAACTATACAGAAGCAGTCTCAGAATCTTCTTTGTGATGTTTGCATTCAAATCCCAGAGTTGAACTTTCCTTTCAAAGTTCACGTTTGAAACACTCTTTTTGCAGGATCTACAAGTGGATATTTGGACCACTCTGTGTCCTTCGTTCGAAACGGGTATATCTTCACATGACATCTAGACAGAAGCTTTCTCAGAAAATTCTTTGGGATGATTGAGTGGAACTCACAGAGCTGAACATTCCTTGCGATGTAGCAGTTTAGAAACACACTTTCTGCAGAATCTGCAACTGCATATTTGGACATCTCTGAGGAATTCTTTGGAAACGGGATAATTTCAGCTGACTAAACAGAAGCATTCTCAGAACCTTCTTCGTGATGTCTGCATTCAACTCACAGTGTGGAACCTTTCTTTGATAGTTCAGGTTTGAAACACTCTTTTTGTAGAAACTGCAAGGGGATAATTGCACTTCTTTGAGGCCTACCGTAGTAAAGGAAATAACTTCCTATAGAAAGAAGACAGAAGCATTCTCAGAACCCTCTTCGTGATGTTTGCATTCAACTCACAGTGCTGAACCTTTCTTTGATAGTTCAGCTTTGAAACACTCTTCTTGTAGAAACTGCAAGTGGATATTTGGTCCTCTCTGAGGATTTCGTTGGAAACGGGTAAACCGCACAGAACTAAACAGAAGAATTCTCAGAGCCCTCTTCGTGATGTTTGCATTCAACTCACAGTGCTGAACCTTTCTTTGATAGTGCAGCTTTGAAACACTCTTTTTGTAGAAACTGCAAGTGGATATTTGGTCCTCTCTGAGGATTTCGTTGGAAACGGGATAAACCGCACAGAACTAAAACAGAAGCATTGTCAGAAACTTCTTTGTGATGATTGCATTCAACTCACAGAGTTGAAGGTTCCTTTTCAAACAGCAGTTTCCAATCACTCTTTCTGTGGAATCTGCAAGTGGATATTTGGGCCTCTCTGAGGATTTCGTTGGAAACGGGATAAAACCCACAGAACTAAAACAGAAGCATTCTCAGAAACTTCTCTGTGATGTTTGTGTTCAACTCCCAGAGTTTCACGTTGCTTTTCATAGAGTAGTTCTGAAACATGCTTTTCGTAGTGTCTGCAAGTGGACATTTGGAGCACTTTCAGGCCTGTGGTAGAAAACGAATTATGGTCACATAAAAACTGGAGAGAAGCCTTCTCAGAAACTTCTCTGTGATGATTGCATTCAACTCACAGAGTTGAACCCTCCTATGGATAGAGCAGTGTTGAAACTCTCTTTTTGTGGAATCTGCAAGTGGATATGTGGACCTCTCCGAAGATGTCTTTGGAAACGGGAATATCTTCACATAAAAACTAAACAGAAGCATTCTCAGAAACTTCTTGGTGATGTTTGCATTCAAATCCCAGAGTTGAACCTTCCTTTGATAGTTCAGGTTTGAAACACTCTTTCTGTAGGATCTGCAAGTGGCTATTTGGACCACTCTGTGGCCTTCGTTCGAAACGGGTATATCTTCGCATAAAATCTAGACAGAAGCATTCTCAGAAAATACTTTGTGATGATTGAGTTTAAATCACAGAGCTGACCATTCCTTTGGATGGAGCAGGTTTGAGACACACTTTTTGTAGAATCTACAAGTGGATATTTGGACCTCTCTGAGGATTTCGTTGGAAACGGGATAACTGCACCTAACTAAACGGAAGCATTCTCAGAAACTGCTTTGTGATGATTGCATTCACCTCACAGAGTTGAACATTCCTATTGATAGAGCAGTTTGGAAACACTCTTGTTGTGGAATGTGCAAGTGGAGATTTGGAGCGCTTTGAGGCCTATGGTAATAAAGGGAATAGCTTCATAGAAAAACTAGACAGATGCATTCTCAGGAACTTTTTGGTGATGTTTGTATTCAACTCCCAGAGTTGAACTTTCCTTTGGAAAGAGCAGCTATGAAACACTCTTTTTCTAGAATCTGCAAGTGGACGTTTGGAGGGCTTTGTGGTTTGTGGTGGAAAAGGAAATATCTTCACCTAAATACTAGATAGAAGCATTCTCAGAAGCTTCTCTGTGATGACTGCATTCAACTCACGGAGTTGAACACTCCTTTTGAGAGCGCAGTTTTGAAACTCTCTTTCTGTGGCATCTGCAAGGGGACATGTAGACCTCTTTGAAGATTTCGTTGGAAACGGAATCATCTTCACATAAAAACTATACAGAAGCAGTCTCAGAATCTTCTTTGTGATGTTTGCATTCAAATCCCAGAGTTGAACTTTCCTTTCAAAGTTCACGTTTGAAACACTCTTTTTGCAGGATCTACAAGTGGATATTTGGACCACTCTGTGTCCTTCGTTCGAAACGGGTATATCTTCATATGACATCTAGACAGAAGCTTTCTCAGAAAATTCTTTGGGATGATTGAGTTGAACTCACAGAGCTGAACATTCCTTGTGATGGAGCAGTTTAGAAACACACTTTCTGTAGAATCTGCAAGTGCATATTTGGACCTCTCTGAGGAATTCGTTGGAAACGGGATAATTTCAGCTGACTAAACAGAAGCATTCTCAGAACCTTCTTCGTGATGTCTGCATTCAACTCACAGTGTGGAACCTTTCTTTGATAGTTCAGGTTTGAAACACTCTTTTTGTAGAAACTGCAAGGGGATAATTGCACTTCTTTGAGGCCTACCGTAGTAAAGGAAATAACTTCCTATAGAAAGAAGACAGAAGCATTCTCAGAACCCTCTTCGTGATGTTTGCATTCAACTCACAGCGCTGAAACTTTCTTTGATAGTTCAGCTTTGAAACACTCTTCTTGTAGAAACTGCAAGTGGATATTTGGTCCTCTCTGAGGATTTCGTTGGAAACGGGATAAACCACACAGAACTAAACAGAAGCATTCTCAGAACCTTCTTCGTGATGTTTGCATTCAACTCACAGTGTTGAACCTTTCTTTGATAGTTCAGGTTTCAAACGGTCTTTCTGTAGAAACTGCAAGAAGATATTTGGACCTCTCTGAGGATTTCGTTGGAAACGGGATAAACCGCACAGAACTAAAACAGAAGCATTCACAGAAAACTCTTGGTGACGACTGAGTTTAACTCACAGAGCTGAACATTCCTTTGGATGGAGCAGTTTCGAAACACACTATTTGTAGAATGTGCAAGTGGATATTTGGGCCTCTCTGAGGATTTCGTTGGAAACGGGATAAACCGCACAGAACTAAACAGAAGCATTCTCAGAAACTACTTTGTGATGATTGCATTCAAGTCACAGAGTTGAACATTCCCTTTGACAGAGCAGTTTGGAAACTCTCTTTGTGTAGAATCTGCAAGTGGAGATATGGACCGCTTTGAGGCCTATGGTAGTAAAGGAAATAGCTTCATATAAAAGCTAGACAGTAGCATTCTCAGAAACTTCTTTGTGATGCTTGCATTCAACTCACAGAGTTGAACTTTCCTTTCGAGAGAGAAGCTTTGAAACACTCTTTTTCCAGAATCTGCAAGTGGACATTTGGAGGGCTTTGAGGCCTGTGGTGGAAAAGGAATTAACTTCCCGTAAAAGCTAGATAGAAGCATTGTCAGAAACTTCTTTGTGATGATTGCATTCAACTCACAGAGATGAAGGTTCCTTTACAAACAGCAGTTTCCAAACACTCTTTCTGTGGAATCTGCAAGTGGATATTTGGACCTCTTTGAAGATTTCGTTGGAAACGGGAGAATCTTCACAGAAAAGCTAAACAGAAGCATTCTCAGAAACTTCTCTGTGATGTTTGTGTTCAACTCCCAGAGTTTCACATTGCTTTTCATAGAGTAGTTCTGAAACATGCTTTTCGTAGTGTCTGCAAGTGGACATTTGGAGTGCTTTCAGGCCTGTGGTGGAAAACGAATTATGGTCCCATAAAAACTGGAGAGAAGCCTTCTCAGAAACTTCTCTGTGATGATTGCATTCAACTCACAGATTTGAACCCTCCTATGGATAGAGCATTGTTGAAACTCTCTTTTTGTGGAATCTGCAAGTGGATATGTGGACCTCTCCGAAGATGTCTTTGGAAACGGGCATATCTTCACATAAAAACTAAACAGAAGCATTCTCAGAAACTTCTTGGTGATGTTTGCATTCAAATCCCAGAGTTGAACCTTCCTGTGATAGTTCAGGTTTGAAACACTCTTTTTGTAGGATCTGCAAGTGGATATTTGGACCACTCTGTGGCCTTCGTTCGAAACGGGTACATCTTCACATAAAATCTAGACAGAAGCATTCTCAGAAAATACTTTGTGATGATTGAGTTTAACTCACAGAGCTGAACATTCCTTTGGATGGAGCAGGTTTGAGACACACTTTTTGTAGAATCTACAAGTGGATATTTGGACCTCTCTGAGGATTTCGTTGGAAACGCGATAACTGCACCTAACTAAACGGAAGCATTCTCAGAAACTGCTTTGTGATGATTGCATTCACCTCACAGAGTTGAACATTCCTATTGATAGAGCAGTTTGGAAACACTCTTGTTGTGGAATGTGCAAGTGGAGATTTGGAGCGCTTTGAGGCCTATGGTAGTAAAGGGAATAGCTTCATAGAAAAACTAGACAGATGCATTCTCAGGAACTTTTTGGTGATGTTTGTATTCAACTCCCAGAGTTGAACTTTCCTTTGGAAAGAGCAGCTATGAAACACTGTTTCTCTAGAATCTGCAAGTGGACGTTTGGAGGGCTTTGTGGTTTGTGGTGGAAAAGGAAATATCTTCACCTAAATACTAGATAGAAGCATTCTCAGAAGCTTCTCTGTGATGACTGCATTCAACTCAGGGAGTTGAACACTCCTTTTGAGAGCGCAGTTTTGAAACTCTCTTTCTGTGGCATCTGCAAGGGGACATGTAGACCTCTTTGAAGATTTCGTTGGAAACGGAATCATCTTCACATAAAAACTATACAGAAGCAGTCTCAGAATCTTCTTTGTGATGTTTGCATTCAAATCCCCGAGTTGAACTTTCCTTTCAAAGTTCACGTTTGAAACACTCTTTTTGCAGGATCTACAAGTGGATATTTGGACCACTCTGTGTCCTTCGTTCGAAACGGGTATATCTTCACATGACATCTAGACAGAAGCTTTCTCAGAAAATTCTTTGGGATGATTGAGTTGAACTCACAGAGCTGAGCATTCCTTGCGATGTAGCAGTTTAGAAACACACTTTCTGCAGAATCTGCAAGTGCATATTTGGACCTCTCTGAGGAATTCGTTGGAAACGGGATAATTTCAGCTGACTAAACAGAAGCATTCTCAGAACCTTCTTCGTGATGTCTGCATTCAACTCACAGTGTGGAACCTTTCTTTGATAGTTCAGGTTTGAAACACTCTTTCTGTAGAAACTGCAAGGGGATAATTGCACTCTTTGAGGAGTACCGTAGTAAAGGAAATAACTTCCTATAAAAAGAAGACAGAAGCATTCTCAGAACCCTCTTCGTGATGTTTGCATTCAACTCACAGTGCTGAATCTTTCTTTGATAGTTCAGCTATGAAACACTCTTTTTGTAGAAACTGCAAGTGGATATTTGGTCCTCTCTGAGCATTTCGTTGGAAACGGGATAAACTGCACAGAACTAAACAGAAGCATTCTCAGAACCTTCTTCGTGATGTTTGCATTCAACTCACAGTGTTGAACCTTTCTTTGATAGTTCAGGTTTGAAACGGTCTTTCTGTAGAAACTGCAAGTAGATATTTGGACCTCTCTGAGGATTTCGTTGGAAACGGGATAACCCGCACAGAACTAAAACAGAAGCATTCACAGAAATCTCTTGGTGACGACTGAGTTTAACTCACAGAGCTGAACATTCCTTTGGATGGAGCAGTTTCGAAACACACTATTTGTAGAATGTGCAAGTGGATATGTGGGCCTCTCTGAGGATTTCGTTGGAAACGGGATAAACCGCACAGAACTAAACAGAAGCATTCTCAGAAACTACTTTGTGATGATTGCATTCAAGTCACAGAGTTGAACATTCCCTTTGACAGAGCAGTTTGGAAACTCTCTTTGTGTAGAATCTGCAAGTGGAGATATGGACCGCTTTGAGGCCTATGGTAGTAAAGGAAATAGCTTCATATAAAAGCTAGACAGTAGCATTCTCAGAAACTTCTTTGTGATGCTTGCATTCAACTCACAGAGTTGAACTTTCCTTTCGAGAGAGAAGCTTTGAAACACTCTTTTTCCAGAATCTGCAAGTGGACATTTGGAGGGCTTTGAGGCCTGTGGTGGAAAAGGAATTATCTTCCCGTAAAAGCTAGATAGAAGCATTGTCAGAAACTTCTTTGTGATGATTGCATTCAACTCACAGAGTTGAAGGTTCCTTTTCAAAGAGCAGTTTCCAATCACTCTTTGTGTGGAATCTGCAAGTGGATATTTGGACCTATTTTGAAGATTTCGTTGGAAACGGGAGAATCTTCACAGGAAAGCTAAACAGAAGCATTCTCAGAAACTTCTCTGTGATGTTTGTGTTCAACTCCCAGAGTTTCACATTGCTTTTCATAGAGTAGTTCTGAAACATGCTTTTCGTAGTGTCTACAAGTGGACATTTGGAGCGCTTTCAGGCCTGTGGTGGAAAACGAATTATGGTCACATAAAAACTGGAGAGAAGCCTTCTCAGAAACTTCTCTGTGATGATTGCATTCAACTCACAGAGTTGAACCCTCCTATGGATAGAGCAGTGTTGAAACTCTCTTTTTGTGGAATCTGCAAGTGGATACGTGGACCTCTCCGAAGATGTCTTTGGAAACGGGAATATCTTCACATAAAAACTAAACAGAAGCATTCTCAGAAACTTCTTGGTGATGTTTGCATTCAAATCCCAGAGTTGAACCTTCCTTTGATAGTTCAGGTTTGAAACACTCTTTTTGTAGGATCTGCAAGTGGATATTTGGACCACTCTGTGGCCTTCGTTCGAAACGGGTATATCTTCGCATAAAATCTAGACAGAAGCATTCTCAGAAAATACTTTGTGATGATTGAGTTTAACTCACAGAGCTGAACATTCCTTTGGATGGAGCAGGTTTGAGACACACTTTTTGTAGAATCTACAAGTGGATATTTGGACCTCTCTGAGGATTTCGTTGGAAACGGGATAACTGCACCTAACTAAACGGGAAGCATTCTCAGAAACTGCTTTGTGATGATTGCATTCACCTCACAGAGTTGAACATTCCTATTGATAGAGCAGTTTGGAAACACTCTTGTTGTGGAATGTGCAAGTGGAGATTTGGAGCGCTTTGAGGCCTATGGTAGTAAAGGGAATAGCTTCATAGAAAAACTAGACAGATGCATTCTCAGGAACTTTTTGGTGATGTTTGTATTCAACTCCCAGAGTTGAACTTTCCTTTGGAAAGAGCAGCTATGAAACACTCTTTTTCTAGAATCTGCAAGTGGACGTTTGGAGGGCTTTGTGGTTTGTGGTGGAAAAGGAAATATCTTCACCTAAATACTAGATAGAAGCATTCTCAGAAGCTTCTCTGTGATGACTGCATTCAACTCACGGAGTTGAACACTCCTTTTGAGAGCGCAGTTTTGAAACTCTCTTTCTGTGGCATCTGCAAGGGGACATGTAGACCTCTTTGAAGATTTCGTTGGAAACGGAATCATCTTCACATAAAAACTATACAGAAGCAGTCCCAGAATCTTCTTTGTGATGTTTGCATTCAAATCCCAGAGTTGAACTTTCCTTTCAAAGTTCACGTTTGAAACACTCTTTTTGCAGGATCTACAAGTCGATATTTGGACCACTCTGCGTCCTTCGTTCGAAACGGGTATATCTTCACATGACATCTAGACTGAAGCTTTCTCAGAAAATTCTTTGGGATGATTGAGTTGAGCAAACAGAGCTGAACACTCCTTGCGATGTAGCAGTTTAGAAACACACTTTCTGCAGAATCTGCAAGTGCATATGTGGACCTCTCTGAGGAATTCGTTGGAAATAGGATAATTTCAGCTGACTAAACAGAAGCATTCTCAGAACCTTCTTCGTGATGTCTGCATTCAACTCACAGTGTGGAACCTTTCTTTGATAGTTCAGGTTTGAAACACTCTTTTTGGAGAAACTGCAAGGGGATCATTGCACTTCTTTGAGGCCTACCGTAGTAAAGGAGATAACTTCCTATAAAAAGAAGACAGAAGCATTCTCAGAACCCTCTTCGTGATGTTTGCATTCAACTCACGGTGCTGAACCTTTCTTTGATAGTTCAGCTTTGAAACACTCTTTTTGTTGAAACTGCAATTGGATATTTGGTCCTCTCTGAGGATTTCGTTGGAAACGGGATAAACCGCACAGAACTAAACAGAAGCATTCTCAGAACCTTCTTCGTGATGTTTGCATTCAACTCACAGTGTTGAACCTTTCTTTGATAGTTCAGGTTTGAAACGGTCTTTCTGTAGAAACTGCAAGTAGATATTTGGACCTCTCTGAGGATTTCGTTGGAAACGGGATAAACCGCACAGAACTAAAACAGAAGCTTTCACAGAAAACTCTTGGTGACGACTGAGTTTAACTCACAGAGCTGAACATTCCTTTGGATGGAGCAGTTTCGAAACACACTATTTGTAGAATGTGCAAGTGGATATGTGGGCCTCTCTGAGGATTTCGTTGGAAACGGGATAAACCGCCCAGAACTAAACAGAAGCATTCTCAGAAACTACTTTGTGATGATTGCATTCAAGTCACAGAGTTGAACATTCCCTTTGACAGAGCAGTTTGGAAACTCTCTTTGTGTAGAATCTGCAAGTGGAGATATGGACCGCTTTGAGGCCTATGGTAGTAAAGGAAATAGCTTCATATAAAAGCTAGACAGTAGCATTCTCAGAAACTTCTTTGTGATGCTTGCATTCAACTCACAGAGTTGAACTTTCCTTTCGAGAGAGAAGCTTTGAAACACTCTTTTTCCAGAATCTGCAAGTGGACATTTGGAGGGCTTTGAGGCCTGTGGTGGAAAAGGAATTATCTTCCCGTAAAAGCTAGATAGAAGCATTGTCAGAAACTTCTTTGTGATGATTGCATTCAACTCACAGAGTTGAAGGTTCCTTTTCAAAGAGCAGTTTCCAATCACTCTTTCTGTGGAATCTGCAAGTGGATATTTGGACCTATTTTGAAGATTTCGTTGGAAACGGGAGAATCTTCACAGAAAAGCTAAACAGAAGCATTCTCAGAAACTTCTCTGTGATGTTTGTGTTCAACTCCCAGAGTTTCACATTGCTTTTCATAGAGTAGTTCTGAAACATGCTTTTCGTAGTGTCTACAAGTGGACATTTGGAGCGCTTTCAGGCCTGTGGTGGAAAACGAATTATGGTCACATAAAAACTGGAGAGAAGCCTTCTCAGAAACTTCTCTGTGATGATTGCATTCAACTCACAGAGTTGAACCCTCCTATGGATAGAGCAGTGTTGAAACTCTCTTTTTGTGGAATCTGCATGTGGATATGTGGACCTCTCCGAAGATGTCTTTGGAAACGGGAATATCTTCACATAAAAACTAAACAGAAGCATTCTCAGAAACTTCTTGGTGATGTTTGCATTCAAATCCCAGAGTTGAACCTTCCTTTGATAGTTCAGGTTTGAAACACTCTTTTTGTAGGATCTGCAAGTGGATATTTGGACCACTCTGTGGCCTTCGTTCGAAACGGGTATATCTTCGCATAAAATCTAGACAGAAGCATTCTCAGAAAATACTTTGTGATGATTGAGCTTAACTCACAGAGCTGAACATTCCTTTGGATGGAGCAGGTTTGAGACACACTTTTTGTAGAATCTACAAGTGGATATTTGGACCTCTCTGAGGATTTCGTTGGAAACGGGATAACTGCACCTAACTAAACGGAAGCATTCTCAGAAACTGCTTTGTGATGATTGCATTCACCTCACAGAGTTGAACATTCCTATTGATAGAGCAGTTTGGAAACACTCTTGTTGTGGAATGTGCAAGTGGAGATTTGGAGCGCTTTGAGGCCTATGGTAGTAAAGGGAATAGCTTCATAGAAAAACTAGACAGATGCATTCTCAGGAACTTTTTGGTGATGTTTGTATTCAACTCCCAGAGTTGAACTTTCCTTTGGAAAGAGCAGCTATGAAACACTCTTTTTCTAGAATCTGCAAGTGGACGTTTGGAGGGCTTTGTGGTTTGTGGTGGAAAAGGAAATATCTTCACCTAAATACTAGATAGAAGCATTCTCAGAAGCTTCTCTGTGATGACTGCATTGAACTCACGGAGTTGAACACTCCTTTTGAGAGCGCAGTTTTGAAACTCTCTTTCTGTGGCATCTGCAAGGGGACATGTAGACCTCTTTGAAGATTTCGTTGGAAACGGAATCATCTTCACATCAAAACTATACAGAAGCAGTCCCAGAATCTTCTTTGTGATGTTTGCATTCAAATCCCAGAGTTGAACTTTCCTTTCCAAGTTCACGTTTGAAACACTCTTTTTGCAGGATCTACAAGTCGATATTTGGACCACTCTGCGTCCTTCGTTCGAAACGGGTATATCTTCACATGACATCTAGACAGAAGCTTTCTCAGAAAATTCTTTGGGATGATTGAGTTGAGCAAACAGAGCTGAACACTCCTTGCGATGTAGCAGTTTAGAAACACACTTTCTGCAGAATCTGCAAGTGCATATGTGGACCTCTCTGAGGAATTCGTTGGAAATGGGATAATTTCAGCTGACTAAACAGAAGCATTCTCAGAACCTTCTTCGTGATGTCTGCATTCAACTCACAGTGTGGAACCTTTCTTTGATAGTTCAGGTTTGAAACACTCTTTTTGTAGAAACTGCAAGGGGATCATTGCACTTCTTTGAGGCCTACCGTAGTAAAGGAGATAAGTTCCTATAAAAAGAAGACAGAAGCATTCTCAGAACCCTCTTCGTGATGTTTGCATTCAACTCACGGTGCTGAACCTTTCTTTGATAGTTCAGCTTTGAAACACTCTTTTTGTAGAAACTGCAAGTGGATATTTGGTCCTCTCTGAGGATTTCGTTGGAAACGGGATAAACCGCACAGAACTAAACAGAAGCATTCTCAGAACCTTCTTCGTGATGTTTGCATTCAACTCACAGTGTTGAACCTTTCTTTGATAGTTCAGGTTTGAAACGGTCTTTCCGTAGAAACTGCAGGTAGATATTTGGACCTCTCTGAGGATTTCGTTGGAAACGGGATAAACCGCACACAACTAAAACAGAAGCATTCACAGAAAACTCTTGGTGACGACTGAGTTTAACTCACAGAGCTGAACATTCCTTTGGATGGAGCAGTTTCGAAACACACTATTTGTAGAATGTGCAAGTGGATATGTGGGCCTCTCTGAGGATTTCGTTGGAAACGGGATAAACCGCACAGAACTAAACAGAAGCATTCTCAGAAACTACTTTGTGATGATTGCATTCAAGTCACAGAGTTGAACATTCCCTTTGACAGAGCAGTTTGGAAACTCTCTTTGTGTAGAATCTGCAAGTGGAGATATGGAACGCTTTGAGGCCTATGGTAGTAAAGGAAATAGCTTCATATAAAAGCTAGACAGTAGCATTCTCAGAAACTTCTTTGTGATGCTTGCATTCAACTCACAGAGTTGAACTTTCCTTTCGTGAGAGAAGCTTTGAAACAGTCTTTTTCCAGAATCTGCAAGTGGATCATTTGGAGGGCTTTGAGGCCTGTGGTGGAAAAGGAATTATCTTCCCGTAAAAGCTAGATAGAAGCATTGTCAGAAACTTCTTTGTGATGATTGCATTCAACTCACAGAGTTGAAGGTTCCTTTTCAAACAGCAGTTTCCAATCACTCTTTCTGTGGAATCTGCAAGTGGATATTTGGGCCTCTCTGAGGATTTCGTTGGAAACGGGATAAAACGCACAGAACTAAAACAGAAGCATTCTCAGAAACTTCTCTGTGATGTTTGTGTTCAACTCCCAGAGTTTCACGTTGCTTTTCATAGAGTAGTTCTGAAACATGCTTTTCGTAGTGTCTGCAAGTGGACATTTGGAGCGCTTTCAGGCCTGTGGTGGAAAACGAATTATGGTCACATAAAAACTGGAGAGAAGCCTTCTCAGAAACTTCTCTGTGATGATTGCATTCAACTCACAGAGTTGAACCCTCCTATGGATAGAGCAGTGTTGAAACTCTCTTTTTGTGGAATCTGCAAGTGGATATGTGGACCTCTCCGAAGATGTCTTTGGAAACGGGAATATCTTCACATAAAAACTAAACAGAAGCATTCTCAGAAACTTCTTGGTGATGTTTGCATTCAAATCCCAGAGTTGAACCTTCCTTTGATAGTTCAGGTTTGAAACACTCTTTCTGTAGGATCTGCAAGTGGCTATTTGGACCACTCTGTGGCCTTCGTTCGAAACGGGTATATCTTCGCATAAAATCTAGACAGAAGCATTCTCAGAAAATACTTTGTGATGATTGAGTTTAAATCACAGAGCTGACCATTCCTTTGGATGGAGCAGGTTTGAGACACACTTTTTGTAGAATCTACAAGTGGATATTTGGACCTCTCTGAGGATTTCGTTGGAAACGGGATAACTGCACCTAACTAAACGGAAGCATTCTCAGAAACTGCTTTGTGATGATTGCATTCACCTCACAGAGTTGAACATTCCTATTGATAGAGCAGTTTGGAAACACTCTTGTTGTGGAATGTGCAAGTGGAGATTTGGAGCGCTTTGAGGCCTATGGTAGTAAAGGGAATAGCTTCATAGAAAAACTAGACAGATGCATTCTCAGGAACCTTTTGGTGATGTTTGTATTCAACTCCCAGAGTTGAACTTTCCTTTGGAAAGAGCAGCTATGAAACACTCTTTTTCTAGAATCTGCAAGTGGACGTTTGGAGGGCTTTGTGGTTTGTGGTGGAAAAGGAAATATCTTCACCTAAATACTAGACAGAAGCATTCTCAGAAGCTTCTCTGTGATGACTGCATTCAACTCACGGAGTTGAACACTCCTTTTGAGAGCGCAGTTTTGAAACTCTCTTTCTGTGGCATCTGCAAGGGGACATGTAGACCTCTTTGAAGATTTCGTTGGAAACGGAATCATCTTCACATAAAAACTATACAGAAGCAGTCTCAGAATCTTCTTTGTGATGTTTGCATTCAAATCCCAGAGTTGAACTTTCCTTTCAAAGTTCACGTTTGAAACACTCTTTTTGCAGGATCTACAAGTGGATATTTGGACCACTCTGTGTCCTTCGTTCGAAACGGGTATATCTTCACACGACATCTAGACAGAAGCTTTCTCAGAAAATTCTTTGGGATGATTGAGTGGAACTCACAGAGCTGAACATTCATTGCGATGTAGCAGTTTAGAAACACACTTTCTGCAGAATCTGCAAGTGCATATTTGGACCTCTCTGAGGAATTCGTTGGAAACGGGATAATTTCAGCTGACTAAACAGAAGCATTCTCAGAACCTTCTTCGTGATGTCTGCATTCAACTCACAGTGTGGAACCTTTCTTTGATAGTTCAGGTTTGAAACACTCTTTTTGTAGAAACTGCAAGGGGATAATTGCACTTCTTTGAGGCCTACCGTAGTAAAGGAAATAACTTCCTATAGAAAGAAGACAGAAGCATTCTCAGAACCCTCTTCGTGATGTTTGCATTCAACTCACAGTGCTGAACCTTTCTTTGATAGTTCAGCTTTGAAACACTCTTCTTGTAGAAACTGCAAGTGGATATTTGGTCCTCTCTGAGGATTTCGTTGGAAACGGGATAAACCGCACAGAACTAAACAGAAGAATTCTCAGAGCCCTCTTCGTGATGTTTGCATTCAACTCACAGTGCTGAACCTTTCTTTGATAGTGCAGCTTTGAAACACTCTTTTTGTAGAAACTGCAAGTGGATGTTTGGTCCTCTCTGAGGATTTCGTTGGAAACGGGATAAACCGCACAGAACTAAAACAGAAGCATTGTCAGAAACTTCTTTGTGATGATTGCATTCAACTCACAGAGTTGAAGGTTCCTTTTCAAACAGCAGTTTCCAATCACTCTTTCTGTGGAATCTGCAAGTGGATATTTGGGCCTCTCTGAGGATTTCGTTGGAAACGGGATAAAACGCACAGAACTAAAACAGAAGCATTCTCAGAAACTTCTCTGTGATGTTTGTGTTCAACTCCCAGAGTTTCACCGTTGCTTTTCATAGAGTAGTTCTGAAACATGCTTTTCGTAGTGTCTGCAAGTGGACATTTGGAGCGCTTTCAGGCCTGTGGTGGAAAACGAATTATGGTCACATAAAAACTGGAGAGAAGCCTTCTCAGAAACTTCTCTGTGATGATTGCATTCAACTCACAGAGTTGAACCCTCCTATGGATAGAGCAGTGTTGAAACTCTCTTTTTGTGGAATCTGCAAGTGGATATGTGGACCTCTCCGAAGATGTCTTTGGAAACGGGAATATCTTCACATAAAAACTAAACAGAAGCATTCTCAGAAACTTCTTGGTGATGTTTGCATTCAAATCCCAGAGTTGAACCTTCCTTTGATAGTTCAGGTTTGAAACACTCTTTCTGTAGGATCTGCAAGTGGCTATTTGGACCACTCTGTGGCCTTCGTTCGAAACGGGTATATCTTCGCATAAAATCTAGACAGAAGCATTCTCAGAAAATACTTTGTGATGATTGAGTTTAAATCACAGAGCTGACCATTCCTTTGGATGGAGCAGGTTTGAGACACACTTTTTGTAGAATCTACAAGTGGATATTTGGACCTCTCTGAGGATTTCGTTGGAAACGGGATAACTGCACCTAACTAAACGGAAGCATTCTCAGAAACTGCTTTGTGATGATTGCATTCACCTCACAGAGTTGAACATTCGTATTGATAGAGCAGTTTGGAAACACTCTTCTTGTGGAATGTGCAAGTGGAGATTTGGAGCGCTTTGGGGCCTATGGTAGTAAAGGGAATAGCTTCATAGAAAAACTAGACAGATGCATTCTCAGGAACTTTTTGGTGATGTTTGTATTCAACTCCCAGAGTTGAACTTTCCTTTGGAAAGAGCAGCTATGAAACACTGTTTTTCTAGAATCTGCAAGTGGACGTTTGGAGGGCTTTGTGGTTTGTGGTGGAAAAGGAAATATCTTCACCTAAATACTAGATAGAAGCATTCTCAGAAGCTTCTCTGTGATGACTGCATTCAACTCACGGAGTTGAACACTCCTTTTGAGAGCGCAGTTTTGAAACTCTCTTTCTGTGGCATCTGCAAGGGGACATGTAGACCTCTTTGAAAATTTCGTTGGAAACGGAATCATCTTCACATAAAAACTACACAGAAGCAGTCTCAGAATCTTCTTTGTGATGTTTGCATTCAAATCCCAGAGTTGAACTTTCCTTTCAAAGTTCACGTTTGAAACACTCTTTTTGCAGGATCTACAAGTGGATATTTGGACCACTCTGTGTCCTTCGTTCGAAACGGGTATATCTTCACATGACATCTAGACAGAAGCTTTCTCAGAAAATTCTTTGGGATGATTGAGTTGAAATCACAGAGCTGAGCATTCCTTGCGATGTAGCAGTTTAGAAACACACTTTCTGCAGAATCTGCAAGTGCATATTTGGACCTCTCTGAGGAATTCGTTGGAAACGGGATAATTTCAGCTGACTAAACAGAAGCATTCTCAGAACCTTCTTCGTGATGTCTGCATTCAACTCAAAGTGTGGAACCTTTCTTTGATAGTTCAGGTTTTAAAAACTCTTTTTGTAGAAACTGCAAGGGGATAATTGCACTCTTTGAGGAGTACCGTAGTAAAGGAAATAACTTCCTATAAAAAGAAGACAGAAGCATTCTCAGAACCCTCTTCGTGATGTTTGCATTCAACACACAGTGCTGAACCTTTCTTTGATAGTTCAGCTTTGAAACACTCTTTTTGTAGAAACTGCAAGTGGATATTTGGTCCTCTCTGACGATTTCGTTGGAAATGGGATAAAACGCACAGAACGAAACAGAAGCATTCTCAGAACCTTCTTCGTGATGTTTGCATTCAACTCACAGTGTTGAACCTTTCTTTGATAGTTCAGGTTTGAAACGGTCTTTCTGTAGAAACTGCAAGTAGATATATGGACCTCTCTGAGGATTTCGTTGGAAACGGGATAACCCGCACAGAACTAAAACAGAAGCATTCACAGAAAACTCTTGGTGACGACTGAGTTTAACTCACAGAGCTGAACATTCCTTTGGATGGAGCAGTTTCGAAACACACTATTTGTAGAATGTGCAAGTGGATATTTGGGCCTCTCTGAGGATTTCGTTGGAAATGGGATAAACCGCACAGAACTAAACAGAAGCATTCTCAGAAACTACTTTGTGATGATTGCATTCAAGTCACAGAGTTGAACATTCCCTTTGACAGAGCAGTTTGGAAACTCTCTTTGTGTAGAATCTGCAAGTGGAGATATGGACCGCTTTGAGGCCTATGGTAGTAAAGGAAATAGCTTCATATAAAAGCTAGACAGTAGCATTCTCAGAAACTTCTTTGTGATGCTTGCATTCAACTCACAGAGTTGAACGTTCCTTTCGAGAGAGAAGTTTTGAAACACTCTTTTTCCAGAATCTGCAAGTGGACATTTGGAGGGCTTTGAGGCCTGTGGTGTAAAAGGAATTAACTTCCCGTAAAAGCTAGATAGAAGCATTGTCAGAAACTTCTTTGTGATGATTGCATTCAACTCACAGAGTTGAAGGTTCCTTTTCAAAGAGCAGTTTCCAATCACTCTTTCTGTGGAATCTGCAAGAGGATATTTCGACCTATTTTGAAGATTTCGTTGGAAACGGGATAATCTTCACAGAAAAGCTAAACAGAAGCATTCTCAGAAACTTCTCTGTGATGTTTGTGTTCAACTCCCAGAGTTTCACGTTGCTTTTCATAGAGTAGTTCTGAAACATGCTTTTCGTAGTGTCTGCAAGTGGACATTTGGAGCGCTTCAGGCCTGTGGTGGAAAACGAATTATGGTCACATAAAAACTGGAGAGAAGCCTTCTCAGAAACTTCTCTGTGATGATTGCATTCAACTCACAGAGTTGAACCCTCCTATGGATAGAGCAGTGTTGAAACTCTCTTTTTGTGGAATCTGCAAGTGGATATGTGGACCTCTCCGAAGATGTCTTTGGAAACGGGAATATCTTCACATAAAAACTAAACAGAAGCATTCTCAGAAACTTCTTGGTGATGTTTGCATTCAAATCCCAGAGTTGAACCTTCCTTTGATAGTTCAGGTTTGAAACACTCTTTCTGTAGGATCTGCAAGTGGCTATTTGGACCACTCTGTGGCCTTCGTTCGAAACGGGTATATCTTCGCATAAAATCTAGACAGAAGCATTCTCAGAAAATACTTTGTGATGATTGAGTTTAAATCACAGAGCTGACCATTCCTTTGGATGGAGCAGGTTTGAGACACACTTTTTGTAGAATCTACAAGTGGATATTTGGACCTCTCTGAGGATTTCGTTGGAAACGGGAAAACTGCACCTAACTAAACGGAAGCATTCTCAGAAACTGCTTTGTGATGATTGCATTCACCTCACAGAGTTGAACATTCCTATTGATAGAGCAGTTTGGAAACACTCTTGTTGTGGAATGTGCAAGTGGAGATTTGGAGCGCTTTGAGGCCTGTGGTAGTAAAGGGAATAGCTTCATAGAAAAACTAGACAGATGCATTCTCAGGAACTTTTTGGTGATGTTTGTATTCAACTCCCAGAGTTGAACTTTCCTTTGGAAAGAGCAGCTATGAAACACTCTTTTTCTAGAATCTGCAAGTGGACGTTTGGAGGGCTTTGTGGTTTGTGGTGGAAAAGGAAATATCTTCACCTAAATACTAGATAGAAGCATTCTCAGAAGCTTCTCTGTGATGACTGCATTCAACTCACGGAGTTGAACACTCCTTTTGAGAGCGCAGTTTTGAAACTCTCTTTCTGTGGCATCTGCAAGGGGACATGTAGACCTCTTTGAAGATTTCGTTGGAAACGGAATCATCTTCACATAAAAACTATACAGAAGCAGTCTCAGAATCTTCTTTGTGATGTTTGCATTCAAATCCCAGAGTTGAACTTTCCTTTCAAAGTTCACGTTTGAAACACTCTTTTTGCAGGATCTACAAGTGGATATTTGGACCACTCTGTGTCCTTCGTTCGAAACGGGTATATCTTCACACGACATCTAGACAGAAGCTTTCTCAGAAAATTCTTTGGGATGATTGAGTGGAACTCACAGAGCTGAACATTCCTTGCGATGTAGCAGTTTAGAAACACACTTTCTGCAGAATCTGCAAGTGCATATTTGGACCTCTCTGAGGAATTCGTTGGAAACGGGATAATTTCAGCTGACTAAACAGAAGCATTCTCAGAACCTTCTTCGTGGTGTCTGCATTCAACTCACAGTGTGGAACCTTTCTTTGATAGTTCAGGTTTGAAACACTCTTTTTGTAGAAACTGCAAGGGGATAATTGCACTTCTTTGAGGCCTACCGTAGTAAAGGAAATAACTTCCTATAGAAAGAAGACAGAAGCATTCTCAGAACCCTCTTCGTGATGTTTGCATTCAACTCACAGTGCTGAACCTTTCTTTGATAGTTCAGCTTTGAAACACTCTTCTTGTAGAAACTGCAAGTGGATATTTGGTCCTCTCTGAGGATTTCGTTGGAAACGGGATAAACCGCACAGAACTAAACAGAAGAATTCTCAGAGCCCTCTTCGTGATGTTTGCATTCAACTCACAGTGCTGAACCTTTCTTTGATAGTGCAGCTTTGAAACACTCTTTTTGTAGAAACTGCAAGTGGATGTTTGGTCCTCTCTGAGGATTTCGTTGGAAACGGGATAAACCACACAGAACTAAAACAGAAGCATTGTCAGAAACTTCTTTGTGATGATTGCATTCAACTCACAGAGTTGAAGGTTCCTTTTCAAACAGCAGTTTCCAATCACTCTTTCTGTGGAATCTGCAAGTGGATATTTGGGCCTCTCTGAGGATTTCGTTGGAAACGGGATAAAACGCACAGAACTAAAACAGAAGCATTCTCAGAAACTTCTCTGTGATGTTTGTGTTCAACTCCCAGAGTTTCACGTTGCTTTTCATAGAGTAGTTCTGAAACATGCTTTTCGTAGTGTCTGCAAGTGGACATTTGGAGCGCTTTCAGGCCTGTGGTGGAAAACGAATTATGGTCACATAAAAACTGGAGAGAAGCCTTCTCAGAAACTTCTCTGTGATGATTGCATTCAACTCACAGAGTTGAACCCTCCTATGGATAGAGCAGTGTTGAAACTCTCTTTTTGTGGAATCTGCAAGTGGATATGTGGACCTCTCCGAAGATGTCTTTGGAAACGGGAATATCTTCACATAAAAACTAAACAGAAGCATTCTCAGAAACTTCTTGGTGATGTTTGCATTCAAATCCCAGAGTTGAACCTTCCTTTGATAGTTCAGGTTTGAAACACTCTTTTTGTAGGATCTGCAAGTGGCTATTTGGACCACTCTGTGGCCTTCGTTCGAAACGGGTATATCTTCGCATAAAATCTAGACAGAAGCATTCTCAGAAAATACTTTGTGATGATTGAGTTTAAATCACAGAGCTGAACATTCCTTTGGATGGAGCAGGTTTGAGACACACTTTTTGTAGAATCTACAAGTGGATATTTGGACCTCTCTGAGGATTTCGTTGGAAACGGGATAACTGCACCTAACTAAACGGAAGCATTCTCAGAAACTGCTTTGTGATGATTGCATTCACCTCACAGAGTTGAACATTCCTATTGATAGAGCAGTTTGGAAACACTCTTGTTGTGGAATGTGCAAGTGGAGATTTGGAGCGCTTTGAGGCCTATGGTAGTAAAGGGAATAGCTTCATAGAAAAACTAGACAGATGCATTCTCAGGAACTTTTTGGTGATGTTTGTATTCAACTCCCAGAGTTGAACTTTCCTTTGGAAAGAGCAGCTATGAAACACTCTTTTTCTAGAATCTGCAAGTGGACGTTTGGAGGGCTTTGTGGTTTGTGGTGGAAAAGGAAATATCTTCACCTAAATACTAGATAGAAGCATTCTCAGAAGCTTCTCTGTGATGACTGCATTCAACTCACGGAGTTGAACACTCCTTTTGAGAGCGCAGTTTTGAAACTCTCTTTCTGTGGCATCTGCAAGGGGACATGTAGACCTCTTTGAAGATTTCGTTGGAAACGGAATCATCTTCACATAAAAACTATACAGAAGCAGTCTCAGAATCTTCTTTGTGATGTTTGCATTCAAATCCCAGAGTTGAACTTTCCTTTCAAAGTTCACGTTTGAAACACTCTTTTTGCAGGATCTACAAGTGGATATTTGGACCACTCTGTGTCCTTCGTTCGAAACGGGTATATCTTCACACGACATCTAGACAGAAGCTTTCTCAGAAAATTCTTTGGGATGATTGAGTGGAACTCACAGAGCTGAACATTCCTTGCGATGTAGCAGTTTAGAAACACACTTTCTGCAGAATCTGCAAGTGCATATTTGGACCTCTCTGAGGAATTCGTTGGAAACGGGATAATTTCAGCTGACTAAACAGAAGCATTCTCAGAACCTTCTTCGTGATGTCTGCATTCAACTCACAGTGTGGAACCTTTCTTTGATAGTTCAGGTTTGAAACACTCTTTTTGTAGAAACTGCAAGGGGATAATTGCACTTCTTTGAGGCCTACCGTAGTAAAGGAAATAACTTCCTATAGAAAGAAGACAGAAGCATTCTCAGAACCCTCTTCGTGATGTTTGCATTCAACTCACAGTGCTGAACCTTTCTTTGATAGTTCAGCTCTGAAACACTCTTCTTGTAGAAACTGCAAGTGGATATTTGGTCCTCTCTGAGGATTTCGTTGGAAACGGGATAAACCGCACAGAACTAAACAGAAGCATTCTCAGAGCCCTCTTCGTGATGTTTGCATTCAACTCACAGTGCTGAACCTTTCTTTGATAGTGCAGCTTTGAAACACTCTTTTTGTAGAAACTGCAAGTGGATGTTTGGTCCTCTCTGAGGATTTCGTTGGAAACGGGATAAACCGCACAGAACTAAAACAGAAGCATTGTCAGAAACTTCTTTGTGATGATTGCATTCAACTCACAGAGTTGAAGGTTCCTTTTCAAACAGCAGTTTCCAATCACTCTTTCTGTGGAATCTGCAAGTGGATATTTGGGCCTCTCTGAGGATTTCGTTGGAAACGGGATAAAACGCACAGAACTAAAACAGAAGCATTCTCAGAAACTTCTCTGTGATGTTTGTGTTCAACTCCCAGAGTTTCACGTTGCTTTTCATAGAGTAGTTCTGAAACATGCTTTTCGTAGTGTCTGCAAGTGGACATTTGGAGCGCTTTCAGGCCTGTGGTGGAAAACGAATTATGGTCACATAAAAACTGGAGAGAAGCCTTCTCAGAAACTTCTCTGTGATGATTGCATTCAACTCACAGAGTTGAACCCTCCTATGGATAGAGCAGTGTTGAAACTCTCTTTTTGTGGAATCTGCAAGTGGATATGTGGACCTCTCCGAAGATGTCTTTGGAAACGGGAATATCTTCACATAAAAACTAAACAGAAGCATTCTCAGAAACTTCTTGGTGATGTTTGCATTCAAATCCCAGAGTTGAACCTTCCTTTGATAGTTCAGGTTTGAAACACTCTTTCTGTAGGATCTGCAAGTGGCTATTTGGACCACTCTGTGGCCTTCGTTCGAAACGGGTATATCTTCGCATAAAATCTAGACAGAAGCATTCTCAGAAAATACTTTGTGATGATTGAGTTTAAATCACAGAGCTGACCATTCCTTTGGATGGAGCAGGTTTGAGACACACTTTTTGTAGAATCTACAAGTGGATATTTGGACCTCTCTGAGGATTTCGTTGGAAACGGGATAACTGCACCTAACTAAACGGAAGCATTCTCAGAAACTGCTTTGTGATGATTGCATTCACCTCACAGAGTTGAACATTCCTATTGATAGAGCAGTTTGGAAACACTCTTGTTGTGGAATGTGCAAGTGGAGATTTGGAGCACTTTGAGGCCTATGGTAGTAAAGGGAATAGCTTCATAGAAAAACTAGACAGATGCATTCTCAGGAACTTTTTGGTGATGTTTGTATTCAACTCCCAGAGTTGAACTTTCCTTTGGAAAGAGCAGCTATGAAACACTCTTTTTCTAGAATCTGCAAGTGGACGTTTGGAGGGCTTTGTGGTTTGTGGTGGAAAAGGAAATATCTTCACCTAAATACTAGATAGAAGCATTCTCAGAAGCTTCTCTGTGATGACTGCATTCAACTCACGGAGTTGAACACTCCTTTTGAGAGCGCAGTTTTGAAACTCTCTTTCTGTGGCATCTGCAAGGGGACATGTAGACCTCTTTGAAGATTTCGTTGGAAACGGAATCATCTTCACATAAAAACTATACAGAAGCAGTCTCAGAATCTTCTTTGTGATGTTTGCATTCAAATCCCAGAGTTGAACTTTCCTTTCAAAGTTCACGTTTGAAACACTCTTTTTGCAGGATCTACAAGTGGATATTTGGACCACTCTGTGTCCTTCGTTCGAAACGGGTATATCTTCACACGACATCTAGACAGAAGCTTTCTCAGAAAATTCTTTGGGATGATTGAGTGGAACTCACAGAGCTGAACATTCCTTGCGATGTAGCAGTTTAGAAACACACTTTCTGCAGAATCTGCAAGTGCATATTTGGACCTCTCTGAGGAATTCGTTGGAAACGGGATAATTTCAGCTGACTAAACAGAAGCATTCTCAGAACCTTCTTCGTGATGTCTGCATTCAACTCACAGTGTGGAACCTTTCTTTGATAGTTCAGGTTTGAAACACTCTTTTTGTAGAAACTGCAAGGGGATAATTGCACTTCTTTGAGGCCTACCGTAGTAAAGGAAATAACTTCCTATAGAAAGAAGACAGAAGCATTCTCAGAACCCTCTTCGTGATGTTTGCATTCAACTCACAGTGCTGAACCTTTCTTTGATAGTTCAGCTTTGAAACACTCTTCTTGTAGAAACTGCAAGTGGATATTTGGTCCTCTCTGAGGATTTCGTTGGAAACGGGATAAACCGCACAGAACTAAACAGAAGAATTCTCAGAGCCCTCTTCGTGATGTTTGCATTCAACTCACAGTGCTGAACCTTTCTTTGATAGTGCAGCTTTGAAACACTCTTTTTGTAGAAACTGCAAGTGGATGTTTGGTCCTCTCTGAGGATTTCGTTGGAAACGGGATAAACCGCACAGAACTAAAACAGAAGCATTGTCAGAAACTTCTTTGTGATGATTGCATTCAACTCACAGAGTTGAAGGTTCCTTTTCAAACAGCAGTTTCCAATCACTCTTTCTGTGGAATCTGCAAGTGGATATTTGGGCCTCTCTGAGGATTTCGTTGGAAACGGGATAAAACGCACAGAACTAAAACAGAAGCATTCTCAGAAACTTCTCTGTGATGTTTGTGTTCAACTCCCAGAGTTTCACGTTGCTTTTCATAGAGTAGTTCTGAAACATGCTTTTCGTAGTGTCTGCAAGTGGACATTTGGAGCGCTTTCAGGCCTGTGGTGGAAAACGAATTATGGTCACATAAAAACTGGAGAGAAGCCTTCTCAGAAACTTCTCTGTGATGATTGCATTCAACTCACAGAGTTGAACCCTCCTATGGATAGAGCAGTGTTGAAACTCTCTTTTTGTGGAATCTGCAAGTGGATATGTGGACCTCTCCGAAGATGTCTTTGGAAACGGGAATATCTTCACATAAAAACTAAACAGAAGCATTCTCAGAAACTTCTTGGTGATGTTTGCATTCAAATCCCAGAGTTGAACCTTCCTTTGATAGTTCAGGTTTGAAACACTCTTTCTGTAGGATCTGCAAGTGGCTATTTGGACCACTCTGTGGCCTTCGTTCGAAACGGGTATATCTTCGCATAAAATCTAGACAGAAGCATTCTCAGAAAATACTTTGTGATGATTGAGTTTAAATCACAGAGCTGACCATTCCTTTGGATGGAGCAGGTTTGAGACACACTTTTTGTAGAATCTACAAGTGGATATTTGGACCTCTCTGAGGATTTCGTTGGAAACGGGATAACTGCACCTAACTAAACGGAAGCATTCTCAGAAACTGCTTTGTGATGATTGCATTCACCTCACAGAGTTGAACATTCCTATTGATAGAGCAGTTTGGAAACACTCTTGTTGTGGAATGTGCAAGTGGAGATTTGGAGCGCTTTGAGGCCTATGGTAGTAAAGGGAATAGCTTCATAGAAAAACTAGACAGGATGCATTCTCAGGAACTTTTTGGTGATGTTTGTATTCAACTCCCAGAGTTGAACTTTCCTTTGGAAAGAGCAGCTATGAAACACTCTTTTTCTAGAATCTGCAAGTGGACGTTTGGAGGGCTTTGTGGTTTGTGGTGGAAAAGGAAATATCTTCACCTAAATACTAGATAGAAGCATTCTCAGAAGCTTCTCTGTGATGACTGCATTCAACTCACGGAGTTGAACACTCCTTTTGAGAGCGCAGTTTTGAAACTCTCTTTCTGTGGCATCTGCAAGGGGACATGTAGACCTCTTTGAAGATTTCGTTGGAAACGGAATCATCTTCACATAAAAACTATACAGAAGCAGTCTCAGAATCTTCTTTGTGATGTTTGCATTCAAATCCCAGAGTTGAACTTCCCTTTCAAAGTTCACGTTTGAAACACTCTTTTTGCAGGATCTACAAGTGGATATTTGGACCACTCTGTGTCCTTCGTTCGAAACGGGTATATCTTCACATGACATCTAGACAGAAGCTTTCTCAGAAAATCCTTTGGGATGATTGAGTGGAACTCACAGAGCTGAACATTCCTTGCGATGTAGCAGTTTAGAAACACACTTTCTGCAGAATCTGCAAGTGCATATGTGGACCTCTCTGAGGAATTCGTTGGAAACGGGATAATTTCAGCTGACTAAACAGAAGCATTCTCAGAACCTTCTTCGTGATGTCTGCATTCAACTCACAGTGTGGAACCTTTCTTTGATAGTTCAGGTTTGAAACACTCTTTTTGTAGAGACTGCAAGGGGATAATTGCACTTCTTTGAGGCCTACCGTAGTAAAGGAAATAACTTCCCATAAAAAGAAGACAGAAGCATTCTCAGAACCTTCTTCGTGATGTCTGCATTCAACTCACAGTGTGGAATCTTTCTTTGATAGTTCAGGTTTGAAACACTCTTTTTGTAGAAACTGCAAGTGGATATTTGGTCCTCTGTGAGGATTTCGTTGGAAACGGGATAAACCGCACAGAACTAAACAGAAGAATTCTCAGAGCCCTCTTCGTGATGTTTGCATTCAACTCACAGTGCTGAACCTTTCTTTGATAGTGCAGCTTTGAAACACTCTTTTTGTAGAAACTGCAAGTGGATGTTTGGTCCTCTCTGAGGATTTCGTTGGAAACGGGATAAACCGCACAGAACTAAAACAGAAGCATTGTCAGAAACTTCTTTGTGATGATTGCATTCAACTCACAGAGTTGAAGGTTCCTTTTCAAACAGCAGTTTCCAATCACTCTTTCTGTGGAATCTGCAAGTGGATATTTGGGCCTCTCTGAGGATTTCGTTGGAAACGGGATAAAACGCACAGAACTAAAACAGAAGCATTCTCAGAAACTTCTCTGTGATGTTTGTGTTCAACTCCCAGAGTTTCACGTTGCTTTTCATAGAGTAGTTCTGAAACATGCTTTTCGTAGTGTCTGCAAGTGGACATTTGGAGCGCTTTCAGGCCTGTGGTGGAAAACGAATTATGGTCACATAAAAACTGGAGAGAAGCCTTCTCAGAAACTTCTCTGTGATGATTGCATTCAACTCACAGAGTTGAACCCTCCTATGGATAGAGCAGTGTTGAAACTCTCTTTTTGTGGAATCTGCAAGTGGATATGTGGACCTCTCCGAAGATGTCTTTGGAAACGGGAATATCTTCACATAAAAACTAAACAGAAGCATTCTCAGAAACTTCTTGGTGATGTTTGCATTCAAATCCCAGAGTTGAACCTTCCTTTGATAGTTCAGGTTTGAAACACTCTTTCTGTAGGATCTGCAAGTGGCTATTTGGACCACTCTGTGGCCTTCGTTCGAAACGGGTATATCTTCGCATAAAATCTAGACAGAAGCATTCTCAGAAAATACTTTGTGATGATTGAGTTTAAATCACAGAGCTGACCATTCCTTTGGATGGAGCAGGTTTGAGACACACTTTTTGTAGAATCTACAAGTGGATATTTGGACCTCTCTGAGGATTTCGTTGGAAACGGGATAACTGCACCTAACTAAACGGAAGCATTCTCAGAAACTGCTTTGTGATGATTGCATTCACCTCACAGAGTTGAACATTCCTATTGATAGAGCAGTTTGGAAACACTCTTGTTGTGGAATGTGCAAGTGGAGATTTGGAGCGCTTTGAGGCCTGTGGTAGTAAAGGGAATAGCTTCATAGAAAAACTAGACAGATGCATTCTCAGGAACTTTTTGGTGATGTTTGTATTCAACTCCCAGAGTTGAACTTTCCTTTGGAAAGAGCAGCTATGAAACACTCTTTTTCTAGAATCTGCAAGTGGACGTTTGGAGGGCTTTGTGGTTTGTGGTGGAAAAGGAAATATCTTCACCTAAATACTAGATAGAAGCATTCTCAGAAGCTTCTCTGTGATGACTGCATTCAACTCACGGAGTTGAACACTCCTTTTGAGAGCGCAGTTTTGAAACTCTCTTTCTGTGGCATCTGCAAGGGGACATGTAGACCTCTTTGAAGATTTCGTTGGAAACGGAATCATCTTCACATAAAAACTATACAGAAGCAGTCTCAGAATCTTCTTTGTGATGTTTGCATTCAAATCCCAGAGTTGAACTTTCCTTTCAAAGTTCACGTTTGAAACACTCTTTTTGCAGGATCTACAAGTGGATATTTGGACCACTCTGTGTCCTTCGTTCGAAACGGGTATATCTTCACACGACATCTAGACAGAAGCTTTCTCAGAAAATTCTTTGGGATGATTGAGTGGAACTCACAGAGCTGAACATTCCTTGCGATGTAGCAGTTTAGAAACACACTTTCTGCAGAATCTGCAAGTGCATATTTGGACCTCTCTGAGGAATTCGTTGGAAACGGGATAATTTCAGCTGACTAAACAGAAGCATTCTCAGAACCTTCTTCGTGATGTCTGCATTCAACTCACAGTGTGGAACCTTTCTTTGATAGTTCAGGTTTGAAACACTCTTTTTGTAGAAACTGCAAGGGGATAATTGCACTTCTTTGAGGCCTACCGTAGTAAAGGAAATAACTTCCTATAGAAAGAAGACAGAAGCATTCTCAGAACCCTCTTCGTGATGTTTGCATTCAACTCACAGTGCTGAACCTTTCTTTGATAGTTCAGCTTTGAAACACTCTTCTTGTAGAAACTGCAAGTGGATATTTGGTCCTCTCTGAGGATTTCGTTGGAAACGGGATAAACCGCACAGAACTAAACAGAAGCATTCTCTGAACCTTCTTCGTGATGTTTGCATTCAACTCACAGTGTTGAACCTTTCTTTGATAGTTCAGGTTGGAAACGGTCTTTCTGTAGAAACTGCAAGTAGATATTTGGACCTCTCTGAGGATTTCGTTGGAAACGGGATAAACCGCACAGAACTAAAACAGATAGCATTCACAGAAAACTCTTGGTGACGACTGAGTTTAACTCACAGAGCTGAACATTCCTTTGGATGGAGCAGTTTCGAAACACACTATTTGTAGAATGTGCAAGTGGATATTTGGGCCTCTCTGAGGATTTCGCTGGAAACGGGATAAACCGCACAGAACTAAACAGAGCATTCTCAGAAACTACTTTGTGATGATTGCATTCAAGTCACAGAGTTGAACATTCCCTTTGACAGAGCAGTTTGGAAACTCTCTTTGTGTAGAATCTGCAAGTGGAGATATGGACCGCTTTGAGGCCTATGGTAGTAAAGGAAATAGCTTCATATAAAAGCTAGACAGTAGCATTCTCAGAAACTTCTTTGTGATGCTTGCATTCAACTCACAGAGTTGAACTTTCCTTTCGAGAGAGAAGCTTTGAAACACTCTTTTTCCAGAATCTGCAAGTGGACATTTGGAGGGCTTTGAGGCCTGTGGTGGAAAAGGAATTAACTTCCCGTAAAAGCTAGATAGAAGCATTGTCAGAAACTTCTTTGTGATGATTGCATTCAACTCACGGAGATGAAGGTTCCTTTACAAACAGCAGTTTCCAAACACTCTTTCTGTGGAATCTGCAAGTGGATATTTGGACCTCTTTGAAGATTTCGTTGGAAACGGGAGAATCTTCACAGAAAAGCTAAACAGAAGCATTCTCAGAAACTTCTCTGTGATGTTTGTGTTCAACTCCCAGAGTTTCACATTGCTTTTCATAGAGTAGTTCTGAAACATGCTTTTCGTAGTGTCTGCAAGTGGACATTTGGAGCGCTTTCAGGCCTGTGGTGGAAAACGAATTATGGTCCCATAAAAACTGGAGAGAAGCCTTCTCAGAAACTTCTCTGTGATGATTGCATTCAACTCACATAGTTGAACCCTCCTATGGATAGAGCAGTGTTGAAACTCTCTTTTTGTGGAATCTGCAAGTGGATATGTGGACCTCTCCGAAGATGTCTTTGGAAACGGGAATATCTTCACATAAAAACTAAACAGAAGCATTCTCAGGAAACTTCTTGGTGATGTTTGCATTCAAATCCCAGAGTTGAACCTTCCTTTGATAGTTCAGGTTTGAAACACTCTTTTTGTAGGATCTGCAAGTGGCTATTTGGACCACTCTGTGGCCTTCGTTCGAAACGGGTATATCTTCGCATAAAATCTAGACAGAAGCATTCTCAGAAAATACTTTGTGATGATTGAGTTTAAATCACAGAGCTGACCATTCCTTTGGATGGAGCAGGTTTGAGACACACTTTTTGTAGAATCTACAAGTGGATATTTGGACCTCTCTGAGGATTCGTTGGAAACGGGATAACTGCACCTAACTAAACGGAAGCATTCTCAGAAACTGCTTTGTGATGATTGCATTCACCTCACAGAGTTGAACATTCCTATTGATAGAGCAGTTTGGAAACACTCTTGTTGTGGAATGTGCAAGTGGAGATTTGGAGCGCTTTGAGGCCTATGGTAGTAAAGGGAATAGCTTCATAGAAAAACTAGACAGATGCATTCTCAGGAACTTTTTGGTGATGTTTGTATTCAACTCCCAGAGTTGAACTTTCCTTTGGAAAGAGCAGCTATGAAACACTCTTTTTCTAGAATCTGCAAGTGGACGTTTGGAGGGCTTTGTGGTTTGTGGTGGAAAAGGAAATATCTTCACCTAAATACTAGATAGAAGCATTCTCAGAAGCTTCTCTGTGATGACTGCATTCAACTCACGGAGTTGAACACTCCTTTTGAGAGCGCAGTTTTGAAACTCCCTTTCTGTGGCATCTGCAAGGGGACATGTAGACCTCTTTGAAGATTTCGTTGGAAACGGAATCATCTTCACATAAAAACTATACAGAAGCAGTCTCAGAATCTTCTTTGTGATGTTTGCATTCAAATCCCAGAGTTGAACTTTCCTTTCAAAGTTCACGTTTGAAACACTCTTTTTGCAGGATCTACAAGTGGATATTTGGACCACTCTGTGTCCTTCGTTCGAAACGGGTATATCTTCACATGACATCTAGACAGAAGCTTTCTCAGAAAACTCTTTGGGATGATTGAGTTGAACTCACAGAGCTGAACATTCCTTGCGATGTAGCAGTTTAGAAACACACTTTCTGCAGAATCTGCAAGTGCATATTTGGACCTCTCTGAGGAATTCGTTGGAAACGGGATAATTTCAGCTGACTAAACAGAAGCATTCTCAGAACCTTCTTCGTGATGTCTGCATTCAACTCACAGTGTGGAACCTTTCTTTGATAGTTCAGGTTTGAAACACTCTTTTTGTAGAAACTGCAAGGGGATAATTGCACTTCTTTGAGGCCTACCGTAGTAAAGGAAATAACTTCCTATAAAAAGAAGACAGAAGCATTCTCAGAACCCTCTTCGTGATGTTTGCATTCAACTCACAGTGCTGAGCCTTTCTTTGATAGTTCAGCTTTGAAACACTCTTTTTGTAGAAACTGCAAGTGGATATTTGGTCCTCTCTGAGGATTTCGTTGGAAAAGGGATAAACCGCACAGAACTAAACAGAAGAATTCTCAGAGCCCTCTTCGTGATGTTTGCATTCAACTCACAGTGCTGAACCTTTCTTTGATAGTGCAGCTTTGAAACACTCTTTTTGTAGAAACTGCAAGTGGATGTTTGGTCCTCTCTGAGGATTTCGTTGGAAACGGGATAAACCGCACAGAACTAAAACAGAAGCTTTCACAGAAAACTCTTGGTGACGACTGAGTTTAACTCACAGAGCTGAACATTCCTTTGGATGGAGCAGTTTAGAAACACACTATTTGTAGAATGTGCAAGTGGATATGTGGGCCTCTCTGAGGATTTCGTTGGAAACGGGATAAACCGCCCAGAACTAAACAGAAGCATTCTCAGAAACTACTTTGTGATGATTGCATTCAAGTCACAGAGTTGAACATTCCCTTTGACAGAGCAGTTTGGAAACTCTCTTTGTGTAGAATCTGCAAGTGGAGATATGGACCGCTTTGAGGCCTATGGTAGTAAAGGAAATAGCTTCATATAAAAGCTAGACAGTAGCATTCTCAGAAACTTCTTTGTGATGCTTGCATTCAACTCACAGAGTTGAACTTTCCTTTCGAGAGAGAAGCTTTGAAACACTCTTTTTCCAGAATGTGCAAGTGGACATTTGGGGAGCTTTGAGGCCTGTGGTGGAAAAGGAATTATCTTCCCGTAAAAGCTAGATAGAAGCATTGTCAGAAACTTCTTTGTGATGATTGCATTCAACTCACAGAGTTGAAGGTTCCTTTTCAAACAGCAGTTTCCAATCACTCTTTCTGTGGAATCTGCAAGTGGATATTTCGACCTCTTTGAAGATTTCGTTGGAAACGGGAGAATCTTCCCAGAAAAGCTAAACAGAAGCATTCTCAGAAACTTCTCTGTGATGTTTGTGTTCAACTCCCAGAGTTTCACGTTGCTTTTCATAGAGTAGTTCTGAAACATGCTTTTCGTAGTGTCTGCAAGTGGACATTTGGAGCGCTTTCAGGCCTGTGGTGGAAAACGAATTATGGTCACATAAAAACTGGAGAGAAGCCTTCTCAGAAACTTCTCTGTGATGATTGCATTCAACTCACAGAGTTGAACCCTCCTATGGATAGAGCAGTGTTGAAACTCTCTTTTGTGGAATCTGCAAGTGGATATGTGGACCTCGCCGAAGATGTCTTTGGAAACGGGAATATCTTCACATAAAAACTAAACAGAAGCATTCTCAGAAACTTCTTGGTGATGTTTGCATTCAAATCCCAGAGTTGAACCTTCCTTTGATAGTTCAGGTTTGAAACACTCTTTTTGTAGGATCTGCAAGTGGCTATTTGGACCACTCTGTGGCCTTCGTTCGAAACGGGTATATCTTCGCATAAAATCTAGACAGAAGCATTCTCAGAAAATACTTTGTGATGATTGAGTTTAAATCACAGAGCTGAACATTCCTTTGGATGGAGCAGGTTTGAGACACACTTTTTGTAGAATCTACAAGTGGATATTTGGACCTCTCTGAGGATTTCGTTGGAAACGGGATAACTGCACCTAACTAAACGGAAGCATTCTCAGAAACTGCTTTGTGATGATTGCATTCACCTCACAGAGTTGAACATTCCTATTGATAGAGCAGTTTGGAAACACTCTTGTTGTGGAATGTGCAAGTGGAGATTTGGAGCGCTTTGAGGTCTATGGTAGTAAAGGGAATAGCTTCATAGAAAAACTAGACAGATGCATTCTCAGGAACTTTTTGGTGATGTTTGTATTCAACTCCCAGAGTTGAACTTTCCTTTGGAAAGAGCAGCTATGAAACACTCTTTTTCTAGAATCTGCAAGTGGACGTTTGGAGGGCTTTGTGGTTTGTGGTGGAAAAGGAAATATCTTCACCTAAATACTAGATAGAAGCATTCTCAGAAGCTTCTCTGTGATGACTGCATTCAACTCACGGAGTTGAACACTCCTTTTGAGAGCGCAGTTTTGAAACTCTCTTTCTTTGGCATCTGCAAGGGGACATGTAGACCTCTTTGAAGATTTCGTTGGAAACGGAATCATCTTCACATAAAAACTATACAGAAGCAGTCTCAGAATCTTCTTTGTGATGTTTGCATTCAAATCCCAGAGTTGAACTTTCCTTTCAAAGTTCACGTTTGAAACACTCTTTTTGCAGGATCTACAAGTGGATATTTGGACCAATCTGTGTCCTTCGTTCGAAACGGGTATATCTTCACATGACATCTAGACAGAAGCTTTCTCAGAAAATTGTTTGGGATGATTGAGTTGAACTCACAGAGCTGAGCATTCCTTGCGATGTAGCAGTTTAGAAACACACTTTCTGCAGAATCTGCAAGTGCATATTTGGACCTCTCTGAGGAATTCGTTGGAAACGGGATAATTTCAGCTGACTAAACAGAAGCATTCTCAGAACCTTCTTCGTGATGTCTGCATTCAACTCACAGTGTGGAACCTTTCTTTGATAGTTCAGGTTTGAAACACTCTTTTTGTAGAAACTGCAAGGGGATAATTGCACTCTTTGAGGAGTACCGTAGTAAAGGAAATAACTTCCTGTAAAAAGAAGACAGAAGCATTCTCAGAATCCTCTTCGTGATGTTTGCATTCAACTCACAGTGCTGAACCTTTCTTTGATAGTTCAGCTTTGAAACACTCTTCTTGTAGAAACTGCAAGTGGATATTTCGTCCTCTCTGAGGATTTCGTTGGAAACGGGATAAACCGCACAGAACTAAACAGAAGCATTCTCAGAACCTTCTTCGTGATGTTTGCATTCAACTCACAGTGTTGAACCTTTCTTTGATAGTTCAGGTTTGAAACGGTCTTTCTGTAGAAACTGCAAGTAGATATTTGGACCTCTCTGAGGATTTCGTTGGAAACGGGATAACCCGCACAGAACTAAAACAGAAGCATTCACAGAAAACTCTTGGTGACGACTGAGTTTAACTCACAGAGCTGAACATTCCTTTGGATGGATCAGTTTCGAAACACACTATTTGTAGAATGTGCAAGTGGATATTTGGGCCTCTCTGAGGATTTCGTTGGAAACGGGATAAACCGCACAGAACTAAACAGAAGCATTCTCAGAAACTACTTTGTGATGATTGCATTCAAGTCACAGAGTTGAACATTCCCTTTGACAGAGCAGTTTGGAAACTCTCTTTGTGTAGAATCTGCAAGTGGAGATATGGACCGCTTTGAGGCCTATGGTAGTAAAGGAAATAGCTTCATATAAAAGCTAGACAGTAGCATTCTCAGAAACTTCTTTGTGATGCTTGCATTCAACTCACAGAGTTGAACTTTCCTTTCGAGAGAGAAGCTTTGAAACACTCTTTTTCCAGAATCTGCAAGTGGACATTTGGAGGGCTTTGAGGCCTGTGGTGGAAAAGGAATTATCTTCCCGTAAAAGCTAGATAGAAGCATTGTCAGAAACTTCTTTGTGATGATTGCATTCAAGTCACAGAGTTGAAGGTTCCTTTTCAAAGAGCAGTTTCCAATCACTCTTTCTGTGGAATCTGCAAGTGGATATTTGGACCTCTTTGAAGATTTCGTTGGAAACGGGAGAATCTTCACAGAAAAGCTAAACAGAAGCATTCTCAGAAACTTCTCTGTGATGTTTGTGTTCAATTCCCAGAGTTTCACATTGCTTCTCATAGAGTAGTTCTGAAAGATGCTTTTCGTAGTGTCTGCAAGTGGACATTTGGAGCGCTTTCAGGCCTGTGGTGGAAAACGAATTATGGTCACATAAAAACTGGAGAGAAGCCTTCTCAGAAACTTCTCTGTGATGATTGCATTCAACTCACAGAGTTGAACCCTCCTATGGATAGAGCAGTGTTGAAACTCTCTTTTTGTGGAATCTGCAAGCGGATACGTGGACCTCTCAGAAGATGTCTTTGGAAACGGGAATATCTTCACATAAAAACTAAACAGAAGCATTCTCAGAAACTTCTTGGTGATGTTTGCATTCAAATCCCAGAGTTGAACCTTCCTTTGATAGTTCAGGTTTGAAACACTCTTTTTGTAGGATCTGCAAGTGGATATTTGGACCACTCTGTGGCCTTCGTTCGAAAAGGGTACGTCTTCGCATAAAATCTAGACAGAAGCATTCTCAGAAAATACTTTGTGATGATTGAGTTGAACTCACAGAGCTGAACATTCCTTTGGATGGAGCAGGTTTGAGACACACTTTTTGTAGAATCTACAAGTGGATATTTGGACCTCTCTGAGGATTTCGTTGGAAACGGGATAACTGCACCTAACTAAACGGAAGCATTCTCAGAAACTGCTTTGTGATGATTGCATTCACCTCACAGAGTTGAACATTCCTATTGATAGAGCAGTTTGGAAACACTCTTGTTGTGGAATGTGCAAGTGGAGATTTGGAGCGCTTTGAGGCCTATGGTAGTAAAGGGAATAGCTTCATAGAAAAACTAGACAGATGCATTCTCAGGAACTTTTTTGTGATGTTTGTATTCAACTCCCAGAGTTGAACTTTCCTTTGGAAAGAGCAGCTATGAAACACTCTTTTTCTAGAATCTGCAAGTGGACGTTTGGAGGGCTTTGTGGTTTGTGGTGGAAAAGGAAATATCTTCACCTAAATACTAGATAGAAGCATTCTCAGAAGCTTCTCTGTGATGACTGCATTCAACTCACGGAGTTGAACACTCCTTTTGAGAGCGCAGTTTTGAAACTCTCTTTCTGTGGCATCTGCAAGGGGACATGTAGACCTCTTTGAAGATTTCGTTGGAAACGGAATCATCTTCACATCAAAACTATACAGAAGCAGTCTCAGAATCTTCTTTGTGGTGTTTGCATTCAAATCCCAGAGTTGAACTTTCCTTTCAAAGTTCACGTTTGAAACACTCTTTTTGCAGGATCTACAAGTGGATATTTGGACCACTCTGTGTCCTTCGTTCGAAACGGGTATATCTTCACATGACATCTAGACAGAAGCTTTCTCAGAAAATTCTTTGGGATGATTGAGTGGAACTCACAGAGCTGAACATTCCTTGCGATGTAGCAGTTTAGAAACACACTTTCTGCAGAATCTGCAAGTGCATATTTGGACCTCTCTGAGGAATTCGTTGGAAACGGGATAATTTCAGCTGACTAAACAGAAGCATTCTCAGAACCTTCTTCGTGATGTCTGCATTCAACTCACAGTGTGGAACCTTTCTTTGATAGTTCAGGTTTGAAACACTCTTTTTGTAGAAACTGCAAGGGGATAATTGCACTTCTTTGAGGCCTACCGTAGTAAAGGAAATAACTTCCTATAGAAAGAAGACAGAAGCATTCTCAGAACCCTCTTCGTGATGTTTGCATTCAACTCACAGTGCTGAACCTTTCTTTGATAGTTCAGCTTTGAAACACTCTTCTTGTAGAAACTGCAAGTGGATATTTCGTCCTCTCTGAGGATTTCGTTGGAAACGGGATAAACCGCACAGAACTAAACAGAAGAATTCTCAGAGCCCTCTTCGTGATGTTTGCATTCAACTCACAGTGCTGAACCTTTCTTTGATAGTGCAGCTTTGAAACACTCTTTTTGTAGAAACTGCAAGTGGATATTTGGTCCTCTCTGAGGATTTCGTTGGAAACGGGATAAACCGCACAGAACTAAAACAGAAGCATTGTCAGAAACTTCTTTGTGATGATTGCATTCAACTCACAGAGTTGAAGGTTCCTTTTCAAACAGCAGTTTCCAATCACTCTTTCTGTGGAATCTGCAAGTGGATATTTGGGCCTCTCTGAGGATTTCGTTGGAAACGGGATAAAACGCACAGAACTAAAACAGAAGCATTCTCAGAAACTTCTCTGTGATGTTTGTGTTCAACTCCCAGAGTTTCACGTTGCTTTTCATAGAGTAGTTCTGAAACATGCTTTTCGTAGTGTCTGCAAGTGGACATTTGGAGCGCTTTCAGGCCTGTGGTGGAAAACGAATTATGGTCACATAAAAACTGGAGAGAAGCCTTCTCAGAAACTTCTCTGTGATGATTGCATTCAACTCACAGAGTTGAACCCTCCTATGGATAGAGCAGTGTTGAAACTCTCTTTTTGTGGAATCTGCAAGTGGATATGTGGACCTCTCCGAAGATGTCTTTGGAAACGGGAATATCTTCACATAAAAACTAAACAGAAGCATTCTCAGAAAACTTCTTGGTGATGTTTGCATTCAAATCCCAGAGTTGAACCTTCCTTTGATAGTTCAGGTTTGAAACACTCTTTCTGTAGGATCTGCAAGTGGCTATTTGGACCACTCTGTGGCCTTCGTTCGAAACGGGTATATCTTCGCATAAAATCTAGACAGAAGCATTCTCAGAAAATACTTTGTGATGATTGAGTTTAAATCACAGAGCTGACCATTCCTTTGGATGGAGCAGGTTTGAGACACACTTTTTGTAGAATCTACAAGTGGATATTTGGACCTCTCTGAGGATTTCGTTGGAAACGGGATAACTGCACCTAACTAAACGGAAGCATTCTCAGAAACTGCTTTGTGATGATTGCATTCACCTCACAGAGTTGAACATTCCTATTGATAGAGCAGTTTGGAAACACTCTTGTTGCGGAATGTGCAAGTGGAGATTTGGAGCGCTTTGAGGCCTGTGGTAGTAAAGGGAATAGCTTCATAGAAAAACTAGACAGATGCATTCTCAGGAACTTTTTGGTGATGTTTGTATTCAACTCCCAGAGTTGAACTTTCCTTTGGAAAGAGCAGCTATGAAACACTCTTTTTCTAGAATCTGCAAGTGGACGTTTGGAGGGCTTTGTGGTTTGTGGTGGAAAAGGAAATATCTTCACCTAAATACTAGATAGAAGCATTCTCAGAAGCTTCTCTGTGATGACTGCATTCAACTCACGGAGTTGAACACTCCTTTTGAGAGCGCAGTTTTGAAACTCTCTTTCTGTGGCATCTGCAAGGGGACATGTAGACCTCTTTGAAGATTTCGTTGGAAACGGAATCATCTTCACATCAAAAGTATACAGAAGCAGTCTCAGAATCTTCTTTGTGGTGTTTGCATTCAAATCCCAGAGTTGAACTTTCCTTTCAAAGTTCACGTTTGAAACACTCTTTTTGCAGGATCTACAAGTGGATATTTGGACCACTCTGTGTCCTTCGTTCGAAACGGGTATATCTTCACATGACATCTAGACAGATAAGCTTTCTCAGAAAATTCTTTGGGATGATTGAGTTGAACTCACAGAGCTGAGCATTCCTTGCGATGTAGCAGTTTAGAAACACACTTTCTGCAGAATCTGCAAGTGCATATTTGGACCTCTGTGAGGAATTCGTTGGAAACGGGATAATTTCAGCTGACTAAACAGAAGCATCCTCAGAACCTTCTTCGTGATGTCTGCATTCAACTCACAGTGTGGAACCTTTCTTTGATAGTTCAGGTTTGAAACACTCTTTTTGTAGAAACTGCAAGGGGATAATTGCACTTCTTTGAGGCCAACCGTAGTAAAGGAAATAAATTCCTATAAAAAGAAGACAAGAAGCATTCTCAGAACCTTCTTCGTGATGTTTGCATTCAACTCACAGTGCTGAAACTTTCTTTGATAGTTCAGCTTTGAAACACTCTTTTTGTAGAAACTGCAAGTGGATATTTGGTCCTCTGTGAGGATTTCGTTGGAAACGGGATAAACCGCACAGAACTAAACAGAAGCATTCACAGAAAACTCTTGGTGACGACTGAGTTTAACTCACAGAGCTGAACACCCCTTTGGATGGAGCAGTTTCGAAACACACTATTTGTAGAATGTGCAAGTGGATATTGGGGCCTCTCTGAGGATTTCGTTGGAAACGGGATAAACCGCACAGAACTAAACAGAAGCATTCTCAGAAACTACTTTGTGATGATTGCATTCAAGTCACAGAGTTGAACATTCCCTTTGACAGAGCAGTTTGGAAACTCTCTTTGTGTAGAATCTGCAAGTGGAGATATGGACCGCTTTGAGGACTATGGTAGTAAAGGAAATAGCTTCATATAAAAGCTAGACAGTAGCATTCTCAGAAACTTCTTTGTGATGCTTGCATTCAACTCACAGAGTTGAACTTTCCTTTCGAGAGAGAAGCTTTGAAACACTCTTTTTCCAGAATCTGCAAGTGGACATTTGGAGGGCTTTGAGGCCTGTGGTGGAAAAGGAATTATCTTCCCGTAAAAGCTAGATAGAAGCATTGTCAGAAACTTCTTTGTGATTATTGCATTCAACTCACAGAGTTGAAGGTTCCTTTTGAAACAGCAGTTTCCAAACACTCTTTCTGTGGAATCTACAAGTAGATATTTGGACCTCTTTGAAGATTTCGTTGGAAACGGGAGAATCTTCACAGAAAAGCTAAACAGAAGCTTTCTCAGAAACTTCTCTGTGATGTTTGTGTTCAACTCCCAGAGTTTCACATTGCTTTTCATAGAGTAGTTCTGAAACATGCTTTTCGTAGTGTCTGCAAGTGGACATTTGGAGCGCTTTCAGGCCTGTGGTGGAAAACGAATTATGGTCACATAGAAACTGGAGAGAAGCCTTCTCAGAAACTTCTCTGTGATGATTGCATTCAACTCACAGAGTTGAACCCTCCTATGGATAGAGCAGTGTTGAAACTCTCTTTTTGTGGAATCTGTAAGTGGATATGTGGACCTCTCCGAAGATGTCTTTGGAAACGGGAATATCTTCACATAAAAACTAAACAGAAGCATTCTCAGAAACTTCTTGGTGATGTTTGCATTCAAATCCCAGAGTTGGAACTTCCTTTGATAGTTCAGGTTTGAAACACTCTTTTTGTAGGATCTGCAAGTGGATATTTGGACCACTCTGTGGCCTTCGTTCGAAACGGGTACATCTTCGCAAAAAATCTAGACAGAAGCATTCTCAGAAAATACTTTGTGATGATTGAGTTTAACTCACAGAGCTGAACATTCCTTTGGATGGAGCAGGTTTGAGACACACTTTTTGTAGAATCTACAAGTGGATATTTCGACCTCTCTGAGGATTTCGTTGGAAACGGGATAACTGCACCTAACTAAACGGAAGCATTCTCAGAAACTGCTTTGTGATGATTGCATTCACCTCACAGAGTTGAACATTCCTATTGATAGAGCAGTTTGGAAACACTCTTGTTGTGGAATGTGCAAGTGGAGATTTGGAGCGCTTTGAGGCCTATGGTAGTAAAGGGAATAGCTTCATAGAAAAACTAGACAGATGCATTCTCAGGAACCTTTTGGTGATGTTTGTATTCAACTCCCAGAGTTGAACTTTCCTTTGGAAAGAGCAGCTATGAAACACTCTTTTTCTAGAATCTGCAAGTGGACGTTTGGAGGGCTTTGTGGTTTGTGGTGGAAAAGGAAATATCTTCACCTAAATACTAGATAGAAGCATTCTCAGAAGCTTCTCTGTGATGACTGCATTCAACTCACGGAGTTGAACACTCCTTTTGAGAGCGCAGTTTTGAAACTCTCTTTCTGTGGCATCTGCAAGGGGACATGTAGACCTCTTTGAAGATTTCGTTGGAAACGGAATCATCTTCACATAAAAACTATACAGAAGCAGTCTCAGAATCTTCTTTGTGATGTTTGCATTCAAATCCCAGAGTTGAACTTTCCTTTCAAAGTTCACGTTTGAAACACTCTTTTTGCAGGATCTACAAGTGGATATTTGGACCACTCTGTGTCCTTCGTTCGAAACGGGTATATCTTCACACGACATCTAGACAGAAGCTTTCTCAGAAAATTCTTTGGGATGATTGAGTGGAACTCACAGAGCTGAACATTCCTTGCGATGTAGCAGTTTAGAAACACACTTTCTGCAGAATCTGCAAGTGCATATTTGGACCTCTCTGAGGAATTCGTTGGAAACGGGATAATTTCAGCTGACTAAACAGAAGCATTCTCAGAACCTTCTTCGTGATGTCTGCATTCAACTCACAGTGTGGAACCTTTCTTTGATAGTTCAGGTTTGAAACACTCTTTTTGTAGAAACTGCAAGGGGATAATTGCACTTCTTTGAGGCCTACCGTAGTAAAGGAAATAACTTCCTATAGAAAGAAGACAGAAGCATTCTCAGAACCCTCTTCGTGATGTTTGCATTCAACTCACAGTGCTGAACCTTTCTTTGATAGTTCAGCTTTGAAACACTCTTCTTGTAGAAACTGCAAGTGGATATTTGGTCCTCTCTGAGGATTTCGTTGGAAACGGGATAAACCGCACAGAACTAAACAGAAGAATTCTCAGAGCCCTCTTCGTGATGTTTGCATTCAACTCACAGTGCTGAACCTTTCTTTGATAGTGCAGCTTTGAAACACTCTTTTTGTAGAAACTGCAAGTGGATATTTGGTCCTCTCTGAGGATTTCGTTGGAAACGGGATAAACCGCACAGAACTAAAACAGAAGCATTCACAGAAAACTCTTGGTGACGACTGAGTTTAACTCACAGAGCTGAACATTCCTTTGGATGGAGCAGTTTCGAAACACACTATTTGTAGAATCTGCAAGTGGATATTTGGGCCTCTCTGAGGATTTCGTTGGAAACGGGATAAAACGCACAGAACTAAAACAGAAACATTCTCAGAAACTACTTTGTGATGATTGCATTCAAGTCACAGAGTTGAACATTCCCTTTGACAGAGCAGTTTGGAAACTCTCTTTGTGTAGAATCTGCAAGTGGAGATATGGACCGCTTTGAGGCCTATGGTAGTAAAGGAAATACCTTCATATAAAAGCTAGACAGTAGCATTCTCAGAAACTTCTTTGTGATGCTTGCATTCAACTCACAGAGTTGAACTTTCCTTTCGAGAGAGAAGCTTTGAAACACTCTTTTTCCAGAATCTGCAAGTGGACATTTGGAGGGCTTTGAGGCCTGTGGTGGAAAAGGAATTATCTTCCCGTAAAAGCTAGATAGAAGCATTGTCAGAAACTTCTTTGTGATGATTGCATTCAAGTCACAGAGTTGAAGGTTCCTTTTCAAAGAGCAGTTTCCAATCACTCTTTCTGTGGAATCTGCAAGTGGATATTTGGACCTCTTTGAAGATTTCGTTGGAAACGGGAGAATCTTCACAGAAAAGCTAATCAGAAGCATTCTCAGAAACTTCTCTGTGATGTTTGTGTTCAACTCCCAGAGTTTCACATTGCTTTTCATAGAGTAGTTCTGAAACATGCTTTTCGTAGTGTCTACAAGTGGACATTTGGAGCGCTTTCAGGCCTGTGGTGGAAAACGAATTATGGTCACATAAAAACTGGAGAGAAGCCTTCTCAGAAACTTCTCTGTGATGATTGCATTCAACTCACAGAGTTGAACCCTCCTATGGATAGAGCAGTGTTGAAACTCTCTTTTTGTGGAATCTGCAAGTGGATATGTGGACCTCTCCGAAGATGTCTTTGGAAACGGGAATATCTTCACATAAAAACTAAACAGAAGCATTCTCAGAAACTTCTTGGTGATGTTTGCATTCAAATCCCAGAGTTGAACCTTCCTTTGATAGTTCAGGTTTGAAACACTCTTTTTGTAGGATCTGCAAGTGGATATTTGGACCACTCTGTGGCCTTCGTTCGAAACGGGTATATCTTCGCATAAAATCTAGACAGAAAGCATTCTCAGAAAATACTTTGTGATGATTGAGTTTAACTCACAGAGCTGAACATTCCTTTGGATGGAGCAGGTTTGAGACACACCTTTTGTACAATCTACAAGTGGATATTTGGACCTCTCTGAGGATTTCGTTGGAAACGGGATAACTGCACCTAACTAAACGGAAGCATTCTCAGAAACTGCTTTGTGATGATTGCATTCACCTCACAGAGTTGAACATTCCTATTGATAGAGCAGTTTGGAAACACTCTTGTTGCGGAATGTGCAAGTGGAGATTTGGAGCGCTTTGAGGCCTGTGGTAGTAAAGGGAATAGCTTCATAGAAAAACTAGACAGATGCATTCTCAGGAACTTTTTGGTGATGTTTGTATTCAACTCCCAGAGTTGAACTTTCCTTTGGAAAGAGCAGCTATGAAACACTCTTTTTCTAGAATCTGCAAGTGGACGTTTGGAGGGCTTTGTGGTTTGTGGTGGAAAAGGAAATATCTTCACCTAAATACTAGATAGAAGCATTCTCAGAAGCTTCTCTGTGATGACTGCATTCAACTCACGGAGTTGAACACTCCTTTTGAGAGCGCAGTTTTGAAACTCTCTTTCTGTGGCATCTGCAAGGGGACATGTAGACCTCTTTGAAGATTTCGTTGGAAACGGAATCATCTTCACATAAAAACTATACAGAAGCAGTCTCAGAATCTTCTTTGTGATGTTTGCATTCAAATCCCAGAGTTGAACTTTCCTTTCAAAGTTCACGTTTGAAACACTCTTTTTGCAGGATCTACAAGTGGATATTTGGACCACTCTGTGTCCTTCGTTCGAAACGGGTATATCTTCACACGACATCTAGACAGAAGCTTTCTCAGAAAATTCTTTGGGATGATTGAGTGGAACTCACAGAGCTGAACATTCCTTGCGATGGAGCAGTTTAGAAACACACTTTCTGCAGAATCTGCAAGTGCATATTTGGACCTCTCTGAGGAATTCGTTGGAAACGGGATAATTTCAGCTGACTAAACAGAAGCATTCTCAGAACCTTCTTCGTGATGTCTGCATTCAACTCACAGTGTGGAACCTTTCTTTGATAGTTCAGGTTTGAAACACTCTTTTTGTAGAAACTGCAAGGGGATAATTGCACTTCTTTGAGGCCTACCGTAGTAAAGGAAATAACTTCCTATAGAAAGAAGACAGAAGCATTCTCAGAACCCTCTTCGTGATGTTTGCATTCAACTCACAGTGCTGAACCTTTCTTTGATAGTTCAGCTTTGAAACACTCTTCTTGTAGAAACTGCAAGTGGATATTTGGTCCTCTCTGAGGATTTCGTTGGAAACGGGATAAACCGCACAGAACTAAACAGAAGAATTCTCAGAGCCCTCTTCGTGATGTTTGCATTCAACTCACAGTGCTGAACCTTTCTTTGATAGTGCAGCTTTGAAACACTCTTTTTGTAGAAACTGCAAGTGGATGTTTGGTCCTCTCTGAGGATTTCGTTGGAAACGGGATAAACCGCACAGAACTAAAACAGAAGCATTGTCAGAAACTTCTTTGTGATGATTGCATTCAACTCACAGAGTTGAAGGTTCCTTTTCAAACAGCAGTTTCCAATCACTCTTTCTGTGGAATCTGCAAGTGGATATTTGGGCCTCTCTGAGGATTTCGTTGGAAACGGGATAAAACGCACAGAACTAAAACAGAAGCATTCTCAGAAACTTCTCTGTGATGTTTGTGTTCAACTCCCAGAGTTTCACGTTGCTTTTCATAGAGTAGTTCTGAAACATGCTTTTCGTAGTGTCTGCAAGTGGACATTTGGAGCGCTTTCAGGCCTGTGGTGGAAAACGAATTATGGTCACATAAAAACTGGAGAGAAGCCTTCTCAGAAACTTCTCTGTGATGATTGCATTCAACTCACAGAGTTGAACCCTCCTATGGATAGAGCAGTGTTGAAACTCTCTTTTTGTGGAATCTGCAAGTGGATATGTGGACCTCTCCGAAGATGTCTTTGGAAACGGGAATATCTTCACATAAAAACTAAACAGAAGCATTCTCAGAAACTTCTTGGTGATGTTTGCATTCAAATCCCAGAGTTGAACCTTCCTTTGATAGTTCAGGTTTGAAACACTCTTTTTGTAGGATCTGCAAGTGGATATTTGGACCACTCTGTGGCCTTCGTTCGAAACGGGTATATCTTCGCATAAAATCTAGACAGAAGCATTCTCAGAAAATACTTTGTGATGATTGAGTTTAACTCACAGAGCTGAACATTCCTTTGGATGGAGCAGGTTTGAGACACACCTTTTGTAGAATCTACAAGTGGATATTTGGACCTCTCTGAGGATTTCGTTGGAAACGGGATAACTGCACCTAACTAAACGGAAGCATTCTCAGAAACTGCTTTGTGATGATTGCATTCACCTCACAGAGTTGAACATTCCTATTGATAGAGCAGTTTGGAAACACTCTTGTTGTGGAATGTGCAAGTGGAGATTTGGAGCGCTTTGAGGCCTATGGTAGTAAAGGGAATAGCTTCATAGAAAAACTAGACAGATGCATTCTCAGGAACTTTTTGGTGATGTTTGTATTCAACTCCCAGAGTTGAACTTTCCTTTGGAAAGAGCAGCTATGAAACACTCTTTTTCTAGAATCTGCAAGTGGACGTTTGGAGGGCTTTATGGTTTGTGGTGGAAAAGGAAATATCTTCACCTAAATACTAGATAGAAGCATCCTCAGAAGCTTCTCTGTGATGACTGCATTCAACTCACGGAGTTGAACACTCCTTTTGAGAACGCAGTTTTGAAACTCTCTTTCTGTGGCATCTGCAAGGGGACATGTAGACCTCTTTGAAGATTTCGTTGGAAACGGAATCATCTTCACATAAAAACTATACAGAAGCAGTCTCAGAATCTTCTTTGTGATGTTTGCATTCAAATCCCCGAGTTGAACTTTCCTTTCAAAGTTCACGTTTGAAACACTCTTTTTGCAGGATCTACAAGTGGATATTTGGACCACTCTGTGTCCTTCGTTCGAAACGGGTATATCTTCACATGACATCTAGACAGAAGCTTTCTCAGAAAATTCTTTGGGATGATTGAGTTGAACTCACAGAGCTGAGCATTCCTTGCGATGTAGCAGTTTAGAAACACACTTTCTGCAGAATCTGCAAGTGCATATTTGGACCTCTGTGAGGAATTCGTTGGAAACGGGATAATTTCAGCTGACTAAACAGAAGCATTCTCAGAACCTTCTTCGTGATGTCTGCATTCAACTCACAGTGTGGAACCTTTCTTTGATAGTTCAGGTTTGAAACACTCTTTTTGTATAAACTGCAAGGGGATAATTGCACTCTTTGAGGAGTACCGTAGTAAAGGAAATAACTTCCTCTAAAAAGAAGACAGAAGCATTCTCAGAACCCTCTTCGTGATGTTTGCATTCAACTCACAGTGCTGAACCTTTCTTGATAGTTCAGCTTTGAAACACTCTTCTTGTAGAAACTGCAAGTGGATATTTGGTCCTCTCTGAGGATTTCGTTGGAAACGGGATAAACCGCACAGAACTAAACAGAAGCATTCTCAGAACCTTCTTCGTGATGTTTGCATTCAACTCACAGTGTTGAACCTTTCTTTGATAGTTCAGGTTTGAAACGGTCTTTCTGTAGAAACTGCAAGTAGATATTTGGACCTCTCTGAGGATTTCGTTGGAAACGGGATAACCCGCACAGAACTAAAACAGAAGCATTCACAGAAAACTCTTGGTGACGACTGAGTTTAACTCACAGAGCTGAACATTCCTTTGGATGGAGCAGTTTCGAAACACACTATTTGTAGAATGTGCAAGTGGATATTTAGGCCTCTCTGAGGATTTCGTTGGAAACGGGATAAACCGCACAGAACTAAACAGAAGCATTCTCAGAAACTACTTTGTGATGATTGCATTCAAGTCACAGAGTTGAACATTCCCTTTGACAGAGCAGTTTGGAAACTCTCTTTGTGTAGGATCTGCAAGTGGAGATATGGACCGCTTTGAGGCCTATGGTAGTAAAGGAAATAGCTTCATATAAAAGCTAGACAGTAGCATTCTCAGAAACTTCTTTGTGATGCTTGCATTCAACTCACAGAGTTGAACTTTCCTTTCGAGAGAGAAGCTTTGAAACACTCTTTTTCCAGAATCTGCAAGTGGACATTTGGAGGGCTTTGAAGCCTGTGGTGGAAAAGGAATTAACTTCCCGTAAAAGCTAGATAGAAGCATTGTCAGAAACTTCTTTGTGATGATTGCATTCAACTCACAGAGTTGAAGGTTCCTTTTCAAACAGCAGTTTCCAATCACTCTTTCTGTGGAATCTGCAAGTGGATATTTGGGCCTCTCTGAGGATTTCGTTGGAAACGGGATAAAACGCACAGAACTAAAACAGAAGCATTCTCAGAAACTTCTCTGTGATGTTTGTGTTCAACTCCCAGAGTTTCACGTTGCTTTTCATAGAGTAGTTCTGAAACATGCTTTTCGTAGTGTCTGCAAGTGGACATTTGGAGCGCTTTCAGGCCTGTGGTGGAAAACGAATTATGGTCACATAAAAACTGGAGAGAAGCCTTCTCAGAAACTTCTCTGTGATGATTGCATTCAACTCACAGAGTTGAACCCTCCTATGGATAGAGCAGTGTTGAAACTCTCTTTTTGTGGAATCTGCAAGTGGATATGTGGACCTCTCCGAAGATGTCTTTGGAAACGGGAATATCTTCACATAAAAACTAAACAGAAGCATTCTCAGAAACTTCTTGGTGATGTTTGCATTCAAATCCCAGAGTTGAACCTTCCTTTGATAGTTC